>NC_000003.12:135220725-135523755 GCF_000001405.40 Homo sapiens | reverse complement strand
GTTGTTGGCCACATGTATGTCTTCTTTTGGAAAGTGTCTGTTCATGCCCTTTGCTTACTTCTTTAAAGGGGTTGTTTGTTTTTCTCTTGTTAATTTGTTTTAGTCCCTTATGGATGCTGGATATTAGACCTTTGTCAGATGCATAGTTTGCAAATATTTTCTCCAATTCTGTAGGTTGTCTGTTTACTGTGTTGATAGTTTCTTTTGCTGTGCAGAAGCTCCTAAGCTTAATTAGATCCCACTTGTCAATTTTTGCTTCTGTTGCAATTGCTTTTGGTGTCTTTGTCATGAAATATTTGCTAGTTCCTATGTCCAGGATGGTATTGCCTAGGTTGTCTTCCAGGGTTTTTATAGTTTTGGGTTTTACATTTAAGTTTTTATTCCATCTTGAGTTGATTTTTATATATGGCATAAGGGAGGAGTCCAGCCTCGATCTTCTGCATATGGCTAACCAGTTACTCCAGCAGCATTTATTGAGAAGGGAGTCTTTCCCTTATTGCTTGTTTTTGTCAGCTTTGTTGAAGATCAGATGGTCATAGGTGTGCAACTTTACTTCTGGGTTCTCTATTTTGTTCCATTCGTCTATGTACCTGTTTTTGTACCAGTGCCATGCTGTTTTGGTTACTGTAGCCTTGTAGTATAGTTTGAAGTTGGGTAACGTGATGCCTCCAGCTTTTGTTCTTTTGCTTCGGTTTACCTTGACTATTTGGGCTCTTTTCTGGTTTCATATGAATTTTAAAATAGTTTTTTATTATTCTATGAATAATTCTGTTAGTAGTTTGATAGGAATAGCATTGAATGTATACATTGCTTTGGGCAGGGTGGCCATTTTAATGAAATTGATTCTTCCTATCTGTGAGCATGAAATGTTTTTCCATTTTTTTGTGTCTTCTCTGATTTCTTTGAGCAGTGTTTTACGATTCTCACTGTAGAGATCTTTCGCTTCTCTGGTTAGCTGTATTCCTAGGCATTTTATTCTTTTTGTGGCAGTTGTGAATGGGATTGCTATCCTGATTTGGCTCTCAGCTTGACTGTGGATGGTATACAGGAATGCTAGTGATTTTTGCACATTGATTTTCTATCATGAAATTTTACTGAAGTTGTTCATCAGCTAAAGAAGCTTTTGGGCTGAGCCTATCAGGTTTTCTAGATGTAGAATCATATCACGCAAACAGGGATAGTTTAACTTCCTCTCTTCCTATTTGGGTGCCCTTTATTTCTTTCTCTTGCCTGATTGCTCTGGCTAGGACTTTCAATACCATGTTGAATAGGAGTGATGAGAAAGGGCTTCCTTGTCTTGTGCTGGTTTTCAAGGTGAATACTTCCAGCTTTTGCCCATTCAGTATGATGTTGGCTGTGGATTTGACATAGATGGCTCTTATTAGTTTGAGGTATGTTTCTTTAATATCTAGTTTATACAGAGTTTTTAACATGAAGGGATGTTGAATTTTATCAAAAACCTTTTCTGCATCTATTGAGATAATCAAGTGGTTTTTGTCTTTAGTTCCGTTCATGTGGTGAATCACATTTATTGATTTTCGTATGTTCAACCAACCTTGTATCCTGGGGGTGAAGCCTACTTGATTGTGGTAGATTAATATTTTGATGTGCTTCAACCCAGAAGCAATGAGCACCCCTAGTATCCACACTATGGTCTCCAAGTATTTCCCTGAAAAGGACTGTTCTTTACAAAAAACGGCTTATTTCAGCTCTGAAACAGGAAATGAACAAGGCAAGCCTTAAGTATCATATTATACTAAAAATCAAGGAGATAATTAATGAAAGACTACTAAGGTTTTGTCAAAGACTCAGATTCCAAATTGAAAAGGCTACCACTATCCAAAAATGGAATGATTTGGCCACTGATACAGATACAGTTTAATGGATTGATATCATATCAAATATATTTGAATTCATAAATTCATGAGGTGGCTAAAAAGTAACAGTAAAGAAGAAACTCAGTAGTAACTGATAGAAAATTAGGAAATAAATTTATTATTCTGAAAACTGGTAAATACAAGGAAATTATCCAGGAATTATCTTTCCTTTCTACAAGAGCTATACCTCAGAGTAAGCAAATTAATGATAAAGGAAAGTTCTTCTTTATATTATTATACAGATAATACTAAGTGAAGAAGAAGTGATATAATTAGAACATTAATATATTTGGTAACCATGAATGAATTGTTGGATCTATGCAATGATCATCAATACTGCTAACAACACAGAGACACGTGGGCATTATGGATCTCCTGAAGAAAGTACACAACTCCACCAGTGAAGTGGTTTTGCCAAAAAAAAAAAAAAAAAAGAACAGAAACAAGAAAACAAACAAACTTGAATCTAATCAAGCCCTTAGCTCTAGCAATTTAGAGGAACAGAGGAACTCATCAAATGAAACCATGGGATCTAATTAGCAAAATCCAGACAGTGGAAAACCCTTTAGGAAAAACAATCCAGTTTACTTATCAACTAAATTACAAAGAAAAGACGAGAGAGAGAGGAAAGGGGAACCTTTAGGTTAAAAGATACTTAGGCTAGATATCAACAATTATAATATGTGGACCTTATTTGTATCTGAATTGAATCAAACTGTAAAAGATCAGAAGAAAGACAACAAAGAAATATGAACACTGATTTTTCCCAAAGGTCACATTTCCTATTACCATCTCATTAGGGGTTAGGATTTCAACAAATGAATTTTAGAAGGACTTCAGTCTATAACAACCAGTAACTTCATATTAAAGTTTATTTGGAAGCTGGTGTTTCTCCTACTTAGCTTTTAATTTAATATTTTGCTTTCCTGAATTTTGGATTTTTGCCTGTGCCTTTCCTACTTTGACCACTATTAATTTTCCATACATCTTTGCTTCAAGCTGAAGACCTCCCCAATTCCTTAAATCTATCCCAAGTTAACACTAACACATTTTGTGTGCACCGGAGACTTTTACTTAAGGACTGTCTATGGATAATGGGTAGAGCTTATAGGCAATCACTTAAAATTGAATAAGAGGCATTATAACTAATGCCACAATTCTAAAATTAGCCACAATCCCCAATAGGTCTGCCGTGCTGCCTTCTTTCTTCCTTCTGAGACTTCTATTCCATTTTCTGGCTCTCAAGTCACAAACCACAAACTCCCAGCTATTCATTTATTTTTTTCCCCAGAAGAAATAGCTTTATTGGGATTAGCATCTGGAGAAAGAAAGTAGTACCTGATACATCATAATGACTTGAGGAATGCAGATAGGGCAGGCATATGGTTATTAGACAAATGGACTCCATTTCCCAGCAGACTCTGTAGTAAGTCTAAGCAATACAAGGCCCTTTTGGGAAAATAGTTTCCCCACTCCCAAAACCCTCTACTAAGCTGCCATTTTTAAAAATGGATCAACAATCTTCATATGCCTTTTTTACCTCAACCACCACTATTATAAATACAAGGAAATATCATATTTTATTAATCTTAAATTTATCTTTTACATTTAGCTCCAAGTGTTCCTCATTTTCCATAGTTACTGTCCTTCTGAACCTGGGAGCCAGAAGTTCAACTGAAAATTTAGAAGGCAATCTTACTAGCCCACAGTGGCCTTTTTCCATTTTTCCTCATCGCTTAGGACCAAGTAATAGGGAGAGTCTTAGGCTTGGGCAATAGAGTTATTTGCCTCACACAATAGCACGATAAGGCATCAAATGTGGGATACAGAGCCAGGCTGGTGAGATTAGTAGACAGGAAAGCACAGATCCATAATTGGTGTAGAAAGAAGAGGGATGATTGCTGGCTTGTGTGTCTATGAGCTTTCTCCATCCTCTTCATCTTCTCTTCCAGTCCCGACCCTGCATTCCAGAAACCTAGAAATTCACAGAAGACTTGTCTGTGGTAAGTATGGAGGGGAGTAGGGAGTAGTGGGTGTCTGTGGTGGGGGATTAGTAGCTTGGATACTCTGGCTGCTACTTAAAGCAAGAGGGCACTTGATTTCCATGAGGAACCCTGGGTGGGGGTGGTGGAGAGAAAGAAAGAGAGGGGAAACAGAGAGAGAGAAAGAGAGAGATAGAGAGAAAGTGTATGTATGGGGGGACAGGATCAACAGGATTGTAGCCTTTGGGAATGTGGAGTTGGAGGAATATGGAGGACTCCCCAGTAGGCATGGACGGCCTCAGCTCCCCTGAACTGGGATTATGGTAGCTCAGTACTCCTTGTTAAGTCTGTGCTTGGACTCAATTTATCTTTATCTTCCTATCACTTTCTTAAACAGAGCAGTTCATTTCCCCTCTTCAACCCAAACCAAGCTCTTCACCCAGGTTCCTATATCCAAACACCCATTGAAGTGTCCGCTAAGCAGAGGGTCATCTATTCAGGGTCTCCATACATTCACAGTCCAAAATGCTGACAGAGGTTAGAAATCACATATTTTTGGTTACCTGATCACAGTCTAGTCTGTTTCTCTCCACCTTTCCTTCCAAAGCCAGATCCTAGAGCTTATGAGATTATTTTCTTCAAGTTACAGAAGCATCGGAAAAAGTGGAAACTTATGTACAGTCCAGAAAGTGTGAAAATATGGCAAAAGGTGGACTCCATGAGTTTTTCCTTTTTCATTTCCTCCCTTAGTTCCTTTTCTGAAAGAGGAGCTTTCTGTGTCCGCCTGAAATAGTGTGTTGCATAATAGCTGTCTCGGTCCTACTGTAGTTTTTGCTCCTGTTCTCAAGGTCTTGCTGCTTCCTGCAAATGAGCAATAACAAACAGATCTCAGATCTCTTAATGACAGGTGGTTTATCTCAGTTTGTAATCAAAAGGGTTCCACTACCACCATTAACACCCCCAAAATTAAACACAATGAAAAAAAGAGTAGATGTCTGAATAAACTGAACTTTAAATATATAATTAATAAAAATTGTATTTGTTCTTCCTTGTGAAGTGTGTCAATATTTACCTAAGTGTCACATGCCTAAGCCCAGTGGAAGGAAAGCCCTCTGTGGTCCAGGGTGTTGGATGGCAGAGACTCTGGCCTGGACCTACCCTGTCCAGCTATTGCCTGATCTTGTTATTCCTCTCATTATCCTTCAGCAGTCTGCAATCCCAAGCCAAGGGACATTCAGCCATACTTTGAAACTGTTGTTCTCAAGGGGACAAGTGGACTGCAAGTCAGATCCACAAACATCAGCTTATGAACCCTATCGTGGTTCGTGTCTTCTCCCAGCAGGCCAGACTTTCAGGGCATTGAGCACCATGTGCAGAGTTTCAGCAAGTGTGTCATTTGAGTCTTCTTTGAAGGAATCACTGCCTGACTGCAAGGTGGAGTACTTTTGTCCCCTGGTTTGGCCTTTACCTTATCTAGCTCAATAGAGAACAGAGATCTTTTGGAATGCAGATCCCCATCATATCAGCATGTTTTCTCCCCTGCTCCTACCTCAGCTCCAGAAGGATAACCCAGGTCTCACAGGGCAGAGATGGAATTGTTGGGTGGTAGGAGGGTGAGCACAGAAAGCAGCTGTCACTTGAAGTCCATCTGCCATAGAGACTTACAGTATGACTAGTGACAGTCCATTCCTGTATTTCACATCTGCTTTCCATAATGCTTTTTCCTATCATAGTCTTTATAACCATCACATCAACTTGTTATCTTGAAAACTGTTGAGAAATGCCACTTGTGGAGACCGCTCAGGGAGTGATTGTGACCTTTATTTCTCCTCCCACCTGACTGCCTAGAAACATCAGTTCCCATGGCCTCTAGACTGATAATTATGGGCAACCACTTTATCTTGAGTTTCTCTGTGTCTTTTCCTTCTTGTGTTGGAGGCCCGGAACATCTGGAGCACTTCCAGACCTGGGCTCACCATGCCTTGGATCTGAGTCCTGGCAGGGTCTAGGTCTAGGCTCCTGGGACTCCCAGCAGGACCTAACTTTTTACCTCTATAGGTTTTGTGTAATTCTAGAGAGTGTATTTTGGGAACCCTAAATCAGAGTAAATATCTGACATTTTAAACTACATTTATGGGACCTATGTAATAGAATATTTCAAATGAGCACTGACTGGGAGAACCTGTGGCATATGATGACCCTGGTGGGCACTGGCACCTGAATGATAATTACAAACTCAGCAACAGAGTGCTCTGCCACTGTGGTCACTCCATCCCATTTCTGAGAACCTGAAGGAGGTTGCCATTTCTGGACTTTGTACAGTTACTCATGGGCCATACATCCTCATCTGTGACTACATTTCATACCTGTAAAAAAAAGGCTTTTGAGTAGAAAGTCCTTAAAATCCTTTTCAGCTTTAACAGCTGTGTGATATTATGATCTGTACTTTTGATTTATTTTTCCTCCCCTTCCCATATATCCTGGAGAAATCTTAAGAATGAGGAAACTGAATCCTAGCTGACCACTGCAACTTCCCAGAATACAAAGTATTCCCCTCTTTTGTCTCCTAAGCCAAACGCAGATTTGCAAAAGCCCTATTGGGGCAAGTTGTGTCCCTGAATTGCTCACTCTGTTTATTTGGATTAAAAATTAGCATTGCACTGCATTAATAGAAGTAATATTTACAGGTTTAGCATGGATGCTGATCATTAATGGAAAAATAAATTAAAATCCCCATGCCCTCAATCTGAAGAATCTTGGCACACTTCTGGATAAGATTAATGTTATGAAACAAGGTTTTAGAGGAGATATAGGAGACTGTGTCCTTGATATAACAGAGCTCAGTGTACTTTATTGTGAAATTTCCAGGGAATTGATTTGCAGATGAAAGCTCAGAAGCCCACAACACTGGACAACAGAACTGTCTGTTGAGCAAGTCTGGGGGACGATAAGAGGAGGGGGGATAAAAGATATTAGCCGCCCAGGAGCTTTTAAGAACCATTTCCTCAGATAAGATATTCTTGTGTGACTACTTGGGGCCCTTGCTCTGAGAGTGTATCCTAAGCAGCCAGTGCTCCCTGCCATTCTACCAGATTTTCTGCTCCGGGAATGTATGGTTTTGGAGTCGGGAGCAGTGGCAAGTGAGGACCAGAGAGTAATCAGCATTCCTGCCAGTGTCGGAAGCTCTCAAAATTTAGTCTTGATTAAATGCAGTGCTTGGTATACCTCCCAGGCTTGGGGACAGGACAGGTAGGGTCACACACTCTTTCTTTCAACCCACATTTATTGAGCACCTACTCAGTACTGGCTCTGCCTCTGTCACATCCTCACAGAGCTCAGGCATATCAAGGAGGAATTGTAATACAGTGTGGTCAGAGCTATGATGAGTTAAATACGGGATGCTGTGGGAGCATGGAATGGGGATCCTGACCTTGCCTGGCCACTAGGGGAAATCCTTTAGAGCAAACACCAGCCCAGCCTCTAAAGACCATGCCTGCTTTAGAGACAGAGAGCAAGAGGAAGTGAGCAAGGGAGGTCATTCGCAATTCTGTCACTCCTAAATTTGTCTGAACCTTTTTGGAAGGCATTTGTATTTCCTGCCAGCACCACCTCTTGGGGGTGATGAATTCCAATAAGTTTCAATCCGTTTATTACTCACTGTGAGAGAAATTGCTTCCTTTTATGTCTGGAACTAAACCTGGATCACATTTCACAGGATATCCCCTAGTCACAGAGTTTTGGAATCTGGTGAGTAAATCCGTGCCTCATGAAACCTCAAGGTTCTTGTTTTTTCTTTTTTGTTTGTTTGTTTTGTTTTGTTTTTTGAGATGGAGTCTCGTTCTGTCGCCCAGGCTGGAGTGCAGTGGCAGGATCTCGGCTCACTGCAACCTCCGCTTCCCGGGTTCAAGTGATTCTCCTGCCTCAGCCTCCCGAGTAGCTGGGACTACAGGCGTGCACATCACACCCAGCTAATTTTTGTATTTTTAATACAGACGGGGTTTCACCATGTTGGCCAGGATGGTCTCGATCTCTTGACCTCATGATCCACCCGCCTCAGCCTCCCAGAGTGTTGGGATTACAGACGTGAGCCACCGTGCCCTGGCTGGTTCTTGGATGCAGATGTCTTCTCCTCTTGGCCTTCAGACTGAAGACTCTAACCTTTCCCCTTGTCTGATATTCCCATTTTATTTGTCTTTCTCAGAATCTCTAGTAGTTGTACCTTTCCGGGTTGTGGTGGCGAGAACATCTCTTAACTGCTTTGTTTAACAGAAAAACAAAAAGCGGCTTTGCATAAGGGAAGAAAGTATTTTTGCTTTTTGTTTCTGATAACACAGCATGAGAACACAAGACAACTGACTGAAATACTCTAGGGCAGGGCGCTTGCATCGGAAGCATCTTTACATCCCAGGGCCTCACCTAGAGCCTGTGACATGACCAGCACATGCAGGGTGGATGTCTGTAGAGGGTCGGGGTGAATGCGTATCCTGAGTATTGCTGCGAGCCCAGATTCCTTTACATTATGCTTAGAGTTTTGATTTTTTGTTTTTAAAATTTTATTTCTAACCCTTTTAATGTCTCACTAGATTTGTAGGTGCGTCCTCAGAGTCACTGATCTTTACTGCCTGGTGGACTTATTTGCAATGCTTTCTTTACCAAATTATTGTGTTTTTATAATTATGTAGTGGAAAATTTTCATTGTAGAGCATTTGGAAAGTACAGAAAAGATCAGATAGAAATGTAAAATTAGCCACAATTCAGCCACACCTCAATACATTTCTGCCCAGTTTTTTCTATGACACATTGATACTTTTTTATTTTATAAAATTGGAATCTTTCTATTATTCATTTTTTTTCATGTAATACCACACCATGAAAAATTTTCTGTGCCAAGGAATATTCTTTGGAAATATTATTTTAAATGGTTGCTTAATTGTCTGACAAATGGATATAAATTTGACTGGTTATTCATCTTTGAATAGACCAATTGTTTCCAATGTTTTCCTATCACAAGTATTTCTATCCTTCCTAATATTGACACAACCTACTGGGTCTGAGTCTGATTATTCTTGTCCGCTGTACATAATTAGAATGCTTTATCTAACTCAGTGGTCCCCAAAGTGAGATGTAGTCACCCAGTAAGCAAGGGAATATGGAGGGTAGGAAGAATATTATAATTCTGATTTTTATTTGTTTTTATCTTATACTTGTACTGTTTCTATTTTTGATGCTGTTTAAAACAAATCAACATGTTATATGGATATAACAGCATACAGGGATGTAATCTTGTAGTGAGTGACCCTAGTTAGAGGGCACATGCTCAGATTCTTTTTTACCTAAAGCAGATTGCAATCAAAATTATTTGGAGACCACTGATCTAAGTCATCCAGAAAATTTGTAAAGCTTTGTTTCCTCTTGGAGTTTTCCTGAAGTTCTTGGATTTTAGGGGAAGTTGGATTATGAAGTCCTCCAGGGTCTACTAAGCTCCTGGTAGCTTTTCTGTGTCACTGTAGACAATGGGGACTCTTGTTAAGCTGTGAGAAGCAATGGCAAAAACTTGACTGATCTCCCTTTCCCTGAACAGCCATCAGATAACGCCCATTCCTTGTGACTTCCTAATGCCATCTCATTCTACGGCTCCAGATGAAACTGAGGAGGTTGGGTTTTACTGCTTGGAGCCTGCCTATACTTATCTCCTCCAATCCCTGTTTTCCTTTCGTCTAGCTCTGAGGCACTTGCTTTTTCCCCCCACTCTCTGAAAACACTTTCATGATTCCCTCACTCTTTTACAGCAGTATCTTTTTATTTATTTATTTATTTGTTTGCGGGAGACCAGAGTTTTATTATTACTCAAATCAGTCTTCCCCATTCGGGGATCAGAGTTTTTAAATACAATTTAGTGGCTGGGGAGGGGCAGTGAGTCTGGGAGTGCTGATTGGTTGGGTTGGAGATGAAATCATAGTGTGTCACTGCCTTCTTGTGCTGAGTCATTTCCTGGGTTGGGGGGGAGGTCACAAGATCAGATGAGCCAGTTTATCAGTCTGGGTGGTGTCAGCTGATCTATCAAATGCAAGGTCTGCAAAACATCTCAAGGCCTGATCTTAGGAGTTTAGGGAGGGTCAGAACCTTGTAGCCTCCAGCTGCATGAATCCTAAACCATAATTTCTAATCCTGTGGCTAATGTTAGTAGTCTAGTACCCAGGCAGGAAGGAGGTTTGTTTTGGGAAAGTGCTGTTATTGTGTTTGTTTTAAGGTATAAACTAAGTTCCTCCCAAAGTTAGTTCAGCTTATGCCCAGGAATGAACAAGGACAGCTTAGAGATTAGAAGCAAAATGGAGTCAGTTAAGTTAGATCTCCTTCACTGTGTCAGTCATAATTTTGCAAAAGCGGTTTCAATCCCTCCTTTTAGGTTTTATAACACCTTAATCTTAGGGTGTTGGCTAATGAAGATGGAAAAAGGGTGAAGACTGCTCTAATTTCTTCCTGCTGATCAGGGGTGTAGTGGGGGTAGGTGTTGACCCCAAGGTGAAAGGAGTGAAACCACTTTGCAGCTGCCTGAGTGTACTCATGCAGGCCTGGCTGGGGTTCCAAGGCTTGCATGGCAAAGCCGTTAGTATTGTCATCTGTAGTTTCAGTATCGCATTTAGGGGAACAGTGTACTATAAGGTAAATACTGAGTGCTAGGATAAGGAGTGCAACTCCCAGTTTTAAAAGTAAAAATTTCCCCTTCCTGTGTCCATGTGTTCTCATTGTTCAATTCCCACCTATGAGTGAGAACATGCGGTGTTTGGTTTTCTGTCCTTGCGATAGTTTGCTGAGAATGATGGTTTCCAGCTTCAGGAAGGGGAATATCACACACCAGGGACTGTTGTGGGGTGGGGGGAGGGGGGAGGGATAGCATTAGGAGATATACCTAATGCTAAATGACGAGTTAATGGGTGCAGCACACCAACATGGCACATGTACACATATGTAACAAACCTGCACGTTGTGCACGTGTACCGTAAAACTTAAAGTATAATAATAATAAAATTAAAAAATAAAAAAATAAAATAAAATGAAATAAAATAAAAGTAAAAATTTGAAAGCATTAGTTTGGGGACTTGTAACCCACAAAGAATTTAGGATTTAGTTCAAACCGCAGAAAAAAAAAAAAACAAAACCAAAAATTCAAGTACAGCTAACAACAGGTATACTATTGTTTTTCTTTTGAAGTATAAGTTTTCTATCTCCAGTCCCCATTTAAAAGCTCCCCACTACGCCAAGATAACAAAATAAAATAAAACAAAAACAAAAGTATACTATCTCTTTAAAATGTTGCTGGTCCCTTGTACTTTTATAACTTGTGTTTTTAACAGCTTTATTGGGATATAATTGACACACAATAAATTGCACATTTTTAGCATGTACAATTTGATAAGTGAGGGTGCAGGTGCATGCATACTCCTGTGAAACCATCACCCAAATAAAAAAATGAGTATATTCATCACCTCCAGAAGTTTTCCCAAAGGGTTGTAATCTATTCATCTACCTGCCCTCACACACTCCTGTTGTCCACAGGCAACCACTGAAAGACTTTATGTCATTATAAATTGGTTTGCATTTTCTAAAATTTATACAAATAGAATCAAACAGTGTGTATTTTTTGACTGTCTTCTTCAACTCATAGTTATTTTGATATTTATCAATGTCGTGTCAATCATTCATTCTTATTATTGAGTAGTCTTGTATAGATGTAGCAACAAATTGTTTATTCATTTACCTATTGATGGACATTTGGGTTGTTTTCACTTTGGGCTTTTAAAAATAAAATTGTTGTAAACAAATGTTTACAAATCTTTGTATGGACATATGCTTTTATTTCTCTAGGGTAAACCCCTAGGAGAGGAATGGCTGGATCATATAGTAGGTATATGTTAACTATGAAATCCTAAATTGTTTTTCAAAGGGTTATACCATCTCACATTCTCACCTGCAGTATATGAGAGTTTCATTGGCTTTGCATCCTTTTCAATACTTGCTCATCCTCATCAATACTTGCTATGGTCAGTGTTTCTAACTTTAGCCATTCTAGTAGGTATGTGAGAGTGTCTAATTGTAATTTAGATATACATTTCTCTAAAGACAAATGATGTTGAGCACCTTTTACTTGCCATCTGTGTATCTTCTTTATTGAAATAGCTTTTCAAACCTTTAGCTCATGTAAAAACAAACTGGGCTGTTTTCTTATTACAGAGTTTTGAGAGTTCTTTACATATTTTGGAGACAAGTCCTTTATCAGATATATGCTTTGTAAAGATTTTCTCCCAGTCTGTATCTTGTCTTTTGATTCTCTTAACAGTATCCTTTGAAGAATAAGAGTTTTAATTTTGATGAAATACAAATTTATGATTTTCTTATGGATTGGGATTTTTGTGTCATATATAAGAAATCATTGCCTCACCCAAGATCACAAAGATTTTCTCCTGTGTTTTATTCTAGAAGTTTATAGTTTTAGGTTTTAAATTTAGGCCTATAATCCGTTTTGAAGTTATTTTTGTATATAATGCATTTTTTTGCATATAGTTATCCAATCATTTTAACACTATTTTGGAAAGGTAAATCTCTCTCCATTGAATTGCTCTTCTGCGTTTGTTGAAAATAATTGTCCATATATATATATATATATATATATATATATATATATATGCGTCTATTTTTGGATTCTCTATTGTGTTCTTTTGATATAGTTGTGTACATTGAGGTCTATACACATTGACTTGATTGTTGTAGCTTTATAATAAGTCTTGAAATTAGGTAATTTTAGTTCTCCACTTTGTTCTTTTTCAACATTGTTTTGGTTATTATTGGTCCTTTGCATTTCTATATGAATTTTTATAATCAGTTTATTTTATTCAAAAAAGCCTGCTGGGATTTGATTGAGATTACACTGAGTCGATAAATCTATTTGGGAGATTTAACATCTTAACAATCTTGAGTCCTCTGTTTCATCAACACAGTGTATCACTCTATTTAATTAGGTTATCTTTAATTTCTCTCAGTATTTTTTTTTTAGTTTTAATTGTATAGGTCTTTCACATCTTCTGTGAGATTTATTCCTAAGTAGTTAATATTTTTTGATGTTATTCTAAGTGGCATTGGTTTTTAAATTTCAAATTCTGATTGTTTGTTGCTAGTATATATTGAGCTTATAGTCTGAAAATTTTCTAAATTCACTCGTTAGATCTAATAGCTTTTTTTGGTGGAATCCATTGAATTTTCTACCTAGATGTTCATGTTATCTGTGAATAAATACAGTTTTAATTCTTTTTCCATCTGGATGTTTTTATTCTTTTTGCCTTATTGAACTAGCTAGAATCTTTAGAAAAGTGTTGAACAGAAGTAGTGAGAATGAATATCTTTGTCTTACTGTCAATATTATGCAAAAAATTCAGTCTTTCACAATTAAGTATGATTATAGTTGTAGATTTTTCATATCTGCCTTTTATTACATTAAAGAATTGCCTGTCTATTCCTAGTTTGCCAAGAGTTTTTACTAGGAATGGGTGTTTAGTTTTGTCAAATGTTTTTTATGCACCAATTGAAATGATCACATAGTTTTTCTTTTTGGTTTGTTAGTATAATAAATTATGTTGATTTTTTAAAAATGTTAAACCAAACTTGCCCTTCTGGGATAGACCCTACTAAGTTATGGTATATTATCCTTTCTGCATATTGTTGGATTTGATTTTCTAAAATTTTGTTTGAAATGTTTGTATCTATATTAATGAGATCTATTAGTCTGGAGTTTTCTTTTCTTGTAATATCTTTGTTTGCTTTTAGTATTAGGGTAATGCGGACCTCATGGAATTAGTTGGTAAGTTTTTATTCCTTGCTTCATTTCTTGTTATTTCTTTCTTTAATGTTTTCACCAGTGAAGCCATCTGGGCTTGGAGTTTCTTTATGGGACAGTTTTTAACTACAAATTAATTTTTTTGATATATATGAAACTATTCAGACTATCTATTTCTTCCTGAGTGAGCTTTGGTAGTTTTTGTCATTCAAAGATTTTGTCTATTTTACCTAAGTTGTAAAATCTATTGTCAAAAAGATGTTCCTAATATACTCTGTAAATATTTTTATTAACTGTAGAATTTGTAGTGATTTTACCTCTTTCATTCCTGTAATTGCTAATTTGTATCTCCCTTTCTCTCTTTTTCTGTCTCTTTTACTGATAAAAAATAAGCAAGAAGTTTTTGCCTTTTTTTGGGGGGGGGTCTGGCAAGAGGTTTATTGGTCTGCTCAAAGAATGAGCTTTTAACTTCACTCATTTTTTTCTATGTTGCATTTGTTTTCTTTTTCATTGATATTCACGTAGATAATTATTATTTCCTTTATTCTGCTTTTATTTGGCTTAATTTCTTTGCCATTTTTAGTTTCTTAGTGTGGAAGCTGAGCTCACTGAGTTGAGACATTCCTTTTCTTCTAATACAGGCATTCAGTGCTATAAATTTTCCCCTAAGTACAGCTTTAGCAGCATCTACAGCTTTTGATATGTTGTGTTTTCATTTACTTACACTTCAAATACTTCCTAATTGCACTTTTGATTTCTTCTTTGACCTGTGGGTTATTTGGAAGTATGTTGTTCACTTTTCAAATATTTAGTGATTTTTCAGAGATCTTTCTGTTACTGATTTATAATTTAATTCCATTTTGACCAGAAGATGTACTTTCTATGAACTTAATCCTTTTAAGTTTATTGAGAATTAATTTATGTCTCAGAATATAATCTATCTTGGTAAATATTTCATTTACACTTCAAAATAATGTGTATTGTGCTATTGTTAGGTGGAGAGTATTCTATAAATACCAATTAGATCATGTTGGTTAACAGTGTCGTTCAAGTTTTGTATATCCCTTACTAATTTTCTGTCTCCTTGTTCTATCAATTGTTGAGAGAGAGGATATTAAAATCTGCCACAATCAATTGTGGCTTTGTCTATTTCTTCTTGAAGTTCTATCAGTTTTTGCTTCTTGCTTTTTGAAGTTCTGTTTTCTGGAACATAAAAATTTAGGATTATCATGTATTTGCCTCTTTATCACTATGAGTTAAACTTCTTTATCCATTGTTGGGTGCTGGATATTTTTGTATTTCTGTAAATATTTTTGAGCCTTGTTCTGTGATACAGTTCAGTTACTTGGCAACAGTTTGATCTTTTAGGTTATTGCTTTTCATATTTGTTAGGTGAGACCAAAGCTGTGTTCAGTCTAGAGTTAATTATTCCCTACCAGTTAGGCAAGCCCTTTGTGAGTGCTCTACCTAATGCTGGTGCATAATGATGTTTTCCAGTCTTGCTAGTGAGAACAGGCAGTATTCTTGCCCCTATGTGAACACTAGATACTGTTCTCTCTAATCTTTTCTGGGGGTTCTTTTTCTATACTTGAGTAATTTTCTCAGTGCATGGTGCTGATCAATATTTTGTTGAATACACAAGGGGATCTTGGCTGACTTTAGAGTTCTCTCTCTGTTCATCTCTCTTCTCTCTGTCTTTGGAACTCTAGCTGCATTGTCTCCCAAGGCTTTTAGCTCTGTACCCTAAACTAGGGAAGTTTGCTGGTCTCCGCCTGATATCCTCCTTCTTGCTCCATGGTCTGGAAATGTTCTAAAGGTAGCAAGCTGGGGTAATTGTACAGCTCCCCTCACTTGTTCTGCATCTCTCAGGCATTGCCACACTGATATCTGTTGTTTTGCTGATAGTCAATGTCTTGAAAACTGTTCTTTCATGTGTTGTTTTGTCCTTGTTTATTTCAGACAGGAGGACAAAATTCAGTCCCTGTTATTTCGTCTTAGCCAGAACTGAAACAACTATAGTTTTTGATTCAACTTAAGTTTTCCAGCCTGCTTTCAGATAAAACCAGTTTTCTATAATTCAAATTTTAAAGTTAAAGTGATTCTCAACTGGGTTTTATTTTTTAAATAAACTTTATTGGGGAATAAGCTATATACAATAAAATTAACATATTTTAGGTGATTATTTTAATGAGTTTTGAAAGGTGAACATACCTGCTTAACCGCATTCAAGATATAGAACACTTCTATGACCCTATGAAGTTCCTTTCAATGAATTTTTAATGTGCAATTATGAGAATTCAGTTGAACTCTATGCATTGCCCTTTGAGCTCAGAAAAGGAGCCCAGTGACTGAGCTGCCTCCCATTGGTGGGTTGGCGTTACCCTGTTTTCCGCATTGCCCAGGTAGAGAAACACATGTGTAACTCCTTGCAGATTTTACAGGCTCTCTTGATGTATTTGTTACACAACGTTCTTGCCACAATAACTAATTGATACATGGTGCTTGATAGATATTGCCAGACTGCTTTCAAAAAGTTTCAAAAAATTGTTGTGTTTATATTTATACTGCACCAATAAAATATTATCTTTATTTTTAACTTCTGAAAATTTAATAGGGTAAATCATATTTTTGTTATCATTTTGTTTCTCAGACCCATGTCTGAATTTGTGAGGCACCTAGGAGCCATGCTGATATTATACATTAATGAATCTCATTTCCCTTCTGGTGGATGCACCAGAGGGAACCCTACATGGCAGCTGTTTGAACAAGAAGCCAAAAACACACTTTCACAGCAAATCATAAAGCCCCTGGGATTGTGTCATATTTAAACATATTACCTTGTTTCAAACATTCATTTATATTTTTGACTCCTTCTCCTCCATGTGCAATATTGTATTTTTAGTCCCACAGTTTTCTAGTGTTTGTCATGTGCCAGGCAGTGGGCTAGCCACATTAGGCACTGCATCCTGGAACAAGCAAAGCCACCTCTGTGCCGTTGCATCCCTCTTCTTGTTGTCCAGCTTCCTCCCACTCTATTGGCTACCAGTTCAGAATTCTCATTCTTGTGCTGTTCACTGTGTTGCTCTTTGCATCTCTCCTAGCCTATTAAGGACCTGGGGGCTTATACTCAAACAATGCCTCACCTTGCCCATTGAAATACAGCAGCAACAACGAGTCCTGCTGTGAGTGAGTAAGGCCGGGGTAAGAGGGGCAACCGACCCTTTCTTATCTCTGGATCCAGGTCCTATACCACACAATTGTTTTAACAGGCAAGGTTGGATATTTTTATATATTTTTATTTGCTAGTTAAGGCTTTCCTTATAGAAATTTTCTGTTTATGTCCCTTGCCTACTTATCTATTGAGGACTTTATTCTTTTATTTTTTAATCAATTTATATGAATTCTTTATGTAGCAAAGATATTAAACAATTTTTGCAATATTTCTGCAAAATTATTTCTCTGTCCAATATTTGCTTGTTTCCTTGGCTTTTGCTAGCCAGAAGATGTGTTTCCTGAGTGTTAGGTTTACTCCTATAAATAAGACGGACCATATTCAAATGTGTGTACCTTTCTCTTATCTTTACATAGCCTATAACATGTTTTCTCAGACAGTGTAAGTCTCACTCTGGAATGCTCAGATTAGCAGCCAAGGATGTATTCAGGGGGGAGGGAGAAATTGGATACTTCTGTGACAGGAATGGCTAGTGACATTTTCTCCCTGATGAGGTTCTATGTTCCACTCTTCCTTAATGCATTCTAAAATATTTATTGAGCATCTACTCTGTGCCAGGCATCACTGCCTTGTACATTCTAGGCCTTCGTTTAATGGCCACTGAGATTTAATTGAAGTTTGATGAGATGGATGCACTGTACACTATATCAGTAAAGTTGACTATAACCACGTTCTTAGAGTTATAGAGACTCTACAACTTTAGAGTCTGTAGAGATAATCTTGATTGAGCAAGACAGATATAGTTCCTCTCCTCCAGGGGTTCACAGAATATTGAAGAAGGCAGAGAAGTAAAAGAAAATTACAATAAAGTGTGGTAGGAGCTGTGATGGAGGACAGGGGGTGGGGACCTTGAAAATATATAGAGGGCACCTAGCTCAGATGTGAGGAACAAGGCAAAGCTTACTAGAGGTAGTGATATCCAAACAAAGACCTGGAGAATGTCTAAGAATGGCTGGGAGAACAAGATTGGAGATCAGAGTATTCTTGCAAAGGCACCAGCTCAAAAAACTCCTGAGGGTGAGAGAGAAAACTTGTGTCTTTGAGAATCCAAGGTGACAAAAAGCGAATCCTAGAGAAATGGGTTAAATATTATCATTATCAGCACTTGAATTATTTGACCCCCTTTCCTTTTGTTCCCCTACCCGTTTGTAAAATACACCACCATTATCATTTACTAATGAAAAGGGAGTTGGCCTGAAAATCAAGACACTTGGTTATTACTCCTTGTTCTGCCATAAAAGAGTTAGTTATGTGACTTTGGTGAGTTTAAGGTCCACTCTAGGCCTCTCTTCTGTTCTGTGAAAGCAGGGGACCAGGAAGAACAATGTCGCATACACATCACAGACAGTAGGCTGCATCTACTATCTTTGAGGCATAGTTGTTGAATGGCACTAGGGTCTGTCTTCTTCCCATTCATCATGTCTGTGTTGCTCAAGAAAGGCATCTAAACCTGAGGACAAATAGCCAGAGTCTAAGAAGAGGTGTTCCTATGCCCAGTGAACCAAATCCTCCAGCTAGAATCTGAACAGTCCCTACCCCCAACTCCATAAAACCTTACCCTGTGGGCTATTGATTTCCACAGACAGGAGTCAAGCCAATAAGTTAGAACTCCTGGAGGGCAGATAGGGACTGTTTGGGAGATTTTTCAGGCAGTACCTAATACATTAGGGGTCCTCAGTTAATATTCATTGAAGTTTCATTGAGGTTTGATGAGACAGATGAACCATACAATATGTCAATAAAGTTAAGTATTACCCTAACCACATTCTTAAAGTTATTAAAAATGTCAAGAGCAGGGTGATTTATTTCCTCATTCTATGGAAATATTGCAAAGAGAGTATGTATTAAAACGTGCAGAGCTTAAATAATAATGATTTATCTTTCTGACTCCATCTTGAGCTTAGTGTCAGTGACTGTTTCTGGTATCATCTGCCTCTTTCAGGTCTTTGGCCTTTTGACACCATTTTTAGCCCTAAGAGCAATGGGAGATTGCAGTACATGCTGGAGTTTAAGGAACTGGTGCAAATTCATTCCCCAGCCACCGCCTGTCTGTGGACGATCCCTAGCAGCTGCCAAAGTGTGACCTTTTACATTTGACATCATTGCCCCTGAGTAATAGGTACTTTAGCAGGGGAATGACAGAGCTCTGACCTTGAGCTGAAACCTGAAAAATGTGGTTCCTATTCTGACATAGTGTGTCTCCCAGGAGAGTTATAAGCAATAGCAACTGAGGGAACTCAGGAGGGAGAGGGAGTTAAGAGTTATTTGCTCTGGGAATTTGTGTTCATGTTGAATCCCTTGCAGCTGACTTGCAGCACAGCCTGCTGTGGAGCAGGGCTCCTGACAGGGCGAGCCTTGAGATTCTCCACCGTGGGTCTCAGCCACAGCTTCTCTAGGACACCAGGAGATACCGCCCCTCAGAGTATGTGCTTGTGTGTCTAAGATGCACATCCCTTAGGAGCTGGAATGGCACAAACAGCTTTGCACAGCTACAGCTAAGCACCATGTACCAAGAACCTCTTGTTAAAAAATAATTTTGATGCTTCGTAATAACTATGTGATTACAAACCCTGTGAAAAATGACAACGGTTAAAACAAAAACTAGCCTTGCAAGCTATGTGCAGCTTTGGCAAAGCATGTTCTCTTGAGTCCCCTCCCCAGCTGCTCAAGGGCACCCCTTCTTTCAGGATCTCCCCTCTGGACACGCTGCTGCCCAGGGCTTTGTGTACGCTGTACTCCAGCCTCCTGCCTTCCCCATAACCGGCCCAGCAATCGGTACCGTTCTCGGCCTCTCGGGGGCACCAGAGCTCTCTCATAGCAAGGTAGATGCTTCTTGAGACAAAAGACGGGGATTTTGGCTGCCAATTTGTCTTTAACATTGTGTAAGGTCTGTCTCTACACAGAGCAGGCCATATACAGACCCGAATCAGGGCGTGCATTGTTCTGGCTTTTCTGTTGCTGGGAGAGGGATAATGGTAGCACACGCCCTGAGGTGCAGGGGAGCTGGATTTTGGTGCCTTTTGCATCCGAGTCCACCTATGAGGGCGAGTGGCTGGAAGAACAGGTCCCTGGAGTCAGACCTCATAGGACAGGAGGCTTCTCTTCGCCCCTGCCTGATGCTTCATGGAGTCGCATTCAGCAGTGAAACAAAAGGTGCCAGAGAAACAAGGCAAGTGAAAGTGATAGGAGAAAACGGCAAAAGGAAAGGGGCAGGAAGAAAGAAAGAGAAAAAGGGATTGAAAGCTAGGAGCAAAATCAAGAATGAGACCAAGAAAAGCTAATGTATGGTGATTGTTCTTACCAGTGTTATGGATTTTGGAGCAAAACAAATTGTAGGAAGCAAACTTCCCCAAATGTGAGTACTTAATAAAAAAGAAAACAGAAGGATTGATAATGGAAATTAGGCTAATGAATAAACAAGCTGCTTAAAAAATAGGTTTCTCTCGCAGTCCGTTATTTTTAACTTAGTGGCAATTTGCATACTAGTTAATTTGCATATATTAAATACTGCTCCCCTTCTCCTTCCCACCTCCTCCACTTCAGAATAACATTTCATTACGGTGCTGCTGGGCCAGAGGACTCTGAGGCTCTGGAGAGTTTATTAATTTATCCAACACATGCTGTGTACATTTTTATCACTTGCCGCACAGTGGACCCGGTATCTTTGAAGTCATTAACAACACGAGGGGTGTTCTGCTCGAGGTATTCAAAAGAGAATGAGAAAAGCCAGCCTGCAATAACTGTACCAAAAAACAGGAAAAGATCGTGTATGGTTTATGTTCTTTCTAGGAATACAAAAATGAGCAAGGGATGACTCTCTCATCCGCATCAGAGAGCTTCTGTTTTGTTTATTTGTGTTTTTATTTATTTAAATTTTGAAGCAAAATGGAAATGATTCCCAGTGGGGTGCAGACATCCAAAAAAGCACTAGCCATGCATACTATTTCTCCTGCCTCTGCCCACACTGAAAGGCAGGCTAGAGAGTGTGGCTCTTGGGGGAACCTCCATTACTGCTGATGAGAATAATAAACCAACAGGTGAGGGCCACAAGCAGCCACTCTACTGTGGTCCTAGGGCTCTGCCTGCTGTCACTGCTGGGCGTCACGGGGACCATCCCTGGACTGCACCTCCTCCTTAGTGCGCTCTCCCAGGGCGCCCTCCCACCACTGTCTCTCTCCCTTGTAGCTTCGACCTACTACAATTTAGGGAACTACTAAATTGAGCTTCTACTGGCATACTTAAATGCCCTGTAGTGGGTCGTGCCACCTCCCATGGGAATAGAAGAAGGCTACCATTTCTAAGAAGGAGCTTTTAAAAAGTGACCACCTGCATTAATCCTGATGCCATTTTCTGATGCCATTTTCTAATGCCATCCTATCAGTTTAGCTATTTGTCCCTCTTTCTACTGTCCCAGGTGCTTAAGTTGAAGAGAAACCTGTGTATTTGTCTAGAGCTTGAAGTGTTTTCCCCAGATGCCAATGCAAATTAACAAATTTATTCAATCATTCATTCATCAAATATTTATTGAATGCCTACCATGTGCCAGACATTCTAGGCATGGGAAAAATGGAGCTTACATTCTCATGGGTGGAGACAGACAATAAACACATAAATGATAAAGTGATATTTTTCTAGAGTTAAAAACACTAAGAGGAAGGATAAGTAAGGTGTGGGGTAGCTAGTGACCTGAGCAAGGGAGCATTACTTTAGCTAAGCTCAGCAGGGATAGCATCTCTGAGGATGTGACATTTGAGCTATAACTAAGGAGAACTAGAAGTAGGCAGAGTTAATTCACGGTCTTGCGGCCATCTTTGTGCTTGGTTTGGTCCTAGTTGGGCTTTTAGTTCAGTGAATTTGCATTTAGCTGAAACAATCTGTCAGCCCCAATGTGTTCACCACCACTGATCCCAAGGTGAGTACTGGCTTGATGTTTCTGGCTTAGTGGAACAGCAGCTCTTTGGGCCCTTACACCATTCAGGTTACCTTTTGTGCAGAATGAGCAAGATTCAGACTTTGAATCTGAGAAGAAACTCCTCTGAAGGAGACAGTTATGTGCAATGGTTAAACCTGTCCGACAGCCTGGGTTGAATCTTACTAGGTTTGTGACTTTGGGTAAGTTACATTACCTCTCTGCAGTTTAGTTTCCCAACTTGTAAAGTGGATATAATAAACGTAGAGGACCTGGCATGTAATAAAGTCTCAATAAATGTGCCCAGGTTTTATTCTCCAGAACATGTAGACTTTCCTCCCTCCATCACCCTCAAGGATAAGGATTCTAGTCCATGAATGGAGGATGTGGAGACTTTTGATGTGTGATAGTAAGCATATACAAAGAAAAGAAAATCATCTAAGAGCAATTTCTAAGCCCCTTGTGTCTTGAATCAAGGAATCAGATAGCCTTGGGTTTGAAACCCACCTCCACCAGGTTATTAAAAATTTTGACTTCAAGCAAGTTACTTGATTATGACTCAGTTGCTCATTTGTAATATGGGGATAATCATAATGTCTACCTTATAATGCCATTACAAGGATTAATGATACAGTGTCTGTCAACCATAACACATAAATAAATGTTAGCTGCTATATTTAATATTATTTCACCTGCCTGGCCTGTGGCAATAAGTAGTTTGATCCTCTTGATTAACAAGCAATGCTTAAATTCTTCACATATTGTATTGATTTTTTTTTTTTTTTTTTTGCCAAATTACTCTCAAACTGGCTGCCACACTGCCATTTCAGTGTAGTTTTCTCCACCACCAATGCCTTTGTCCCTGCCTACGTCAATGTCTTCTTTCCCCAGGACAACTGCAATGGCCCTGGCTTGTCTCGCCACTTCTCCTCCTGCCCGCCTCCAAGTCCTTCACCACAAGGCAGGCAGAGGATCTTTGTAGAGTGTAAATCAGCCATCCAGTGGCTGTCATTCACTCCTCTAATAAAATTCAAACTCCTAACCCTGGCCTGCAGGCTTAATTGACCCTTCCCTTATATGTCCAACCTTAGCTCTTCTCACTTTCCTCCATGCCTGCTGTACTCTAGCCACACTGGCCTTTCTACCCTTAAACATGCCAAGCTTTTTCCTGCTTTAAGGTTTTCAGGCATGTTATTTCTTCTCCCAAAATGCCCTTTCTGTGCTGTGGTTGCTGGTATAATAGTGAGGGATTTCATTTGACTATGAATAACAGAACATTCTGATGACAGTACTTCCATATATACAGGGTTTTTTTCTTTTTCATTCAATTAGAAGTTTAAAGAGGTTGCCTTGGTCATTGGCTCAAAAATATGAGAGAAAAGATCCCTGTCTTTGCTTTTCCCTTTTGTTTGCAAGATGACTCCCATAGCACCAGCCATCTTATCCATATTTCAGATAAAAGAAGTTGCTGAAGAGAAGCAAGAAAGGGCAGTCCTTATATTAGGGAAGCAACACCTTCTCCGAAATTATAGCTTATACCTCAATGGCCAAAGCTGGGATATGCGTGTTTTAGTTAGGTACACTGTGCTGTGCACATAAGCAAAATAAGGAAGAAGTGAAATGTATTAGGCAAATGGTGGTGTCTGCCATAGCTGGCTTCTATTTTTTTGGGTTCAGGAAATGAGAGTGCATTTTCTTCTCAAAGAGGCCTTTTCTGAACATCTTGTCTAAGTAGTTTCGCTCCCTCTCATTATTCTCTGTCATAAGCCCTTTCTGTTTCCTTTGTAGTGCTTTTTATAATTGTTTAATTCTTTGTTTACTTGTTTGTCATATATCTTACCATAGGCACCATAAGGGCAGAGACTATGTCTGCTTGGCTTGCTACTGAATCCTTAGAACTCAGCTCAGAGCTGGGCATCAGTGGTTTCTCAAGAAATAATTCATTGAATGAATGGGTGAACCAGTTAATAAATGAATATAGGATACCTCTAGGATGTTGGGAAAGTTCTTTTTTCCTTTCCCAGACTACTCCAATCAAGGGGAATCACCCCCAGTAGAATTGCTAGGTAGAAATGAACATAGTAAACTAGTGTTAATAAGGGGCTTTGTCAAATTAACAAAAAACAAAATGTCCAGAAAATGAATTGCTAGATTCTTATTATCACATATTTTCACAAGTGCTCAGCTCTGATCATTGAGAAGTTTCAGTAGTTGAGAGTGAGTCAGATGTGGCAAGTTATAGAGATGTTCTGGATTACACAGGAAATGCAGAATCTAAGCTCAAAACTGTCCTTTGGGAATGTTATGCACCCAACACTTGGGTTGGGAACATATTGCACAATGATCTTGTTTCCACTTGTCCTTGAAAAACAAAACTAAACAAAATCACAATACATCATTTACTCTGTATTATATGTATTAACTGGTTAAATCCTTAAAACTCTCCGAAGAATAAAACTGAGGCTAAGGAAAGTTACGGTTAGGAAGTGGTGATGGAATCTGGGTTTGAACCTTAGTAACTAAGCTCCAGAGACTATGCGCTTATATTATGTTATAGTGCTCACTATTTTAATTTAGTGCAGAATTTCTTTAGGGAAGATTGGTTATATCAAATGGAAACCTATATTGTATTATACCTATGATTCTTCTGTAAAAGTCAGCTTTTAGGCAAGAGTGCAGAAAATGACTCTTTGGTGTATTACTGCAGAAACAAGTGCTTCAGTTGGGAGGTAGCTGTTCAGACAAAATGTAAAACAGGGAGTGGAGATGGTTCTTCAGGAGCCAGGACCAGCTGACCTCCATCCTCTTTCTGCCCTTATATCTAAAATTCTTGAGTTATCATCCTGAATTTAATTTCAGGGCCAGCTTCCTGCATTGCTGTAATCTATGTTTTCTAAAAGAGTGTTAATATTGCTAATCAAAGCTGTGTGGAGTGACAATTTTTTCCTGTGTGTTGCTGCAAAACAGACCATTCAAAAGAATGAAATTCTACAAGTAATTCAATAATTGCATCGCATGAAAACCTGGTAGATTTAGACTTTCCAAGCTAGAAAAGGCCTGCAGCAGGGATGAAATAGGCTGGAGGGTCGTGCTGAATTCAAATCCTGGCTCTGCAACTTGCCAGCATTATGACTTTGGGCAGGTTACTTAACCCTAGGAATCTCTGTCACCTCTCACTTAAAAGAGATTTAGACCTAACCAAGGGAGTATTGTGAGTATTTCATGTGGTAATGTGTGTCAAAAACCCTAACACAATGACAGTCACTGAGTAGGGGTTCAACCAGTGCCAACTCCATTCCCCTCCCCTTCCAGATGCCATGTGGCTCACTTAGTTAGTTGTCCTCTGAAAAATCTTAACAAAGAAGGCTCTTGTTTCTAAATAACTTCAGGGAGGAGACTTGATGAGCACTCTTGGTTGCCCATCCTATTGTCATTCACATCCCTAATTTTCTAGCCTTTAATAAAGTACTATGTGCAGTGGGGAACTCCACAGCTTGTGGGACATGCAGGGTTGGGGAGGGTCGATCAGAAGGCCACAGAGAAGCAGAAAAGTTTAGTTAAGAAGACCCTTGAGAGGCTGAAACTACTTAGGCCGAACCCTCAGGCCTGGTGTGAAGGATTTAAGCACAATACAAGACCCAAGTGTTCAGTGCAGGCACCAGTTAGGGACAGGAAGGCACAAGGATGCATGGATGGGCCGTAAATACAGACCACAAAGCCGCAGAGAGCCAGTTCAGGTCTGTGGTCACTGTGGTGATGGCACATCCTCAGGGTACCTGCCTGGTACTCAAGCTGTCTGTCCTGGCCCAGAGAACTCACATACCGTAAGCTAGGCCCACATCATAGCTTCTCTTAATTGTGAGTCTGTTTAACGTTCATTCAGTTTCTTCCTGGCATGTAGACTTTCATGGTAAACTGATATTTTAGCATTTTCTTATACAGCTGAACGAAAATGTGCTTTCTTTTAACTTTTACTCACTGGCTCCAGCCCTGCACCAAGGATTCACACAGAAAGAAAATTCCGGCCAGGCATGGTGGCTTATGCCTGTAATCCCAGCACTTTGGGAGGCTGAGGCGGGCGGATCATGAGGTCAGGAGATCGAGACCATCCTGGCTAATGCGGTGAAACCCTGTTTCTACTAAAAATACAAAAATTAGCCAGGTGTGGTGGCGGGCGCCTGTAGTCCCAGCTACTTGGGAGACTGAGGCAGGAGAATGGCATGAACCTGGGAGGTGGAGCTTGCAGTGAGCCGAGATGGCACCACTGCACTCCAACCTGGGTGACAGAGCAAGACTCCGTCTCAAAAAAAAAGAAAATTTCCTTTTTCTTGGGACAGTCTTTCAGACATTTAAAGAGAATCATCAACTGGCTAAACATCTCCAAGGTCTTTTAATTAATATAGTTTTCAGTTCTTTTCCCATTTTCTTTTCCTGCCTGTGACCTTTCTCCATCTGGTCAGTGAATACCCTGAACTACAGATCTCAGAACCTCTGGAAGAAGCAGACAGCAGTTAGTTACCACTGGAAAATGTAGTCCTGTGTTCCTATTAGCTTCCTTGGCAACTGCCCCCTTACTATTGAGTGAAACTGAGACAGTAGACTCAATTCTGAGGTCTTCTTCTCATGAGTTGCTATCAAGGTCTGTCTCCTCATCCTTTATGTGTGCACTTGATTATTTGAATATGACTCTGAAATGTTGGGTCAGGTTTGAACTACTGCTTTTGGCATGCTGATTCTGCCATCCCCCTCCACAGCCTCTTCTCTCAGCCTCATGTAGATGGGGTATGCAGGCTCAAGGGGACAAATATTTAATAATACTTGATAAAAATTTTGGACTGAATGAGGCAGAGGTCAAAATTCTTCATTATATCACAGTTCAGGGCATCCTATAGCGTCATATCACCCATTAATCGTCATCTCCAAATTTATTCAACCAGTTATAAATCCACTGAATTGTATTATCATGAGGTCCATATCTCTGTAATTTGTTAACAACAATATTATAGGAAACTCCATCAAAGACATTGCTAAAATCAATAAGCACAGTATCTACTGCATCTTTTTAATTCTCTATTGTGGTCATCTCACCAACAGGCATGTCTAATGGGGATTGCTCTTAGTGAGTCACAGTTGGTCCCAGGAAACATGTTCTTCCCAATAAGGGTTCACATTTCTTCTGTTACACAATCTTCTCAAGGAGTTTCTAGGGACCATCTTACTCTTTTGAAAATTAAAACCTGCCCTCTTCCCAAAAGATATTAAATAGATGAGGATAGGACAAAAGAGATTGAAATTAAACTTTGCAGAAATAATCTAGATCAGGCTTTATGAATAATTACGAGGCATTGTGCTAAAATTCTAAAAATGGCTATGATGTCACTTGCATAAATTATTAATAAATTATTATATATTTGATAATTTTTCTTTGTAGACCTGGAGGCAAAGGTATGGATGAGATCACATAGCAAGGAGATTGCTGCTGAGAAGGAGTCAAAGCCTGGGTTTTACTTGTGGCCTTGCTGCTACACCAACTTTACTGACATGCCATTCTGGGATAGTCTTTTCTCTCTGAGGCTTCAAGAGAAGATGAGAATACATTCCATCCCTACCTCTTGGAGTCATTGTGAGGACTCAGATGAAGTGCAGCATCACGCAACAGTAAGTGGTTATTAGTATGGCTTCTGGAAGAGTTTGTGTCTCCAAGTGGGATCCTTGGCTGTCAGATCCATGACTGCATCTATAAATACTGTGGGAAGTCGGAAGCACACACTGGGGTTGACCGTATTCTCTAATTGGGTGTCACCTTTCATGAGCCAAGCAGCTGCCAAAACTCATTGCCTCTGATTTAGTGTCTTGGAACTGATCAGCATATTGTTTTGTTAATAACCATCTGAAGTTCAAGAAGTCTTCCAAGTGGTACCACTTGAAATATAACAGCTGGCTCAGGGGCTGTTTTGTGGTAGGCTCAAATGGGACTTAGATGCTATTTCCCTCTTATGCACAAATGTGGTAACAAGCTTGAAAAGGGGGCTCAGTGATTCCCCACTGCCTCCAGTGCTCAGTAAGCAATTTGAATATTTCAATATGGAAAATATAACCTAGTTCTTTTTAGACCAATCTGCCTCTTATTCATAAATTAAATAGGATACACAGAGCTAAGGAACAGAATGAAGACAAGACAGTGAAGACATCATCTCAATAGCAGGAATCTATCCTGAGCCTGTCATTCTTCCATCTATATTCCTGTCCACCCATATGTCCATATATCTGTCAATCCATCTATTAATACATTAAAAATTAAATGAATATTTATGATACAAAAGACACTTAATGAGACCTAAGTCCTGCCTTCAAAGAGTTTATGGTTAAGTATATGGGAGAAATCGAATATAATTCACAGCAAAGCAATGTTATTACAAGATCAGAGAAAGATTACTTCCAGTTAGATAGAACCGGGGAAGCATTTAGGCTGAATCAAGAAAGTTGGATAAGATTTAGATGTATGGAGATGGGAGATATGGTTTTTCTAGGAAGAGGGAATAACCAACAATAAAGACATGAAGGAGGTAAACTATGGAGACTGCTTGGAGACTACTGTTCAGTATTGAGTTTTGCAGGAGATAATGAGAGTTAAGCTGAAAAGGTAGTCTGGGACAGAAGATAAAGGGCCTGGAATTCCAGGCTAAGGAGTTTGTACATCATTTTGGAGAAAATTGGGAGCCCCTGAGGATTTTTAAATATTGTAGCATTGTATCCAGAACTGTGCTTCAGAAAGAGTACTGCCGTTCCCAGTGTTAAATGTTAGAAGCAATACGCCAGAGCCTTGCCTCCAGGTCTTACCTTCTGGCTTTCACATGGCATTTGTTGGTGCCAGTGGCTGGGAAGATTATTCTATTTTACCCTGAAGGAGGAAGGTGGATGTAGTGGACCTGTGAATTCCAGTCAGATTCCCTTTCAGGACTGACACACTTATCTGCTCATGCTGAGAGTGTTGGCTACTGATGGCCATAGCCAAATCCCTGTCTGGGAACTGCATCTGGCTGGTGAGAGCTGCCTTTCCCAGGGTAATACTCTCTCCTTCAATGACTGGTTGATACAGGGGTTACAAAGGCCTGGCCCCTTTGCCTCAATTTGGAAGAGAACTCTGAATACTCCGCAGTCCATAACTCCCAAGCTTCCTGCAGGATTATCTGAGGCTTCTGCATTCCCTAGTGCCTGCTCCGACAAAACTCCTGCACATACATCTCCATCTCAGAGTCTGTTTCTAGAATCCTGAGCAAAGGCAATGGGTCTTCCTCTTCCCCAGCTTCCTCTGCAGTTGACTTATCCAGGGGATGGCTTGTGTCATCTCTCTTGTATCACCTCCCTTGGTAAGGGGCTGAAGATGGGCAGTGTTGCCCCTATTTCTAAGAGATTGTCTCTGTGAGTGTATCTGTGAGTGTAGAGTTTTCTCTTTAGGTATTGAGGGTCTCTGGACCTTCCCAGGCTGTGTTCCCCAAAATGTCTTCCATGGGATGTTTATGGAGGTACACCTTGAAAAAAGTGGTAGCCAAACGAGTACTCAGTATCTAAGAGGTTAGAATTGTAGACAATGCTTGAGTATATCCGATTATAGAGAAGTTTTCTCAAAAATCATGTCGGGGTTAAGGAACTGTTGCTTTATATGTTTGAGGAATTATTTGGGGCTGAAATACTCATTAGTGAGTATTTCATTAGTGAAAGGCAAGGCCAATGTCTACTTGGAATGATACTTGTAAAACAAGGGTTGAAAACTCATGTGGCTCGGCATCCGTTCAACATAAACAATGAGATAAGAATGTAGGGTCCTGGGGACCTGAAAATAAAGTATAGGCCTGTCCTAAGGGGACTGCTGCTATAGGGGTTCATGAAAAAGACTGGTGCTTCCATGAGGAAGTGCTGGTCCCTGTGGCCAGACCTCAGGTTTTGCAAGGTATCTGTACTTTAAAAAATGTAAATCTCCTGAGTTTTAATTTAATTTTTAGAAAATACTGTGTGCATGAAGCAAAATATATCTGCGAGCTGAATGTGGCCTTCAGGCTGTGGTTGTTTGCCTCTGTTTTAAACCACCGTGCATGCTGGAGAGAGCACCTGAGGCAAAAACAGTGAGCACATTTGTGTGCTCATCTCTAGAGGGGCCTCTGCCTGGTAATGGGCCACTGGGAGGCAGGGTGGGCTACAGAAATTGGGGGAGGGCTGGGGAGCCTATGCATGCATGGTCTGAAGAGCAGACAGCTTAAAACATGTTTCCAAATGTGTTTTGGCCGCTTTCGTTTATGAGAACTGGCGAAATCTGCAGGTTTAAAAAAATCTTATTTGTAAATTTACTTATTCCTTAAATTCCTTCTTAAAACATTATTTTATGTTATTTAATCTTCATGAGATCCTTCAAGGATTCCCAACTGTACCCAAGATAACAGTTGACAGTTAAATCCCTCCATGTTAGGGCTGCACATTCAATTCATTCATTCATTCATTCAGGTGTGAATTCCTTGATTTGACACATACACAAATAATTATACAAATAATTATTGAATGCTGTCTTGTACAGGGAACTGTATGAAGTACCTCTAGAATTGCAAAAATGAATAAGGTACTGTTTCTGCCTTCTAGGAACTCAGATGCCCTCACTGCATCTCAAATGCACTCAGGTAGGTACGATGATGGTAAGAGTTCATATTTACTGACTACCTACTAAGTGGTTGGTACTATTCCTAGTATTTTGTTTTAACTTTCGCATTTAATCCTATGACAGCATACCTAAGAAGTGACTATTATTTCTGACCTCCATTTAGAGAAAGCATGGAGACACATGCTGTTTCGGCACTTTCCCCAAGATCAGAGAGTTATAGGAGCTGGAGCTGGATAGAAGCCTGGTGTACACCTCTCTGACTATTGCTTCACTGGGCCACCTGGCATCCTGTGGAGGGGCTTCTGAGCACCTGTAATCTGATGGAGAGCATGGCAGAGGCAGCTGGATGCTAGACACTGAGGAGACACCTGAGTCTGACAAGTGGAAAGAGATGTGTGTGGGGAAAGGAGATCAGGCAAAGGCTCCGCAGTAGGAAGGCCAGAGTGGCCCCTGAGACCACAGGAAGAAAAGGGAAGCAATGCTGGACAGCCGGCCAGCTCCTGGGCTGTGGGGCCAGCAGCCATTAGAGACAGTCAGAGTAGAGGACCCTTAGACCCCACCAGACCCTGCAGAGGATGAAACAGAAGGATGCAAAGAGATTTGTCCTCTTAAGAGAGGAAACAAATACAAATCACAATGAAATGCCACTTTCCTGCATCGGATTAACGAATACTCGAAAGCTTAATACTACTTAGTGTTGGCCAGGACTTTCCTTTTGCACAATTTTGATGGGCGAGTCAATTGGGAAAGTGTTTGTGAGTGCAGTTTGGCAATATGTGTGTATCTACATTTTAAATGCACATACTTTTTGGTCCAGAAAAAGTCCCCTGAGGATACACATATACCTGCAGGATAAATGCACACATACATATATTTAGGGTTGGCATTTTTACAAACAGAAAATTAAAAATGATCTTCATCAGTAGGTTAAGCAAATAAATTATGATAATACAAACTAGGGAATACTGTGGCTTCGTATTACTCTTAAAATAAAACCCCAAGCCCTTTCCCATGGCCTATAAGGCCTGGGATGATTTGGTCCCTTCCCCGTTCTCACCCTAATTTTCCACTGCTCTTTCTCTCCTCCTGCTCCAGTTCCTAGAGGCTATAGCTGTTCCACAGACCAAGGCAGTTCCACCCTTAGGGCCTTTGCTCCTGCAGTTTCTCCTTCTTGGAAGGTTTTCTCCCCCAGATATTAATACGACTGTCTCCTCACTCTATTTATACCTCTGTTCAAATATCAACATGTGGTGAACAGCTTCGAAAATGACCCTTAACGACCTGCCCTCCTGGTATGGATTCCCTCCCTTCTAGTGTGAGCTGGACCTAGTGACTTACTAATAATGAATAGAATATTTTAAAAGGGGGGATTTCACTTCTGAGATCTTATAACAGAATACCATGACTTCATCTTGCATGCTCTTTCTCTCTCCCTCTGTCTTCCTCTCCCTGTCATTCTTGCTTGTGAGTAAGCAGGCTGCCATGCTGTGAGCTGCCCTATGGAGAAGTCCACATGGCAAGGAACTGAGGGATACCTTCAGCCAACAGCCAATGAGGAACTGATGCTCCCAGAGAACAGCCTGTAGGAAACTAATTCCTGCTAACAACCTTCAGATGACTGCAGGTCTGGCTGGCAACTCAACTGAAGCCTGAGAGAGATCCTGAAGCAGCGGGTGCAGCTAAGCCTCTGCTGGATTCCCATTAGACAGAAACTGTGAGTCATGAATACTGTTGTTTTAAACACTAAGTCTTGGGGTAATTTGAAACACAGCGATAGACCACTGATACAGAATCCCTGGGAGAAGTGTTCTATGACTATGCAATTTAAAACAGTATTCTTTGTTGCACAGTGACCCCTTAACCTGCTTTATTTTATTTCATAGCATGTATTTCTTGGACATTCTTTGATATCTTTTTGTTTGTGTATTTCTTTCTCTTTACTAGAATGTAAAGTTTTATGAGGACAAAACTCTTGCTTATCATTGTGTTCCCTCGTGCCTAGAAGAGTGCCTGACATTAAGTGGGTGCTCACGTTTGGTAGGTATTTGTGAAGGAATAAATATTGCAACCCATAAAAAGAATGAATAGTCATGCAGATCCAATATGGGGAAGGCTTCCAAAATATAACATTATGGCGGGAGAGAAAAGCAAGTTGCAAGGCAATCTATATATATCATGATCCCCCTTTCATATCTGAAAGTTTGCATATGCAATGAAAAATGTCTGAAAAGATACAGATCAAAGTGTGAATAGTGGTTTTCCCTACAAGATAAAATTATGGAGCCACACTGTCTTAAACATTTCTTTAATTTTTAATGGTTTTATAATTATTCTAGAATCAGAAAAATTCAATGAAGACATTTTATAGAATTCTTAAGGCCAACCAGCCACTTGCTCTTCAGTGTTCCTGTGTCTTCTCTTGGCAGACCTCCAAAGAGGCTACCTGCTGCTAGTCTGAACCCAGCAGCCTTAGACTTTTTCCTTATGGTGGCCAGAACCATTCTCCCTGCACCTCACCCAGCCAGCCTCCAGTCTCCAGGCAGTGCACAGGAAGAGCTCCCACATGACAGACTGTCAGAAACCTAGCATGTTTTCTGTGAATATTTCTTGGCAATAATTACTGAATAGGAAATAGGGAGTTGAAGAGAAATAAAAATACAGTACAGCAAAAATAACTGTTTTTGCAGTTCAGCCTTGAAGGGATAAAGGCTGCCGAGTAGCTGATGGATGGAGCACACTGCGCTGATCCTCTGCTTTGCTTGAGGGCGAAGTTCTCATGGGGACACTAAGGCTGGGCTTCATGGAAAGCTCCAGTGAGATCCCTGGACACATATCAGATTTCTCCCTGGTTATGCTGAGTGTATCTGTGCAGGAAGGTACTCAGAGTGCTCCATCTAAAGCCCAGCATTCCCTGTAGACTAAGAGTCAGTGTGGGAGAGAGGTGGGGGCGGGCAGCCTTGTCATTCTTCCCCTCACAACTTGGCTTGGGCAGTTTTTCATCTCCTTGCTATGTTATCAACTCTCCACTGCCTCACCCACTATATCCTATATGCTCTTAAATTTGCTGTATATGTTGACTGGGAGGCAAGGTAAGCCTCCAAGAGGAGAGCTGATCATAATCCTGAAAGACACAATCCAGAGTGCCACCATCCTGAATGTGGAAATCCTGAAAGATCACAATCCCAAAAATATAACTCTGAGAAAAACAATAAAAAAGTATTTTAAAGATATTTAAAAGGGAATTTATTTGAGAAACAAAAATGCAACAGAACACTTCACAGGCCACTTTATACAATAAAAGAGTCAATAACATACACATTTTTGGAGGCATAAAAATTCAGATATACTAATGACAGCCACATGGATATAACAATTATGAGCAGATGAACTGTATTCATAAAGAAATAGGTGAAAAAGGGAAATATATAAACACATATCACTATGGTTGTGTACGCAGCCTTATAACTGCAGTCATATGAAATACTGTTATGAGCAACCTAACAGTATTTTAAAGAGATCAATAAAAAAACAAAACCATGTTGGGTCACCATCACATATGCAGTCTCCCAAAGAGCCGAGATCTTGAGACATTTCTCACAAAAGCAGATGTAGCAAAAGAACATCTCTTCATTTATTGAGGAAATTTCAACATTTTTACTTACATGCACAATGCTTACACACAAAGTCAACGTTATGATAATGCATTTTCTGGAGTCAAATCTGCAAAAAAATGTGTAAAACCAATTAGAACTCTCCAAAAGTCTCTATGCAATTTATATCTTCAATATTGAAAATGATGTAAAGATGAAATACATAGCCTAGCAAATTGTAAAATACAACATTAACAATTTAAAATAATGAAAAAGACTAACAAAAAGAAAAGAAAAACATTAGACATGAAAAGTATATTAAGTGGATAGATAATGGCAATTGCACAGAGGTTGTCCATAAGGCTGGCTAACCTTCACTATCATTGACTATATTTTGAAGTCTTGCATCACGATGAATAGCTGCTTTTTTCTATTAGGACATGGCTTTCCTCAGAGAATATTTTCATATTCATTTTCTATGTAGTGCTGCTCTTTTTGATATTCTTCTGTGATTCGATATGCAACAACATGAACATTTCCTGTTAAACTTTCCCATCTTCTGTTTAGGAATTTTGATCTCTAGGGATTTCAGTATTTGGGATGATGGTGTTTGGAATTGTGTCTTTCAGGTTTATGATCCAAACCCCTCTGAGAGCAGGGACACAAGATGTTGTGTCCTCTGTGGTATCCTCAGGGCCTGTTATACTGACAGCACAAGTAGAGACTCAAGCAGTGTGGTTGGCAGAATGAATGGCCACTCTCACATTTGTGTATGTCCTTTCTAAAGTGTGCTCCAGCATGGCATGGTCTGACACTACGGAGTAGAGCAGGATTGTACACACCTTCTTTCTACATTCTATACTTCCATAAATGTAATCTAAGAGCAGATTTTTTGGGCAGCCAATTAAACAGTTATAAAACTTGTTCCTCCAACCTTTTCTTCTTAAAGAAGATGTCAGCTATTATTTCTTTAAATGTCACTTTAATGATGAAATATTTCAAACATATTATATTTAAAATATTCTGAACATAGCAAGTCCTCATGGACCTGCCTCTGGAATTTAACACATATTCTTTTTTTTTTTTTTGCTTTTTTCATAATTTTAATTTTCATATATTTTTCTTTTCCTTTTTATTTATTTATGCTTTTAATTTTTAATTTTTGTTGGTACATAGTAGGTATATATATTTTGGGTGTACATGAAATGTTTTGATGCAGGCATGCAATATGAAAAAAGCACATTATGGAGAATGGGGTATTCATCCCCTCAAGCATTTATCCTCTGAGTCACAAACAATCCAGTTACACTCTTCAAATTATTTAAAAATGTACAAGTAAGTTATTATTGACTTTAGTCACCCTGTTGTGCTATCAAATAGTAGGTCTTACTCATTCTTTTTACTGTTTCTGTATCTACTAACCATCCCCACCTCCCCTCCTTGCCCTCCAGTACGCTGCTATTTTACCATGATTACTTCAAATTTTTGGATAAATAAAATATACAGATAAAATCAAAGCCTCCTTTATTTTTCATTCTTTGCTTTTCATTCTTTCATCACAATAAATAAATATTATTCTGAAGTTGATGTATGTTCCTCCCACCCATGTTTTATAATTTTATTACATATATACTTATAAAATATCATATATAAAGTATCAAATCTTATTTGTCTGATATTCTGTAACTCACAATTATGTTTTCAATATTGATTCCTAGGAACCTAATTTTAGTTACTGAATTCTATGAGTGTGTCATAATTTGTCTATGCTCCAGTAGCTGTGTACAGGATTTCTCATTTCCCCATTTTCAACCATTCCTCAGTTTTATAAGGCTTTTTATTTACCAAGCCAGTAAATATGAAATGATATCTCATTTTAATTTGCATTTTCCTTTTACTAATAAGGTTGGACGTCTTTTCACGCATTTTTTTTTTGCCATTTGGATTTTTTCTTTTATCGATTTCCTATTCTTACATTGTGCTAGTTTGCAAAAATGGCCACAATAATTTCCTTCCCTGAATCGATATCCTTGGGTAATTCCCATCATACAGATTCTGGGCGTAGACATGTGATTTCCTTTGGCTAAGGAGATAAGAAAATGTGAGACTTGAAGAGGCCCAAGAGACTTGGAAAGTGCTTGTGCATTGGTGCTGTTTCTTGCTTCTCTGAAACCACCACCATGTGAAAAAGCCTGGGCTAGTCTGCTGAATGATGAGGGACACGTGGCCTGGTGACCTTCATTAGTCCAGCAAACTGCCAAACACATGAGTGAGGCCATTGACTGCCAGCTGACTGCAAACATGAGACTGAGCCCAGCTAATTTCTTGAGGATAAAATGAGCCATTTTTTTCTGAGCTCAGCCCAAACTGTCAACCCACAGAAATCAGAGCACATAGATATTTGTTGTTTTAAGCCAGTAGCCCTGGGTGGTGTGTTATGGCAGCTATAGCTCATTCACATTATTTTGCCCATTTTTTCCCCTTTTGGTTGCTTGTCTTTTTTTTATTGCTAAACTCTTTCTTTATTTCTTCTGGGTTTTTTTTTTTTTTTTTTTTGAAACAGGGCCTCACTTTGTCACCCAGGCTGGAGTGCAGTGGTGTGATCTTGGCTCCCTATAGCCTCGAACCTCCACCAGGCTCAAATGATCCTCCCAACTCAGCCTACTGAGTAGCTGAGACTACAGGTGCATGCCACCACACCCAGCTAATTTTTATATTTTTTGTAGAGATGGGGTTTCAGCATGTTGCCCAGCCTGATCTTGAACTGCTGGGCTCAAGGGATCTGCCTGCCTTGGCTTCCCAAAGTGCTGGGATTACAGGCATGGACCACCGTGCCCAGTCTGCTAAACTCTTTCTTAACATGACATTTCTCATTCAACTCTGTAAGTTTACGAGGCAGACATTATTATCATTATTATCATCATTTCCATTTTAGAGATGAGGGAGCTAGGATTAGAGGTTTAGTGATTATTCAAAGATCATGCACCTAGCAAGCAAGGAAGGTGAAATTTGAATCCATAAATGTCTGGCTGCAGGACCAGAGCTCTCAGGCCATTTCACTTCCCTGCTTCTCTCGCATGTTGAATTTACAGTCGCTCAGTTCGTGGAAACTCTTTAGGGCCAGGCACTATGCCACATTTTATATCATACTAAACACAGAGTTTTGTTTTAAACTTCGTTTAGGACTTTCTGTTTTCAGTGGTGTACTAGAACAAGCCCACAGCAGTTCACGAGAGCCAATGTTAGCTAGCATCTCTTCCCAATTCTGAGTTCAGGACATCACATGGTAACTTGACATCAGCTGTGGTAGGAGTCTTTATACCACAGGATTTAGCAAATACTGTGAATCAGGGGCTTTTATCTTCTAGAGAGCTGGTTTACCAGCACATAAAGTACTGGGCTGTGTTTATTCCTGTTCCTTGTATCTTGTTAGGTCTGTCCCTTTCAGTTGGTGGTTAGCATAGTGTTGGAACATTATTTGTCATCCAACATATTTGCTATTCCTATCCACTTTATATCATTTCGCAAATGGAATAAGTATATCTTCTATGTCTTCACTGGCTCACAAACTGAGCTTTCAGGGCTGGGAGTAGAAACTTTTCTCCAGGTTCACTTGTTCCATTAATCAATACGTTCATTCCTCTACCGACAGGCAATAGTCCTTGAGTATTTTCTATGTGACAAATAGTATTCTAAGTCCTTTACATGTATTAAATTATTGTAATCTCCTCAGCAACTGATGAGTTATGGATTTGAGGCACAAGGAAGTTGAATTCCTTAGGGGTCTACATAACTAGGTGATGGCTGAACTGGATTCAAATCCAGTTTGCTAGTTTGCTATCCTCTCTTTACTTAACTGCGCTACAATCCAAACTTTGAGCCTCTATCTGATCCATAAGGATACCACAGAGGAGTCTGGATTCAGTGAGCAGTGGGATTCAGCAGTAGTAGAGGGCCATTGTAAGTGTTTGAATGGGAGAGTGATACTTTTCACATGGTACTTAGAATGTTTTGTTACACTAGAGTATGATAGATTGTCCCAAGTAGGAGAAAGGCCAGGGGCAGGAAAAACACTTGTGGGATTGTAGCTATCATTTAGAGCTTGCTCATGTTTATGGAAATGAAATGACTCTTCTATATGGGGCTTTCACTCCAACTGGCTCAGGCTCCTACTGGCTCAGTCAAGTTGTCAAGGCTCTGTTCATGCTATTTCCCTGACCCACGGTACATTCTCTAGCTACTTCATTTCTTTATATATAAAAATAGTTAAAAAATAAACTACAGATATAATATTATTATTGGGCTCTTCCACAACATCATTCCCCTTAAATATTCATCATCTGTTTTATACACTTCTGATTTAATAATTTCTCACATATTTATTATTTATCACCAGTGAGTCTTTAAGTTCCTCAAGGGCAGGAACCATGTCTTATACTTTGGCATGCTCTGCAGTGCTGAGATCACCAGAGTTACTCCATAAATGCTTGTGGAATATAAAAATGCATAAATAACTCTTCTTTTTTTTTTTCCCATGGGCAAGCTCATTGACAGTAGGTACCTGGAGTAATATAATTAGGAAGCTCCAAAATAAAATTGTGTTAAGGAACTACTTAAATGCTGTAAAGGAAAGTAGAGAAGACAGCCAATTTGTATCTACGAGCACCCATGATTTCTATGTAATAGAAGAAGTCATTTATTGGATTTAGTTGACTTAGTTAAGTTCCTGGCTACAGGCTGCCCCCTGAGTCCTTAATTGCTCATCCAAAAGGAGGAAGTAGTGGCCCCACTCAGAGCCAAGTTATAAGGTATCCATTAGCAGATTTGAGAGTGTGGCTAGAGAATTGTGGAGGCTGAATGAGGGGAACAGAACCAACAACTACCAATTATCTAGCGTGTGCAAACACTATGCTAAAGCACATTTTCTTTTAGTCATCATTACTAACCTGCTAGGTGTGTTTTGCTATTCCTTTTGAGAGATGAGAAAACTGAGCTCTGAAAGAGTATGTAACTTGTTTCAGAGTACACAGCAGGTAAGAAATGGAGCAGAGATTCAAATTCGCTTTCATCTGGCTCTAAAAACAATGCTTTATTGTTTACCTATAGGGCTAGCCTAGTAATGTAAATGTGTGAATTGGGCTGGGTATACGAAAACTGGGAAAAGTTTCCAAACTCTGTTTAAAGATTCAGAATCAAACTTAAAAACTACACTTCCTCCCAAAACTTTTGCAGGCTAGCCTTCTCTATTGGATCATCACTTGCAACTCTTTTTTTTTTTTTGAGACGGAGTCTCGCTCTGTGGCCCAGGTGGGAGTGCAGTGGCGCAATCTCGGCTCACTGCAAGCTCCGCCTCCCAGGTTCACGCCATTCTCCTGCCTCAGCCTCCCGAGTAGCTGAGACTACAGGCGCCCGCCACCAAGCCCGGCTAATTTTTTTGTATTTTTAGTAGAGACGGGGTTTCACCGTGTTAGCCAGGATGGTCTCGATCTCCTGACCTCGTGATCCGCCCGCCTCGGCCTCCCAAAGTGCTGGGATTACAAGCGTGAGCCACCGCGCCCGGCCCATCACTTGCAACTCTTATTTTTAATAAAGCACTTTACCCAGTCAGAGGTGGGAGACATGGATTTGTCTGACATTTTCTATGATGGGATGCTGTTACTTAGCAAGGCCAGCCTGGAATTTCAACTAATTCTTGATGGGGAAAAGCATACCATTCAGAGGTTGTGAAAGCAAAGAGATCATCCAGGGACCCAAGTTAGATGGTACTCCTAAAGACAGCCAGAGATGGACTGTGCTAATAGACTTCAGCAAAGGCAGTGGGTGCAGTGATTGATAGGCTGGTCTGTAGCAACAGAACTGGGGGTTATGTCAAACGGAATACCAGGAGAGTCTGGGGACACACAGGTCATCTGGTTCCAGAGGAAGATAAACATAGCCTCAGAGACTGTGGGAAGATGATAGAGAAGGTAGATGGGAAGGTGGTTAGCAGTGGAATGGTCAGGAGTAGAGATCTAAACAACAGCACCAAGGCAGAGTATTCAAGGCTTCTCCCTCTGGATGCCAGAGGACTGGATGGCAGGCTCTATTCTGGAGAGCCAGGTGGGATTTACACTCAGCAGAAAGACATAACAGAGTTCTGGGAGGTATTTTCCAGAATATACCAAAGGCAAGAGTGGTCTCTGTCCTAATCCTTGCAATTTAAAGGACGATATATATCACGATCATGATCACACACACACACAAACACACTAGTGTCTCTCACTTGAGAACCAGCTGTTATTGCTGGCACATCATAACCTGGAACATTCACTGTCAATGCTATCACCATTCAGGCCCCAGGGAAATGCTTCTTCACATCTCTTGCTCCACAACACAAATCAATTCATTCAGGTATGTGGGTTTGCTGTTGTTATTAGAAAAAGACAAGGGAAACTTGAGCAGTGGAAGCACTTAGGTAAGGGAAAGGACAAATTAGTGTATCAAATCCTTCCTCTCAGGTACATGAATGCGATAGGTTCTGGCATAATAAAATAAGATTTTTTAGTAGTGTCACATATTCTTTTTTTTTTCTTTCTTTTTACACTCCAATTTGTGGGTTTTGGTAGTGCTTAGAGTTAATATGGTATTCACAAAAGTTGTTCACGGTAGATGAGGAATAGTTTAGGTCTGAATATAACATGCGTGAAGTTTGACACTGCTTCTTTTTTGTCTTTTAAAAATAATTATTATGGGTACATAATACTCATATATATTTATGGGGTACAAGTGATGTTTTGATATAGGCATACAATGTGTAATTATCAAATCAGGATAATTAGGGTAATCATCACCTCAAGCATTTATCATTTCTTTGTGTTAGAAACATGGCAATTCCACTCTTTTAGTTATTTTAAAATATACAATAAATTATTGTTAACTATAGTCACCCAATTGTGCTACTGAATACTAGATCTTATTCATTCTATCTAACTGTATTTTTGTACCCATTCACTAGCCCCACTTTACCCCCACTCCCTGCCACCCTTCCTAGCCTGTGGTAACCATCATTCTACTCTCTATCTTTATGAGTTCAATTTGCTTAATTCTTGGCTCCCACATATGAGTGAGAACACGCAAAATTTGTCCTGCTGTGCCTGGCTTATTTCACTTAACATAATGTCCTCTAGGTCCATCCATGTTGTTGCAAATGGCAGTGTTTTATTCTTTTTTATGGCTAAATGATATTCCATTGTATTTATGTACCATATTTTCTTTATCCATTTATTTATTGATGGACACTTAGGTTGATTCCATATCTTGGTTTGGTGATTAGTGATGTAATAAACATGGGAATGCAGATATCTCTTCCATATATTGATGTATTTTCTTTTAGATATATACACAGCAGTGGCATTGCTGGATCATGTTGTAGTTCTATTTCTAGTTTTTTGAGGCACCTCCATATTATTCTCCATGGTGCCTATACTAATTTACATTCCCACCAACAGTGACACTGATTCCTAACATGGTCAATTGCATGGGCATTGAATTCTCAAATTGCAGATAATCTTATTTTTATGACATATTTATTAAGCTTTAATTAAATTTTCAAAATATCGAATGAAAAATTAAAGATGATTTAAGTAATTATTTAAAAATGCAATATTCATTGATTACAATATATATTTTACCTCTAAATTTAGTAAGTTTGAATATTTTGTAAGAAAAATAGATTTATAATTCTTTAAGAAATTAATTTTACAAATGTTTGTACTCGATTTACATGTAGCTTAATTTATTTTATTTTTTTTTAAGACCGAGTTTCGCTCTTGTCACCCAGGCTGGAGTGCAATGGTGTGATCTTGGCTCACTGCAACCTCCACCTCCTAGGTTCAAGCGATTCTCCTGCCTCAGCCTCCTGAGTAGCTGGGACTACAGGCACATGCTGCCGTGCCTGGCTAATTTCTTTTTATTTTTTGTAGAGATGGGGTTTCACCATGTTGGCCAGGCTGGTCTCGAACTCCTGACTTCAAATGATCTGCCCACCTCAGATGATCCACCCAAAGAGCTGGGATTACAGGCGTGAACCACCACTCCTGGCGTCAATTTACATTTTAAATGAAAATTTATTCAAATTGTGTACACTTTAAATACAATTTCCTTGTAGAGTGAATGTCATTATTATCCTCATTTGTGTCAACTGAACACAAATTACATAAAACTCTTGATTATAGGAACATACTTAGTAATTTTACTTAACTGATGGAAAGAAAAATAAAGTTCACAGAATGCATATATAGTAATTTATGAATTATGTATGCATTTATTACTTAATGCAAATATTATACAACTATCAATAGGTCACCTACACATAGACAATAATGATTAAATTCAGTCTATCTTGATATTTTCTTTTTGGCCATATGAAACTATAGCTTGCACATATTTTTAAATTTTGTCATCATAATGGTATAAATATTAAGGTGAAACGTAAGTTATCTGCCAATTTGTCAGTTTGATTTATAAATTTTAAATATTTAGACATGGTATGTGGGTTTAGTAAGTTGAATTGTGGCCTCCAAAATGATGTGTCTAAATCCTAATCCCTGCTACCTAAGAATGTGCCCTCATTTTGAAAAAAGGGTCTTTGCAGATGTAATTAAGTGAAGCATCTCAAGATAAGATCATTCTGGATTAACCGTGTGGGTCATAAGTCCACTGACAAGTATCCTTATGGGAAGAGGTGAAGACACAGAGACACAGGACAAAAGGGCCTGTGAAGGAGGAGTAAGGACCAAGCCAAGAATACCTGCAGTCACTGGAGGCCGAACAAAGTGAAGAAGAATTCTCCTCTACAGCCCTCAGATGGCATGCTGCTGACACCTTGACTTGAGATTTCTAGCCTCCAGAGCTGTGACATAATAATTCTTTTTCTTTTAAAGCCACAAATTTTGTAGTAATTTGTTATAACATCCCTGGGAAACTAACGTAGAAGTCTTCTATCTGTATCCTTGTTCTGGGTCCTGCTAATATTAGGAGTCAGTAATATTAGTCTACTGGGTAGACTAGGCTTGGGGTGGGGATGTGTTACAAGAGCTTGGTTTAAAACCTGCCCAAATGCTTTCCCTGAGAGATTGTGAGATCTTTGGAGGCAGGTACTTATCTTTTCTTTATATCCCTAACTGCTAGCCAGGTACTCAGTATGAGCTAATGAAGAAATGAATCAATAAATGATTGAATGGTGGCCATCAAGCTCCAGGGCCAAACTTGCCTGGGTTAAAATTCAATTAATGGAGGTGGTTCTTAGGAGCACTACAGTGTGGAAAGCCCTGTTCTTCACTAACATTGGAGAGAAAGGAGTGCAAGACATAGAAGATGAGACATTTGTTCCAGGAATCAGCCCATCATTTACTGCCATGGGCTGCTAAATGTTTAACAACTGGCTCTCTAGAAAACACAAGACAAAACAAAACAAGTCCCCATTCTTTTAAAACTTTTCTGATTTCTATAGTGTAAATATTCCCACCACACCTGACTTTTTTTTCTTTCTTTCTTTCTTTTTTTTGAGACAGAGTCTTGTTCTGTCGCCCAGGCTGGAGTGCAGTGGTGCAATCTCGGCTCACTGCAACCTATGCCTCCTGGGTTCAAGCAATTCTTCTGCCTCAGCCTCCCAAGTAGCTGGGACTACAGGCATGTGCCACCACGCCCAGCTAATTTTTGTATTTTTAGTAGAGATGGAGTTTCACCATGTTGGTCAGGATGGTCTCAATCTCTTGACCTCATGATCTGCCTGCCTCAGCCTCCCAAAGTGCTAGGATTACAGGTGTGGGTCACCGTGCCCGGCCCTGATTTCAAAGCACTAACAAGAAGCTGCTGATTGTGGAGTTGGGAAAATATCATGGTGCACGATTTGCTCTCATAAGCCCCTCTGAGCTGGCTCCAGCACACTGTTATCTGTGACTGAAAATTGTCTACGATGGAATGATGTCAGCAAGATGGCAGAATAAGGGTTTTCTACTATCATCTCTCCACAGTTCACTGATTTTGACAACCACTGTGAATGAGAGTACCATTGTGGGAGCCTGGGTGTCCAGTAGAGAAGTTCTAGCATGCCATTGGAGCAAAAACAAAACAAACTAAACAACCAAAAGACCCAAAAATCCAAGAATAGATACATTGAATAGATTTCACTTTACCCATGTCACCACTTCCCCAAGGCATCACATCTCACTGCCAAAAGAGGCTCCTGTGGCCCATGAGTCCTTCCATGGAAGAAAGCAAGAGTAGTGAATGAGCAGCTGGATTTCCCAGCTGTGTGGAATGATACACAAGAGGCCCAGCTCTTCCGCACCACACACAGAATGCTGAGGGGATCACCATGGCTATATGGCTGTGAGAGGCTGGGAGCAGGGAAAAGTGGTGGGGACTCACAGCAACAGGGCTTGAAATTCAACAAATGACCATGTATTCTACTAACAACTTCACAGTCTCCTTCAGGAGGCTTACCCATGAGCCACTTGAGATGCCTTGCAAAGCCCCTTAACTGGCCCGCGGATGCCCTCAATGATCCATGCTCCTCACCTCCTCTCCCAGTACCCCTGCTGAATGGCTCCCCATGCATGTGCTCCATACAATAAGTGTGAGCCTTTGCAGGTGGCTTGCAGTCATATGCGGTCAACTGGCTTGACTCTGTGGGACTTGGAGGAGACACACAAACTTGAGCATTTTAGGGCATTGCCCTAAGGAAAACAAATGGGAGATTCTCAGCAAACAGTCTAGCTTTGCAGGATGCAGAAAAGGCACACAATTTTAATAATTCTCTCCACCAAAAAAGGAACAAGAGAGGTGGAGCAGGCCCATCCATAGAAAAAGTCTGAGAAAACCTCAGAATCCTCACCCTTGATGGCTACTGAAGGTGTTTCTTTCCCAAAGCCAGTCAATAAAGACTGTAGGAAGTGCCTGCTGTTTCAAATGTAAAGATAGCAACACAAGACTTCAAGGAACAGGAAAAAAAAGGAAGCATGACACAACCAAAAGCACACAATAATTTTCTAGCAACCAACCTGAAGGAAATAAAGACATATGAGTTGCCTAGAAAAGAATTCAAAATAATTATTTTAAGACAGCTCACAGAAATACAAAGGATCATAAGAAACTACTATGGACAATTACAGGCCAACAAATTGGACAACCTGGAAGAAATGGATAAATTCCTAGAAACATACATCCTACCAAGGCTGAATCATGAAGAGGTAAGAAAATCTGAAAAGATTAAAAATGAATAAGGGATTGAATCAGTTATAAAAATATCTCCCAGCAAAGAAAAGCCCAGGACCATATGGCTTCACTGGTAAATTCCATCAGTCATCTAAAGAAGAATTAATACCAATCCTTCTCAAATTCTGCCAAAAATTCAAAGAAAAGAAAATACATCCAAACCCATTTCACAAAGCCAGCATCATCTTGATACAAAAACCAGATAAGCACACTACAAGAAAAGATTACAGGCCAATATCCTGGATGAACATAGGTGCAATAATCTCAACAAAATCCCAGCAAACTGAATTCAATAGCATGTTAAAAGCATCATTTATCCAGATTAAGTGGGATGTATTCCTGGGATGCAAGGATGGTTTAACAAATACAAATCAATAAGTGTGATATACCACATTAAGAGAATGAAGGATAAAATCATATGATTGTCTCAATAGATATGGAAAAAAGCACTAGACAAAATTTAACATTTTTGATGATAAAAACCCTCAAATATTAGGCATAGAAAAAAAATGTACCTCAACTTAATAAAGGCCACGTATGATAAGCATGCAGCCAATACCAAAGGGTGAAAAGCTGAAAACTCTTCCTCTAAAATCAGGAACAATACAAGGATACCCAGTATCACCACTTGCATTCAACATAATACCAAACATAATACTAGTCAGAGAAATTGGCCAAGAAAAGAAATAGAAGGCATGAAAAATCAGAAAGGAAGAAGTAAAATGGTATCTGTTTGCAGATGACATAATCTTATACATAAAAAACCCTAAAGACTCTACCAAAAACCTGTTGGAACTAATAAACAAATGCACTAAAGTTGCAGAATACAAAATCAATATACAAAAATCAGTAGTATTTCTATACATTAACAATGAACTATTTGAGAAAGAAATTAAGGTGAGAATCCCATTTATAATAGTATAAAAAGAATAAAATACTTAGGAATAAATTTAATCAAGGAGGTGAAAAATCTGTGTACTGAAATTTATAAAACATTGATGAAAGAAATAGAAGAAGATAAATAAATGGAAAGCTATTCTGTGTTCATGGATTGGAAGAAAAAATATTGTTAAAATGTCCATACTACTCAAAGCAGTCTAAAGATTCAAACCAATCCTTATTAAAATTCCAAAAGCATTTTTCACAGAAATAGAAAAGACAATCATAAAATTTGCTTGGAGCTACAAATGACCCTGAATTGTTAGAGGAATCTTGAAGAAAAACAAACCTGTGGGCATCACATTTCCAGAAATTATATTACAAAGCTATAGACAGTAATCAAAACAATTTGGTACTGGCATAAATACAGACATATGGACCAATGGAACAGAATAAAGAGCTGAGAAATAAACCCATATATATACGTTCAACTAATTTTTCACAAAGCCTCCAAGAATACATAATGGGGAAAAGATAGTTTCTTCAATAAATGGTGTTGGGAAAACTGGATATCCACATGCAAAAGAATAAAATTGGACCTTTATCTTTTACCACACACAAAAATCAATTCAAGATGGATTAAAGACTTAAATGTAATACCCCAAACATAAAACTCCTCAAAGAGTTTTAGGGGAAAAATCTTGTTGACATTGGTCTTGGCAATAAGTTTTTTGGATAGGATAGCAAAAGCACAGACAACAAAAGCAAAAATAAACAAGTGGGACTACATCTATGTAAAGATATAGGGAAAAGCAAACTCAGTTTCTCCTTTTACGCCCTACTCTTACACAGTCACACAAGACTTCTGACACCAGATGTGTATGTGGAGGTATTTCCTCACACCCTAAGCAATCAACCAAATTCTCCAGATTCTGCAGTAGACACCAGCTGGGTGTCCTCTAATTCAATTCAGCTCAATTCTGACACTATCTACCTGGAGATATTGTCAGAACCTGCAGGTTAAGGGCTCATCCCCTACTTCAGATGCCAATTGCAAGTTTGGGCTTCTGGACCTTCTGAACAGTGGCCGTAAATCAGAGTTCCCATGACCCTCTCAGGGTACCCAGAAGCCCCCAGCCATCAGTCAACTCAGTACACTGAAGACACTTTTATCACTCTAGAGATTCCAAGGATTTTAGGAGCTATATGTCAGGAGACTGGAACAAAGGCTAAAGATATATTTCACAATGTCACAATCAAATTAAAAAGTTTCTGCCCAGCAAAGAAAACAATCAACAAAATGAAAAGGCAGCCTACATAATGAGAGAAAATATTTGCAAATCATATATCCAAAATATATAAGGAACTTATATATAACTAAATAGCAAAAACAACACAAAACAAAACACGAAAACACCACTAACAACAACAAAAGCAAAAGCAAAAACAAACAAATAACCTGATTCAAAAATAGGCAAACTATCTGTAATGTTTAATATTGAGTGCCAACTTGATTGGATTGAAGGATGCAAAGTTCCTGGGTGTGTCTGTGAGGCTGTTCCCAAGGGAGATGACATGATTTGAGTCATATATACATTTGAGTCGGTGGGCTGGGAAAGGCAGACCCACCCTCAATCTGGGTGGGCATCATCTAATCAGCTGCCAGCGTGGCTAGAATAAAGTAGTCAGAAGATGGAAAGAGTAGGCTGGCTGAATCTTATGGCCTTCATCTTTCTCCCATGCTGAATGCTTCCTGCCCTTATACATCGGACTCCAAATTCTTCAGCTTTTGGACTCTTGGACCTACACCAGTGGTTTGCCAAGGGGTCTTGGGCCTTCAGCCACAGACTAAAGGCTGCACTTTTGGCTTCCCAACTTTGGGGATTTTCGGACTCGGACTGGCTTCCTTGCTCCTAAGCTTGCAGATGGCCTATTGTGGGACTTCACCATGTGATTGTGTGAATCAGTACTCCTTAATAAACTCCCTTTCATATATACATCTATCCTATTAGTCCTGTCCCTCTAGAGAACCCTAATACAGGAACTGAATAGACATTTTACCAAAGAAGACACAAAAATGGCCAGCAGATATATGAAAAGGTGCTCAAAATCATTAATCATCAGGTAAATGCAAATCAAAACCACAATGAGGTATTACCTCACAACTGTTGGGATGGCTATTAGGAAAAAGACCAGAGATAACAAATGTTGGTGAAGGTTTGGAGAAAAAGGAACCTTTGTACACATTTGGTAGGAGTGTAGATTGGTACAGCCATTATGAAAAACAAGATGAGGTTCCTAAAAAGTTAAAAATAGAACTACCATGTGATCCAGAAATCCCTCTTCTGGGTACATACCCAAAGGAAATGAAATCATTATCTTGAAGAGATATCTACAATCTTACATTTATTGCAGCATTATTTACAAAGGCCAAGTGAATGAAGAAAGAAATTGTGAGGTATGTGTGTTTTTGTATATACATGTATTTGTATATGTGTTTGTGTGTGTGTGTATATACATATATATATGAATAGATCTAATGTACAGCATGTGACTATAGTTAATGTATTGTATATTAGAAATTTGCTGAGAGAGTAAATCTTAAGTGTTCTTACACAAAAAAGGGTTACTATGTGAGGTAATGGATATGTTAATTAGCTTGATTACAGTAATCATTTAACGGTGTATACATATATCAAATCATCCCACTGTACACCTTAAATATAAATAACTTTTATTTGTCATTCAAAGCTCAATATAGCTGGAAAAAATCAATTATTGGCTATTGGGCTGGGGCAAGTTTATATAACTTCACTCAACTCCAAAGTTGTAATTTGTCCTCTGTAAATGGGAATAATGGCACTCAGTTTTGTAAAGATCAAATCAGTTAATCCATATAAAGTAACCAGCATGTAGTAAGCACTAAATAAATGATAGACACCACCACTATCATTGTCCTCATTAATATTTTATAATGCCCCACCTCAGAGCTTCACTCATGCTGTTCCCTTTGCTGGGACACACTCCACTCTTTTACCAGCTCGTTCTTACTCACAGTCTGGTCTCAGTTTAAACCTCACTTCTTCAAGGGTACCTTCCCTGACCCCTGAGTTTAGATCGGTTGTAGGCTCCTGTACTTCTGTTCATTCATATTGCACAAGTCTGTGAACTTTGGGAGAGTAGAGACTATGTTCTCTTGAGCACTTTTCTGATGCTCTACCTAGCAAAGGACCTGACATATAGTAAACAAGGATAGTTATCGAATGAATGGTTCAACTCTGTTCAAGATGTGCCTGGAAGGAAAATTTCAAAGGAGGAGGGAGACTGTCTCTGGCAAGAAGATTGATTTGACTCACTTTTACAGGTGTTTGAACCCCTCACCTACATTTGATTTAAAGGCTGAATTTGGGCTATCTTTGCTCTCACAGCTACTTGGCAACCTGATTTTGGCTTGGGGAGACATAAGAGATGGGATCCAAACTTCTCAGACTACAATGGGCTCCATATTGCGTATAAAATGTCTGACCCTGGTCATAGTCTCAGCCTGACTCCCAGAGCGTCTATGTCAGTGCCTGGGCAGGCCTCTGTTGGAGAGATGGCACCCATCTGGATTGGAATTAAAAACCCCTGTATTTGACTTGCACGGTGGCTCATTCAATGACAGAAGCCAAAACAAATGAAAGACAGCATCAAGAATTGGCTGTGGTCCTGGATCTAAGTTGGGGCACTTAGGGCCTTGCCAAGGGATTGGGATGGGGGTGAGCATGATAAAATTATGATTAGATGATTGGATGGCATTTGTAAGACACAAGATAGACCAACCATCCACAGATCTCTGTACTGTTACATATGGGAACTGTTGCCAGGGACATAAGCCCCCTCCCTTCCTGACTTCCTACCTAGTCAGCAATTATGATCTGTCCTGCCTTCTCTGAGGGAACCTGGACATCAGCCACCTGCTGCAGGACACCACTTTGCAGCTGGGCAGGGAGTCACTGGCCCTCTTTCTACCAATCTTGAGCTGGTAAAGACAAGCTGCAGTGTGTGTATTATCAGGCAGTAACTGAGGACTGGGGCAGGTTTAAGAATTTAAGCTTAAATGGAATCTATATATAGTTTAAAAAACAAAAATCTTTTAGGTGCCTTCTTATCTTAGCCATTTACAACCATCTTCACAGAAACTTGACTTTGTGACCAAGAGGGAATCAAGGGCCTGAGTTCTACCCCAGCTCTGCAGTGCTGGCCTGCAACTTCCAGTAAGTCCTGTCCTCCTCCTCCTGATCTTCGATATAGTAGGGAGATAGGGCAGATATCCTTTAATATCTCATCTCATTTTAATATTTTGTTATTATATCTTAACCCTGTGGCCTGGAGCCTGGCTGAGTACCTGGCACATGGTAGGCCCTTAAGAAGCATCTGTATTAAGTACTTTTTGCATATGTAGCCTAGATTTTTGGTGAGCTAATAGATTTAGATAGAAAATTGCCTTGATTCATTTCTTCGGATTGTCAATGGACAGGTCAACACAAGTATCATTGAGAAGCAGGAAGCACTCTGTAGATACTGAGCAAAGTGCAAAGTAAAAACCTATTAAATTCCCAACAGCAACAGTTACTGAAATCTCCTCTCCTGGCCCTCCTGCAAAACACAATACCTTCAAGCCACTCTTTCATCATACTAGCAATTGACAGTATCCTGTTCTCTAAATCTGGAACTCCGATTCATAAAAAAGAAAAACAATGGAGACATTGATTTTTCAGAAGCAGGACTCCAGTCTGCTATGAAGGGCAGGTGTTTGGCCTATTCAGTTTCTGTTATTCTAAGCCTGGCATGGGTCCCCCCACTCCACCCCCCACCAAATGCTCTGACAGTGAGGAGGTAAGCAGGAGAAAAGGAATTAGTTCAGTTCTAAGTGTTAAGTGAAGCAATGGTGGGATCCATCTTCAGCACAGGGCATAAGGATAGAAGATGAGGCTGGCCCCAGAACATGAGGTTAAATGGGTCATCAAAAGCCGGTGTGACCCTCTGAGCTGCAGAGCCCAGATATATCCAGTGTGTTATAATAGAGACAGAAAAGATCTGCAAGGGACTATGTCAGTCACAGAGGTAGCATCAGGAGTTTGGAATTTTTTTCATTGTAACAGACTTGTACCTAAATGTGTGTACAAATCTGGGTGTAGTAGATATTTGTTGCATTTTCCTCTTAGCACCACTCTCCCTTACTGTGACAATAGGACTTTGATTTGATTGAGAGGAATTAATTCTTTCCTCTATTTATGCCAAGGGCTCTGACAAAGAAGGCAACCCCAGGGTGGAGCACATGACTCAGACTAAATCAACTGAGGGGGGCACTTTACCTCCAGCCCACCCTCTATAGTTTAGGGATGAACACTCAACCCAAGTCATGTCAGGTGGTATCAGTGAGTCCCAACCCAGGACTTTGGTCTGCTCTCTAAGGGAAGTGGGCTCTCCTAGACATGCTAATCATGATATGTGAAGATTGAAACTACTGGAAGACCCTGTGTAGATCCTGGACTTGGAGCCAACCCAGAGGCGGCTAAGTTGTGAGATGAACTCAGGGGATGTTGTGTATATCCTGGATTGTGCCATATCCAGGGGTGTTTCAGTTATGTGAGCAAATAATTTCTCTCTTGCCTAAGCCAATGAGCATAAAGTTTTTGTAACTTTCAACTGAAAGAGCTGACTGGCTCACTGACCTTTAGCTGCTATTCAATTTTCTTTTCCCCATGAACCAAATTCCTCTAATGTATGGGCTGGAACAACATAAAAATGGAGCTATGAAAATGTGTTTGAGGGTGAACTGTGACAGGCACTCACTCTTAGGGGAAAGTCCTATCTCACCAGTTTTGCTCAAATTACTCTTACCTTTGGTTTTCTTGATAATATCTGATAAAGGTAAACACTGCCTTCTGACACTCTGCATTTCTATATCTACTGTGAGTGCCATTGAGTGACAACCTGCATAACATTTATAGAAATATGTTTAATAGCTTTTCTTTTTTATTGGGATATAGGTAGAGAGGATTGAGATTCTTCACCTTTTCCAGGCTTGCTTTTAGGAGATATATATATATATATCTCCTATATATGCAGACTGGTGCTCCCCATACCCTTGTGGGAAGAGGCCAAGGCACCGGGAGCCATTTCCCACTCTGAGCAATATCTGTGTTGGGAGTGTCCTGATTCAGATGGTGATTTTAAAATCCATGCATTTGGAATCCCTGAGGTCACCGGATGAGAACACCCCTCCCCAAGCCTAATGTCAAAGACTCAGCCTTTCTATGATCAATGGTGGGATATGAATTGTTATGTTGGTGAAGGAGGAGTTGGCAGTGGTGTTGAGGTTGGGGGGAATTGTGAAAAATCCTGCAATGTGGAAAGTGTTTGGAGTGGAACCTTTTATGAATGTTTACTCCCGGAAGCTGGGATTGAGTTGGTGCCTGGTTTGGCTCCGCTGTGCAGATGTGTACCATGAGGTCAGCAAATCCTATAGTTCTATATAAGTCATACTGACTTCTGGGATCATAATGTTACCCAGGAACCAAAGGGAGCCATGATTACAGCATGGTTGGGTGTGGTGGTCTACTTCCTTGATACTTAAAGTGAGGTCTGAAGACCAGCAGCAGCACAGCATCATCTGTGAGCTTATTAGAAAAGCAGGATCTCAGATCTCATGCCAGACTTACTACATCAGAATCCCCAGGTGATTTGTATGCACAGTAAGTTTGAGAAATGCTGGTCTATGCCTACTGACTCCAGTACTTCTCTTGATTCAGCATATAATGAGCACCCACTGTGTTCTGGCATTGTGCTGAGTATTACAGATATAAAGATGAATAATCCCATCTTTTCTAAAGAGCTTTTCACTCTTTATGGCTTATTTACTTCTTACTTTTTCCTCCAGTATCTCCCCAACCCTCCACATTTTGGCTTTTGCTGTGTCTCTTCACTGAAATTCTTTCTTTGAAAACCACAAATGACCTGTTTGTTGTCAGATTCAATTTGCTCCTCTCTGTAGCATTGAGCATCTCTGATCAACACCTACTAAATGCTGTCCTCTCCTGGGTTTGCTGACATTGTGTCATCTTTATCCTTCCTTTCCCTCTCCCTACACCCCTGCCTCATATACTGGCCTGTCTTCATCTTGCCCAGGGCTCTCTCCCAACTCAATCCTTACCCTCTCACCAGGTCATCTCATCCAGATCCAAGACAGGAATTGCTTTTATTATGAAGTCCTTGGCCCTCTAGGAACTCCAGAACTGCTGATATTAAAAGGGCACCCTAAGCATCTCTTTCCTATAGACTTTTTTGCGAAGTTGTCAATTGATTCCAGTACGGAATTAGATTTGCTGAGTATCCATGAAATGAGGGGAGTAGGTATTGGTGGGTATTTCCGCTGCAACGAATTACCCTTTGGTGCTGTAACATTATCACAAGCTTGGTGGCTTTAAACAAATTTATTATCTTACAGTTCTGTAGGTCAGAAAGCTAATGTGAGTCTCATGGGACTAAATAAAATCAAGGCATCTGATAGCCTGTGTTCTTTCCTGGAGGCTGTAGGGGAGAATCTGTGCCCTTGCCTTTTCCAGCTTTTAGAGGCTTCTTAGATTCTTTGGCTCCTCCATCTTCAAAGCTAGCAACAGAGAGCTAAGTACTTTTCATGCTGCCATCACTCTGGTTTTCTGCAGCTTGGAAAGGTTCCCTGTTTTTTAAGGACTCATGGGATTGGATTGGACTCACCTGCATAATCTAGGATCCTCTGACATCTCAAGGTTCTTATCTTTAATCACATCACAGAATCTCTTGTTACAGAGGTTAACATATTCACAGGTGCAGGGATTAGCACATGGACATATTTGGAGTTTATTATTTTGTCACTACAGTGTGACTGAGCAGAGCAGAGGTTCGAGGAAGGGGACTGGAAGGGTGATGTGTTGCCGAGGTGTCCAGGATGAATCCAATAAAAAATGAGTTAACAGGACACCTCAGTGCCAAAATCAGAAAGGTGGGGTGGGAGTGAAAAGGAGGGGCGGGAAGGGGCAGAGATGTGGGTGAGGAGATGGAGAGCCTGGGCCCAGCTACTACTTACCCATGGCTCCTAAGTCTATGCCCAGTCAAATGCAGAACAACACTTCACGCTCATCGGGTTCAATGCTAAACTCATGGTGTCCCTTGTGTCTTTTATTCTTTTTGTTTTCCCTGTCTCTGTGAATGAGACCACCATTTCACTGTTATTCAAGGCAAAAATGTCAGTCATCCTGCTTTTCTCTTCCCTTATCCTCTCACCAACAGGTCCTGGATCTCTATCAAGTTCTGTAAACTCATGTTTCTCAAATACAGCCTACTGCCCCAGACACGCGCAGGCCTCCTACCCTCCACTGAACTGAGAGCAAAGCCTCGGGCCAGCCTTCCTGCTTCTGTGACTATCTGATTTCAGTCAATTTCCCATTCTGATGTCTGGTTATCTTCCACAAATCACCTTAGTCCAGCTTAAAGACTGCCCACTGCCTTCAGGACCAAGTTCAAAGTTGGCATGATTTTTAAAGCCTACTTGGCAACCATCTCCTTATCTTGCCTTATTTTTGACAAATTTCATCCTGTACTCTATACTTCAGCCTCACTGAATCTTTACTTTTCTTCAACCATGCCTTTTACTCTTTCTAGCTTTAGCAATGTTGCTCCCTTCACCTGACCCTCCTGATCCCACAAGACTCAGTTCAGCTACTCCCTCCCTTTGCTTCTTCCAGGTAAAGTTGGTCATGCCTCCCTCCCCAGACTTCCATAACTTTTTGCACAAATTGTGATTATAGCATCTAACATATTACCTTGTACTTGTGCCTGCATCAATGTCCCCTTCCAGACTTGCTAGGCAATGTTGGGAGAGCCCTTCTTTGTCACCATGAAATTTCATTTCTATATTTTGTTATGAACAAAGCTATTGGCACGTATGACTATGTCCATCTCCCCACTAGGCCACACCATCCTTCAGAATGGTGAATAAATGAATGCTCTTTTTTTATTCATTTCTGAGAGCTAAGAAATGAAGCCCCTACCTACCCACCCTGAGGAGAAAGAGACTTGTTCTACACTCCCCACCCTGAAGATCTATCTTCTTGGTCATGGTTTTGTCCTCTGGATATCCCAAGGAAGGTGTGAATTTTAGTCTTAAGGAAGGCTGGAGGGTCAGCCTAGAGGCAGTGACCTTTGGGGCCTCTTTCTAACTTGGAGATCTTGTAGAGTTATGCTTCTAGGGAAAGCTAATATTGGTTTCCAGGTACTATCACTCAGAAATAATTTGAGATGGATGCATGTGTCCTCTGCAGTTTTCTGTTTGGATACATTTAAGTTTGTATTGCCGTTTGTTTATTTAGTCAATTAATATTGGCTCCTATGTGCCAAGCCCCATGCAAAGCCAAGTGGAGAGGAGAAGGGAGTCAGAAAGGCTTCTGTCCTCATGGAGTAAAGTAGTCAAAATTAGCACTGTGCCAGGTAACAAATAACACTATAGGTGCTCAGGAGAGCTTAGGTTCTATTCTGAAGGCAGCAAAGAGCACTGAAGTAGTGACATGACTAGGTCAGACAGAGGTTGAGGGAAGCTTTGGAATGAAGTGCCATGTCGGTTGGGCCCAGGAGTGGGGTATGCATTTTTACAGCTAGTGAGGGAGAGGGGAGGGGTGCTCTGGAAGGAAGAAATGATGGGAGGAAATACTCAGATGTGGGAAAGCAAGAGAGTGAGTGTTCAGAGAATCCCTACTTTCTTAGGAGATTTGGTGAAATCCCTGCACAACTAGCCTGGAAACTACCCAGATGTGTCCACAGAGCAACAGCACATGTTTGACAGTTCGCATGTTCTGTATCTTGAAGGGCTCTTCCCAGGTGCGTCCACTGAGGGAGACTCTCACCCAGACATGAGAAATTATGGTCCGATGCTTTCACTTTGTATGCTGTTCTGTCACAACAGCAACAGTGGCTTCTGCTTCTTTGGGCCTGGCTTCCCTGGAGGTAGCCCCACAATGATGATACTCCAGGCTCCTGCTATAAAGAGAAACACTTGCTTAAGTTCAGCCTCTGTTCAGCTGAGGAGGCCCTTTTTTGGGAACTGGAAACTGCCGTGATTGCTAGGAGGAGTCAATTTTAGGAGAGGAGAAACTTCTCATGAAGACTCTGTATAGTAGATATATATAGGTCTTCTGATTACAGCCGCTTCAGTGACAGTGAAGCCTGTTCATGGTCCGCATCTTCTCTTTGGAAGTCACATAATGCTTTCATCATTTATATAGATAGCACTACTTTTGTTCTGCTCCAAAAGTTGTGGTGCTGTCTTAGGGGGCATATCCCGGACAGAACTCATGCCTGCCAGTTCTGTCCCACTGGCAAGGAGAGATGATGAGTGTTCTGAAGGTTTAAACCAAGGACCTGATTGGTGAAGAAATTACAGCCAAGGAACCAGGAGAAGACAGCAGGGAATGACAAACCTTTCAGTACAGTGGGCTAGGCAATGCATACAATCTATTAGATAAAGTTAGATGGTCCTTTCCCTTGATAACCCTAGTCTTTTGTTCCACTAGAGAGTCACAGGCTAAGATTTCAGAGACTCATAGCATCTGAATGTTAGTCAAGACCTGGGAAAAGCTCTGGCCCCAAATTTCATTTTTTTCTTAAACCTCAGCCTTGCAATTTAAATGGAAAATACCATGTATTTCCTCATAGAAATAGTTACACTTTTGTCAGTTAAGTGATTACATATGAATGTCTGTTTAGTGTCTCTATTTTGTGCCATCTCTCTAGCTTCTAGCCATCTGAATTTCAAAGGTTTGTAATTTTGTTGTTTTTAATGGGTATAAGGTTTAGGTTGCTAGTCCTTTCTGAATAATTTTTATTGAAGTGTAACTTACAAAAGTACAACAGGAAGAAGCATAAGAATATAGATGATCAATTTTTACAAAGTGAACACACTGATATATCCTCTACTAAGGTAAAGATATACATTACCAGCATTCTAGAAGCTTCTATCATGCCCTTTCGTAGTCATTTATTGAATGTATGCATTCATTTCTGTAATATTAATAGAGGTGAAATTGCTGGGTTATAGGGCATGTGTATATTTAGCTTCAGTAGATACTGACAAACAATTTTGCAAAGTGATTGTATCAATTTAGTTTTCCAACAGGAGTTTGTGAGAGTTCCAGTTCCTCTGCATCCTTGTCAACACTTGGTATTGTCAATCCTTGTCATTTTAGCCATTCTGGTGGATACAAAGTAGTACCTCACTGTGATTTTAATTTTCAGTTTTCTACCCACCATTAATAGTGAACAACTTTCCATGTGTTTGTGGGCCACCTGGTTACTGGCCATCCTGTTCAAGTTTGTTGTTTACTTTTTCCTAGGTTGTCTGTCTTTTAAAAAAATTAATTTGTAACATGATGCCTCCAGCTTTGTTCTTTTTGCTTAGGATTGTCTTGGCTATAAGGGCTTGTTTTTGGTTCCACATGAAATTTAAAGTAGTTTTTTCTAGTTCTGTGAAGAAAGTCAGTGGTAGCTTGTTGGGGATAGCATTGAATCTATAAATTACTTTGGGCAGTATGGCCATTTTCACAATATTGATTCTTCCTATCCATAAGCATGGAATGTTTTTCCGTTTGTTTGTGTCCTCTCTTATTTCCTTGAGCAGTGGTTTGTAGTTCTCCTTGAAGAGGTACTTCACACTCCTTGTAAGTTGTATTCCTAGGTATTTTATTCTCTTTGTAGCAATTGTGAATGGGAGTTCGCTCATGATTTGGCTCTCTGTTTGTCTATTATTGGTGTATAGGGATGCTTGTAATTTTTGCACATTGATTTTGTATCCTGAGACTTTGCTAAAGTTGCTTATTAGCTTAGGGAGATTTTGGGCTGAGACGATGGGGTTTTCTAAATGTACAATCATGTCATCTGCAAACAGAGACAATTTGACTTCCTCTCTTCCTATTTGAATACCTTTATTTCTTTCTCTTGCCTGATTGCCCTGGCCAGAACTTCCAATACTATGTTGAACAGGAGTGGTAAGAGAGGGCATGCTTGTCTTGTGCCGGTTTTCAAAGGGAATGCTTCCAGCTTTTGCCCATTCAGTATGATATTGGCTGTGGGTTTGTCATAAATAGCTCTTATTATTTTGAGATGCATTCCATCAATATCTAGTTTATTGAGAGTTTTTAGCATGAAGGGGTGTTGAATTTTATCAAAGGCCTTTTCTGCATCTATTGAGATAATCATGTGGTTTTTGTCGTTGGTTCTTTTTATGCGATGGATTACATTTATTGATTTGTGTATGTTGAACCAGTCTTGCATCCCAGGGATGAAGCCGACTTGATCGTGGTGGATAAGCTTTTTGAAGTGCTGTTGGATTCAGTTTGGTAGTATTTTATTGAGGATTTTCACATCAATGTTCACCAGGCATATTGGCCTGAAATTTTCTTTTTTTGTTGTGTCTCTGCCAGTTTTTGGTATCAGGATGATGCTGGCATCACATACACATACACATGAGTTCTTGGTCAGATATGTGTATTGGAAATATCTTCTCTCAAATGTATCAGTCTTTATCTTTATGGTTAGCACTTTTTTTATCTTGTTTAAGACGTATTTGCCTAGCTCAGGATTATAAATATATTCTCCTGTGTTATATCCTCTAGAAGATTTATTGTTTTACCTTTCATATTTAGGTCCATGATTCATCTGGAATTGATTTTTCTAAGTGATGTGATTGGGGTCAAGATTCTTTTATTCCCCATGAAAATATTCAGTTGGCCCAGAAATATTAATTGAAGACAGTAATTCCCCTACAGAAATCATAGTCACATCTTTGTCATAAATCAGGTGACTAAATATGAACAAATCTGTTCCTAGACTCTCTGTTTAATGCCAGTGCTTCATTTGTGTATACTGGCACCATTCTTTGCAGTCTTAAATATGTTAGCTTTATAAAAATCTTGCTATCTAGTAGTAAAAGTACCCTAACTTTATTGTCTTGGCCATTTCAGGCACTTTGTATTTTCATATAAATTTTAAATCCAGCCTGTCAATTTCCACAAAAATGCATTTTAGTTCTACTTATATATTAAACTCATCCAAGACATTATTTTAAAGTCAATATTTACTTTGTTTTATCCATGTATTTATTCTCTTGAATCTTCTTTTTTCTTTTCCATTTTACCTGTTTCTATATAAGGTCATTTTCCTTTTGCTGGAGAACTTCTTCTAGTATTTATTTATTTTAGTGTGGGCCTCCTGATAACAAATATTCTCAATTTTTGCCTGTCTTAAATGTCTTTATTTTGTTTTATTTTTGAAGGTTATATTTTTTGGGTATAGAATTCTAAATTAAGACTCATTTGCTTTCGTACTTCAAGTATGTCATTATAGTCTTCCCTTTTCCATAATTTCCATTAAAAGTAACATGTAAGTCATATTAGGTCTTTTTTTTTTTTCTTCTGGTTGCATTTCTAGATTTTTTTTTTTTTTTTTTGCCTGGGTTTATTGAAGGGTCTTAGTCCATTTGTCCTGCTATAATTACATGCCTGAGACAAGGTAACTCAAAATAAAAATTAATTTTCTCTTAGTTCTGGAGTTTGGGAAGTCCAAGATCAAGGTGCCAGTACATTTGGTTCTGGTAAAGCCTGCTCTCTGCTTCCAAGATGATATCCTCTTGCTGCATCCACACATGACATAAGGGGGCAAAAAGGGATGAATCCTGGCTGTATCCTTGCATGACAGAAGAGATAAAAGAGCCAGATAGCTCTGCAGTCTTTTTTATAAGGGCATTAATCTCATTCATGAGGGCAAATCCCTTCCTACTTGATCACTTCCCAAAGGCCCCACCTCTTAATACTATCACATTGAGGATTAACTTTCCACATGAATTTTAGACAGACACAAAAATTCAAACCATAGCAAGTAGTTTTCCTATTTTCTGCATGCATGCTTTTACTTATATTTCATCTATTTGGGGCTTACGAAGATCCTTGAATCTATGTATCGGTATCTTTTGTCAGTTTTGGTCATTTTCTCTTCAAATATTGCTTCTGCCTCACTCTCTCTTCTTTTTCTTTTGGGATCTCAAATACATATATATTAAATTTTTCTAAATTGTTCCATATACCTCATTACTTTTTTCTGTGTTTACCATTCATGTTGCTTTATGTTTCAGGTTGTTTATTTTTATTGTATTGATATTTCCAGTTTATTAATCTATACTTCTGCTGTGTCTAATCTACTGTTTAAACTCATACATTTAATTCTTAATTTCAGTCATTGTCTTTGTCAGTTTCAAAAAAAAAAAAAAATTTACATTTGATTCATTTTATCGATTCTGATAATTCTCCATTTGATATCTATTTTCTTGTACATCTTAATATTATTTTAAATATTAAATTTAATTACTAATTATTAATTTAATTATTTAAAAATCTGAATCTAATAGTTTCTAAGTGTTAACCTGTAGGCTTGTTTCTTTGTCTTTTTTTCCTCTTGGGTTTTGAAAATTTCATCCTGACTCCTGTCATGCCTGGTTATATTTTATGGAATGCTGGAAAATGTATATGAGAAATTACAGAAGTTCTGTTCGACATTATCTTCCTCCACAGAGGATTAAAATTTCTCTTCTGTGAAATAATTAAGTTAGGGGAAGGTCACCTTTACCTAATAGTGGCTAAAAATGTTTCAAAGTTTGGTTTCCTGTTTTAGAGGGCTCATTTATTCTCAATTGCCTTTAAACCTAAGGCAGAACATTTTAGAGGTCTTCAGTGAAGACATGCATTGCTTATCAGGGTATCTTCTCTTTGGTGGGCCCTAAACTTTGACATAAACTAGCATCAGTACACAAAATAGCACTTGATCACGATCCCTCAGCTTCCATACTGAGTCCTCTGAGGACAGTTAATCAATCCCCATCCACAGGAAACACAGCTGCTAATGAACCTATTCATACACAAAGGTATTACATCTTCACCTTCACTACCATAGAGTCTACCTCCATTCCCATTTCCATGGAACCATCCTACTTTTCCCCACTCTCTCCCAAACCCCAAGTACCAGACACTCTCATCCTATTCCTTCTCCATTCTATGCCTATTCCTATCCTATACCCTATGCATAGCTGAGGAATCCCATTTAATTTAATTTCTCCCTGTGAGCATTATTAGCTTCAAGGAATCGTACAGAGTTCTTCCTCCCAGATACACAGTGATTCAGGCCAGGCCTTGGAGACCTGCCATCCTATATGTTTCTATACCATTGAGGAATGCATTTAGGACCACAGCAATAACTGTTGTTATCCACCCTCCTCCAAGAACTATTAGGACCAGTCCCATCATTTCCGCTATTCCATACATCCCTGTTTAACTGGCAAAAATCAAATCATCCCTGGGCATCCATAATCTCCTATAGTCTCATCCCTGAACTATTTTGTACATCTACTAATCAGACTCCACATCTCTCCTACTCTGTGCCTGCTGAAACTCTCTCTGTGCAGTTATAGTCTCCCATATACTCACCTCTTTTCAGACATCCCTTGCATTTAGGGAACCAGACATTGTAGAATAGAGGTAAGCATTCCTGCTGTGTCATGCCTCAATTCCTGTCCCACATAATTTTTGAGAATATGTAACCATATAAAATAGCTTTTGTTTTACACTACTCAGTTGTGGGTTGTTTGTTACACAGTATTAGGTAAGCAAAACAGAGCCCATCCAGTCTCGGGAATATACATAAAAGTTTTATGCAAAGGACTCCCACATGTATGTATTAAGCGTAAACTTCTCTCCTGAGCTCCAGATTCAAAAACTCAGTTCTCTCCTTGACATCTGCCCTTGAGTGTCTAATAGGCACCTCAAGGTAATATTGAATACTCTCGAATATCTGACTCCTAAACCTGCCCCTGTCTTACTCCCAGTCTTATTTTAGTGCATAGCACAAATATCCACTTGGTCTTTTATCCCCATATCCAGTCTACTTGCAAGGTCTGTAGAGTCTGTCTACCTGTCTTCATCTCCAGGGTCACTTCCTGAATTCACGCACCTTTCATTTTGCACCTACATTTCTGCAAGAACCTGTAACTGGTCACTGTGCCTCAGAGCTCAACCTTTCTAGCTTCTCCTCCTCACTGCTCACCAAGTGATTATTCTAAGATGTAATTCTGGTGGGCTCACTGCTCAGTTAAAAGCACTTTGATAGTCCTTCAATACCTGATAAGATAAAACTCAAAGTCCTTGTAGTCACATGTAGGGAACTTCATAATCTGGATCCTTTATTACCTGACCCCAGACTCCCTCTTTCCCTCTTACATTGCTCTGGCTGCACAGAATCACCAGGTTTCCTGAAAACACTGTCCCCTTTCACACCACTGTGCTCGTCCATACTGTTCATTCGAACTGGCATTTCCTTCTCCCACTCCTCTTGCCACATACCTAGAAAACTCTACATCCTTCTGGACCTTGCTCAGGTGACATTTTTTGTGTGTGTGTCACATGGTTTCTTACCTCTACAACATCAGATAGCTGGAAGTTACTGGAGACTTAGCAACTAGAGAGAGAAATAATAAATCAGCTGTAATTGTTATATTCAATTTGTTTTATTTCCTTCTGTTTTCCCCCATGCCCATTTACACACACACACACATACTCACACACATTTATAACTATAACTTACATGCGGTTTTGTACTTTGCTTCTTTCACTTAACACAGTATCAACAAAGCATTATTAAAAGTGATTTAAGTGAGGTGATGCAAATGTTCTACGTTGTCATTGTGATGGTGCTTAAGTGACCATATACATTTGTTAAAATGTGATTGTATTGTGCAGTTAACATCTGTGAATTTTTATGGATCATACATTTTTCCTTAATAAAGTTGATACAAACTTTCATGTATGCTAAAATCTATAGTTTAAAATGTTAACTAGTAACTTGGAACCTGTTGTAGATTTTTGAGCTAATCTTGTTCCTCTTTTGTGATCTCTCTGTGCACATTAGTTTTGTCTTTTTATGTGCAGCTATTGGTTTGTGTGCCTACTTCTGCTACACTGTGAGTTCCTGTTTATTCACCTTTGTATTCCCCAAGGACATGACCAGGGCCTAACTCAGAGTACATGCTCTGTAAATGTTCCATCCGTTCAATAAAAAACTAGTTATTGCAACAAATTTTAAACATTATTAGCTCAGTAATCATTAAAGAACCTGACATATGTTGCTGCTCACTTTTGTGAGTTTGGTGGGTGCCTGTTCCTTGCAGGTTCTGTTCCTGTCTTGGTGGGAATCTATAAGAATAATAAATTTTATTTTACTTCGTAAAAACTTACATAACGTCTGTTCTAAGGGCTTTATAAATATTAATTTAATCCTCAAAGTGGCCCTGGAGGATAGTTAATATTACTGTTATCCCCATTTTACAGAAGAGTCAATAAAGGAGGCACATAGATGTTTAGAACTTGCCCCAGTTTGCACATTGAGTAAGTAGAGGAGCCAGGATTTGGAATGAGGCGTTCCAGCTTCAAGGTCTAGGCTCTTCTCCACTCTACTTGGGCATAGGATGAACCCATGTTGTGAAGTTTGTCCTAGAGGAGTTCCTCTGGGGACACATATCTGTGCCTCTTTCTGGAAGTGCCTGCCATGGTCACCTCCTGCTTTCATGTACCTCATCCTCCTGTTTTCTGCTTTCACGGCATTGGCTGCCCTCACCCTCCCTGGTCCCTGGCCTCTAGCCCTCACTTCTGTGGCCCAGATTTTTGAGACCTTGCCTCCTCCATGTGAAATTGGGGTGTGAGTTTCAGGGTATTCTCTGGCTTGCCTCAACCTGCCTCAAAAGGTGACCCTAGTTGGCATAGTCAACCTTCCACAGACTGGCTGTCTTCCTGAGTCTATTCCAGGCGCATGGGGTCAGATGGTGTTGCTGACCATTGAAGGTCTGTGATCTCATTACCCACTGCTAAGCAGACCTGCCCTGGAGTGGGTAACAGCAGGAACCGCCACGCCAGATTGATGACAGGACTGTCTTCATGGGGACCCGGGCAGAAGAAAGGCATCACCCTCCTCCTCACCTATGACACCCCAGGAGAATACACACAACAAAGCTTACAGACCTCTAACTAGGGAGAGAGTAGGGATGGAAGATATGGTTGAGGCTGTTCACTTCAGCATCTTGTGGATGGGAGGAGGCTGTTAAGAGCACACTGGGAACAATCTGTCTAAGGGAGGATAATACAATGTTCATGTTCTTCTCTTAGCCAAAGATTTCACATTCATTAAAAATGATACCCAACCCTCTTTCTCTCATTGCAAGCATTAGCCACCTCCCCTGTCAGATTGAGAGTGTTTGTATGTTTGGGAATGAGTGGGTGTTGGGAGGAGGCTGGCAGCATAGATTCGACAATCTCCTGGTGTAATAATGGAGCGGGCGGATTCAATGACGCCCAATTCAAATTAGTCACAAGGAAATGCATGATCATCAGTGTGCCAGCACTAGGGAATTCCTCCTATTTAGTGAAATAAAGTGTCACAAACAACGGCTAAGAGAGAATTGTGTGTTTCCACTTGTGGGAGTGCTGATTTTTAAATTTTATTTCTGGAAAAGGATTATAGAAACATAAAACAAAAATATTTCGACTTGAAAAATACTTCCTAATTATATGTCATAAAATAATTAGGTCATGGCAAATTAGCACAAATGTTTACAGCAAAATTGCCATGTAAAACATTATTGGTAATATTATGCTAATTGCTGCAGAAGCAAAAGCTGATTATGTTTCGGCAGCATTAAAATTTGCCACGTCTGCATTTCTCTCCAGCATCACCAGTTTTCCATGAGAGCACCAAGCCTGTGATTTCAGTAGAAGCTTAACTGCTCGTCTTTGAGGCACCAAATCTGAAAAGCGATCTTCCTGAAGACCATGCTAAGGCAAGAACATCCATATAAGGGAGAATTCCTGAAAGTGTTCTAACACTTCAGTGGAAACTCATCAATGCTCTGTACCCAGAATAATCCCATTTCGGAGGGTGCATGGATGGGGCAGATGCATGATGTGCCCTGAGGAGCAGAGGAAACATGGGCTTGGGTTGTGAAGGATCTCAGAGAAGCTCTCCTGGACTGGCCCAAATGTCTCAAACTTTAATGTGCACATAAATCTATTAAAATGCAGCTTCCACTTCAACACATCTGGAGTGAGACCAGGTATTCTGCATTTTTAACAAACTCTGGTGTATGCTGGCGGATGTCTGGAGTGCTGCTGGTCCATGGACCGCATGTTGAGTAGCAAGGCCCTGGAGGAAATCTTGTCCAAGGTTGCAAATTCAAATGTCTTGGGGACCAGGTAGGCAATGAAGAATGACAGAGATGGGAGTAAGACAATTTGGAATGGCAGAACCTGTGAGGAAATGGAGGACAAGCAAGTCCATTAAAGGTATCCAAAAGCATTGGAAGAAAGAGAGGAGAGAGAAAGAGAGGGAGGGAGCAGGCGGAGAAGGGAGGCTTTTTTCTGCAATGCTGCAGAAAAGCCTTTTAGCCTAGAGGGATGGAGCCCTGGGTTAGACTTCATGTTGGGGGTTCTTTGGTCCTGCTCTAGCCAGGCATCTGGGACCCTATGTATTGTCCTGTGTTCCGTCACTTTAACCCTGCCTGAAGTCCCTGAGTCTTGTCCTTGGGGTCCAGAGGGCTTCAGTTTTTAGTTATTTAGACTATTGATACTTACATTGGGTTTATCATTTGGTGAGTCCCCACTCTGTGACATGGACTACACTCAGGTGTTCATAGGAATGATTTCATTTCATCCTCACAACAATAGTAGATCGTCTTACTATGCCCATTTTACAGATGAGGAAACTGAGACATGGAAAGGATAGGCAATTTGTTCAAAGTCTCATAGACAGAGCCAGGGCTGAAATCCTGTGTCTCTAACTCTAAATCATGCCTGTGTCACCATGAAAGTCTGCTTCCCCTTAATTCTCACCCATGAGACCGGCAAGTGCCACAATGCTGTGTCTGTCCTCCTTGTAGTCCCAGTGTGTGGTGCAGTGCCTGGTGCTAAATATTTGTTAACGTTGCATGAGTCTTATTTCATATTGGTGGCTTCCTTCTCCAAGAGTGACTCCCAACATCTTGCAAAAGGCAGGTCTTTGTGAGAAAAGATGTTTCATTTCCCAAGATCAGTCCCCTCAACATATGCTGCTGCGTAGAGTTCCCAGAAGGGCGAGGGCTTGCAGAGCGAGGCTCCTGCCCACCACCTTCTCTCATGTTTGCATTTTGAGCATAAGATTCACAAAGTACAGTCCAACTGCTTCACATTATTTTTTTCTGCTCAGAATAATAACCCTCTCGATTATGTTATTCTTTTTTATTATTTATTGTGTGCCCTGGGGAATTTTCATTTTAACCAAGACATTGGTTCAATTGCAAACTGGCAAAGAATGATTTGTAAGGAGATCAGTGTTGGGAGCTTATTAAAACATGTATTTAGGGGATGGTTTGGAAATAGGAAAAGGAAATCTCTCAGGAGAGGAGATATTTTCCAGAGTTGAAAAGAAATTATGGAATATGAGGGAGGGAAAAGAAGAGGACAGGGGAGGAATATTTAAGAAATAAAATTGATAGCAAAATAGGAGGTACATGGAGGAAAAAAATCTAAAGTCATAGCTAGGAAAATAAACAAAACTCCTCAGAAATAAAATATAAATTTGACTTCATTTAAAAGAGAATGAAAAATGTACCCCTCCATCTTGCAAGCTCGCAAATGAGTTTGAGCCCTCAGCTGGATTATTCAGATGTTTTATCTGAAGAACTATTGAAATTCCTGGGAGGGGGCTTCATCCTTACTCTAGAAGTGCAGGGGTTAACCAAGAGCCTCCTGGACCCAGAGACGCCTGCGACGCCCCTCCCAGAGTGAGTGGTCTGGGCACAAGGACTGCTCTGGAGCCTGGCTGGACACCTCTGGAAGAAGAGCTGTGTTGTGTCGGCTTTGCAGAAACCACTCCCGTTCCTCCTCCAGGGCCCTGTCAATGTCAGTGGTGCCTCTTGGAGTTGTGCCACATGGTGGCCCTGTCCCCCTTCCCAGGGATCCTCCTGAGCTGACAGGGCAGCTCCCTTCTCTGGGAGGCTTCCTGCTCCCCTCCTGTTTGCCGGGCATCCATTCCTGCGCCGTTGCTCCCCAGGCCTCTAATGGCCTCCATGGAGCATCTTTATTGTGCAGCCGTGATTTATGGGGGCCGGCCAGATGCAGCCAGGCCCAGAGTGCCTCTGCAGGGGCTTTCCCACCCCGGTGTGCTCAAGAGGAGGAGTTAAGGAAGAGTGTTTTCACACAGGGAGCAGAAGAGCTTGTTACAAAAGGCTCCAAGCGTTTCGATTCTCATCAGTGAATCCATATTCAGAGGCCCTGTGTCAGGCTGCTGGGGGACTGACAGCCGACCGCTGCCCAGCCTCTCAGAGGCAGTTAACAGCAGTCAAGCCTGCGACTACAAACAGCAATTTGTTTTCTTCAGACCTCTGTTTCTGAAATGAGGAAGGCTGAATTTCCTGAATTCTTGGGCTTCCATGGAGAAATTAATTCAGCAATGAAGTCTGGGAGTCTGAGATGCATGTTTTTATTATGCCATTTTAAACAAGAAGGGTGCCAGGTACCATCTTCTTGTTCTCTCTTGGGGGGTGAGGGGGTGTTTTCAGCATTGCTTTCAGTACCTCACATAATCCCTTCCCCAACACATGTATACACACGTGCACACACAGTGACACCCACCCCCAAACACACTAGGGTCCTCTGCTGTTGTCTCCACTCACCTCACTCAGTCCAGGAGCAGCCTGGTCATCTTCACTGTTGGGCAAGGTGGCCTTTCCTCCACCTTCCAAATGCCTGAGTTTGTGTGCCCAGTCCTCACATTCCCTGCTTTTACATCCCTTGCCAGCACAGGAGCAAAAGTGAGCATGTGCATTATTAACTTTGTGGTAGGCAACATAATATTCCCCCAAAGACATCCACATCTTAATCTCCAGAATCTGTGCATATGTTATCTTACATGGCAACAGGGACTTTGCAGCTGTGATTAAATTAGGGATCTTGAGATGGGGAGATTATCCTGGATTATCTGGGTAGGCTGAATGTAATCTCAAGGGTCATGATAAGAGGGAGGAAGGAGGGCCAGAGTGAGAGCTGATATGACAACATAAGTGGAGGCCAGAGCAATGCGGGGCCACAAGTCAAGGAATGCGGGTGCCTTGAGAAGCTGGAAAAGGCTGAAGGAAAACTCCCTGCCGACACCATGATTTTCATCCAGTGCCACCTGGTTCAGACTTCTGACCTCCAAAGCCATGATGTTTGTGGGAATTTGTTAGAACTGCAATAGGGAACTAGTACAACCTGGGGCAAGGCCAACATGACAGGCGAAGGAAATCCTCCTTTTCTGTCTTTGAGCCAGCAGGACATCGCATCTGTATCAGCTTGCAGCATCTAGGCGGTGGTAGGGGCAGGCAGCAGGAATAGGTGGGGCTCAGTCATGTGTCATGAGGCTCTAAGAGCTGGGGAAGACTGGATGTCAGGTTGTAGAACTGTGGCAGAAAGCTAGTGAAGTTTTAAATTTAAAACTTGCTGGATTCAGGGTTCAGGGCTAAACAATTACTAACAGCCCTGAACCCAGGGAGTGGGAGGCAGCCTGTATAGGCTAATGGAGGAAGCATGGCCCAGGCAGGCAAGCTGGGGACGGGCAAACGGGAAAATGTGACACTTTCAGACCTTCATTTTTCTACTGCTATATAGTTTCCATGCCTGGCTGATGACCAGAATTATTTGGGGTACCTGATAAAAGTATAGATTTGAGGTCCCATCCTGAGGCACTTGAGGAACTCAATCACCGGCACGGTCTTCAGTAACTTTTGTTGCACCAGGTATGGTATCTTGTACCCTCCTATTCCCAGCCATGTGGATGGGTCCCTATGGCTGAGTCCCTGCCTCTAATTTTCATTCTTCCTGGCAGTCATCCACTCCCACCCCAGCCACAGCACCCCATTGAATGGCATTCTGACTTGACCAGGTGTGGGTCCACAGGCACCCAGTCTGCTCAGTTATCCATCCCAGGCCTTCCCAGCCTCAGCTTAATTCCCTTGTCAGGCAGCTGACCTGCTGAGGTCACAGCACAATGTCCAGTGGAGCTCAGAGGTATTGACAGCTCCTGCTTCTACAAATACATCACATTTCTACCTATGCTGGCTCAGATCCTTTTAATTCTTTCTGTTCCTTCCCTACCCTTTCCAACTGGACCCCAGAACTGGGGCAGCTGAACCATTTTTCCTCCAACAGTCAGGGACTGCTGAAATTCGTGCGCCATTTTCTGTACTAAGACTCCTGTATTCACTTCCATTTAAAATAAATATTTATCTATCATTTGTAGGTCATATGCCCGTCTATTTTAGATCTTGCTCCTTTGAGTGCTGGGAAGCATGGCATAGGCGTTAAGACTTGAAATCCCTCCTGAATAGTTCTTCACTGTTTGACTTTGAGCAAGTTCTTCAGCATCTCTTGATCTCAGTGTCCCCATCTGTGCAATGGGGATAAAAATAGAACCTTGCATATAGTTTTCTTGCCAAGATACAATGAGCTAATTTATTTAAAATCCTTAGAGCAGCACCTGGCAAGTTGTAGGTGCTCAATAAGTGTTAGGTGTTATTATGATTGGTGCCAGCCTTTGAGAGATTTATTTCAGAAACAGAAATTTTAAAAATTTCCCAAGTTTGATTGACTCCATCTTCTAAAACTCTCCTCTTGCCAGCTTCAACTCTCAGCAGACCTTCAAATAGAGAGTGAAAAGAGTGATTTCAAACTCAGCTTATCTTTCTGGCCCTACATCCTTTTTTATAGTTGAGCAAACAAATAGAAATAAGCTCAAAAGGCAGAGCGGAGGGTGGGAGAGGCCAAGGTTGCTCAAGATGAGACAGCTGAGAGTCAGCCGAGGCTGGTCCACATGAATCTAATCCTCACACCATCTGTTTGCTGATTTTCCCCTCTGCCCTCCTCTTTGAGGAGCAAGACATTCGGAGCAGACGGAATTGAGGGCCCTGCAGACAGGTGGTCCCAGCTCTTCATGCTGGAGTTTTCAATTATGATGCCAGTCAATGGGAGAGAGTGGAGGGCGAAAATGAAAATGGAATATTTGGTTAGCGCTCTGACAAGCCATGAATCAAAACCAGGTGAAATTGCTCTGGGGTCTCGTGGCCTGTCAGCCTCCATCATCCATTCTGCTTGCTCCTCAGCAGTGTAATTCTGCACGCAGACAGTGACGTTCACAGGAAAGCAGACTCCAGCCCCGCATGACTGGGTCTTCCGCGGCCAGCCCTGCCAGGTACATTCTCAGGCCAGGACAGACAATCTGCCTCCATGGGCCTGCCGGCAAGAGGAGGTGAAGAGGGCGGGAGGAGGGGCCGTCAGCAGGGTGGGCAGAGAGGTGTGTCTGACCCACATCACAGCGCTGCAATGCCTGCTCACCTCTCAGGGCTCTCTGTGGGCGCTCATCAGTTCCCTGCAGAGTGGCTATTCATTCTTACTTGAGTAACCCTGGCAGAGGCTGGGAGCTGTGTCTGCTGGGGTCAAGGCCATAAGGCTGCCTCTGGTCAGTAGGAGAAAGGGGAAAGCTGCAAAGGAGAGTGTCTTCTCCATCCTCTTCTGCTTCTCTTCTCCCCTCACAGCCCTGACTGATTGAACGTCCATCAAGGAAGGAGCAGAGAGTGCTGGACAGGGAGCCCATAAATAGTGAGTTTTGATGGAACACATGAGTGAAGGAATGCTTGGTAGAGAGGCCAGGCTGAATTCAATAAAGCAAAGCCTCACTCATTCAAGGGTCTGCCATCCAGGGTGTGGAAAGCTGGCTTCTTTTGTCCTTTTTGTCACTCATGTTCATCATGTAAACATCTGTTGAGCACAGTGAGGATTACAATATGATTCCAGCTCTCAGGACCCCCATGGTCTGGGGCAGCTCAGATAGTAAATTGGAGTAAAGAAGGCAGTGGAGAGGCCAGCCTTGGATTCCAGGAGGTCCTGCAGAGAAAGCTAGTGTCAAGTAGGCCTCTGGATTGTCAGTACCTATTAGGGAGATGGCAGTCAGGGCTGCTGCTTACAGTTATGCAGGTTGTTCACTGCCCAAGGAAAAGGCATGGGAGGACTAAGGTAGAGCTCACTTTCCACCCACTGAGCCATATGTTCTGGCATGGTTGTGTCTGTCCAGAAGAACAGGAGACTTTGGATTCACACAGAGCATCAATGGGCCAAGGATAGCCCTGCAGTCAGACAGCAGAGAAGTCAGATAGTCAGCACTGGAGCACTGCAGCAGAGAAAGATCATGAGCTGCCCAGAGCCTCTGTAGCTGCAAAATAAGGCAGGATCAGGTCCAGTGATGCCAGAATGAGGTCAACAGCAGCTGATGTTAAGTTGGAGAGACAGAGTAAAATCAGATTCCAAGGGGCCAATTAAGATTCAAACGGTGAATAGTGAATAGAAGGTGAGGAAAAGCCAAAAGTCTGTTTCAGGTTCTGGCCTATGATCAGTCATTCAGGAGGGCCCATTGCTGTGGCCATAAAGCCTGATGCCATTCACAAGTGTCTGCTTGGCTGCCACTATCTGTACTTGCGGCACCTGCCTCAGATGGGAATTGGGTGGGGTGCAGTAGTACAAGCCATGATCTGGTGGCTCAGATCATGCTGATGGTGCCTGGAGGTACAACCAGGATCAGTGGCTGAAAGTTTCTGGTAGGTGGATTTTAGCTCAAGATAGGCTACCTAGCTATGAAATCTGTCGCTTTGTTTGATGGTGACAGAGGTGTCACTGGAGGTATTCAAGCCCCCATCAGGGAGCTCACATGAGGGATTCCTTGTGCCTAGTGGAAGGTTGGGCTAGAAGTTTCTGAGGTCCCCTTTCAGCTCTGCATCATCTGAATCTGTGAAACACCAGTCAGCTGGATTTCCTCCTTGTCAGAGAGGATTGATTGCAGAGGAAGTTGAAATTGATGACTAGCACAGGGTTTTAGGTTTTAGTTGTATTTATTTATCTTCCTCCTCCAGGCTCCCTCCCATTTCCCAAATTTCAAATTCATTCCATGAATATTTGAGAGCAAATTGCTCATCCAGGTGCTAGAAGGATCCATGTGGTTATTATGCAGAGAGTTCCTGCTCATCTTCACCTAGGGCATTTTTTCAGTGCAGCAGGACAAGTGGCCATCTTGGCAGTGGGAGACCTAGGACATGGGGAACTAGTCATGCTGGACCTGTAGGAGAGAGGAAGTGTCTCATGTAGGGCCTCTGCTGCTACTTCTTCTAGGCTACAGAGTGAGGGCAAAGTCCAGCACAGGCCCTATAAGCTGTGTCAGCAAATGGTATTGTAGTGGGATGTTGCTGTACGTACAGCATCCATTTTCCCATCCTGAAGCTGTTCCTTGGTTTTCCTTTGGGGAACCATTTCTTTCCCCACTGCCAGGCCAGTGCATGTCTTCTCCAGCACATGTCAAAGGCCTAGACAATTCATGTCCATGGCCACAGCTATTGGCTCAACGTTGGGTATGTAACACCATCCAAGTCACTGAGGTGCAAATCTAGCATTTCACAGGAAATATGGGACAGTAGAAGCTTTATATTTACTAATGGGAATTGTTAAGACAGCAGAATATAAGCCTGAAGCTTCTAAAAGCCACTGCAAAGAAAAAGTGTGCATAAGAATGCAGCTAACACTGGGGAAAGCAAATTGAGGGATGGAAAGAGAGCAAAGCTCTGGACCAAGCTTCTCTTGAGGCTAGGCTTATCTCTGGACTTTTTAGTTACATGAGCCAATAAAAGCTTTACCTTGACTTTTTTGTTGAACCAGCTTGAGTAGAGGTTCTGTCCTTTTCACTTGAAAAAATCCTGGCTAGTTCAGGAATGTTCCTGGGGAAGCCCTGCCTCTGAGGCAGCAGCAGAGCAAGAGTAGGGAGCAGAGCTGGGATCCCAGCTATTGGGTAGCCAAGGCCTCAGCTGGGGCACCTGGCTTCCTTGGATGACTTGTGCCTTGGCCTGAGTGGCAGCCCCACCCAGGCAGCTGTCCTGTTTCTTGCTCATCATTCTCCAATCCATGAAATGACACAGAATGATCTCTGCAATTGGGGCATTTGACTGGAGACCTAAAATGTGTTCTGCAGAGCAGTGGGCCCCAGAGATGATCTAGAGCCAAGGAGCCTGTATACACAGGAGCATGGGTGCTGGTGTGTCTACATACCCCTCCTGGAGATTCACGCTGTGTGTTGGAATGCCAAAGGTTCTGAGAAGTCCAATAGGAAATGAATCTGTTTAACTTGGCATATCTTTTATTTTTCAAATATTTTTCGAATATTTTACCTCCATTTTTCTACCATCACCAGAACACCCTTGGGGCAATGCTGACCCGGGTTTCCTCATTTTACACTTGGTAATGCTTCTCATCCTGGGATATTGGGCTGTGGGAGCTTATCTAGTGGCTGGAAAATTATTATTATTTTTCCTTACAAAACTTGGGTCCAGTTTGAGAGAAGCTGCGCTACCCCAGGGATTTGTCCTCAGGGACCTTTTTTCACAAGGTACCAAGCTATCTCCCAGGAAAAGCAAGAGAACATGGAGGCACGTGATTTTGTTGTCAACATAAAAAACCAGGGCAATAGGGAGAGGTGGTTTTGACTGGATCCTACAGTCTCTTAAATATGACTGTTTCCCCACTATGGCACACGGTCCTGAGAGCTGAAGCTTCAGTGACGTGGGGGTGAGCAACTTTGAGCAAGGAGGGACTGTGTAGAGCCTTCACTGTGGACACTGGCCTTCGCTGAGAGTGACCTAACATCGGATTCCTCTGTTCTGGCATCAGCAGACACTGAGAGGGGATATCTATGAACAGCAGCACAAGCATTGGAGAACAAAGAAGAGGAGAAGAGGATGGAGGAGGAGGAGGAGGGCATGTCTCAAGATGTCTAGAGTGCAGCACCCATGCATCACCCCAGGACTTCCTAGAGAGATTTGGAGAATGTTTGGTAGACATGGGAGGAACTAGAATTGGGGAAAAGTGGTGGCGGCACTCCTGAGTGCAGAATTGTGAGGCTCACTTCCTACTCAGGCTGGTGTGGCCTGAGAAACAGGGTTTCTGGCAGGTTGACACTTCCCCACGGGAGCTTGATCCAAAAGGCTGCTGGCCCTTTGTCAAGATTCACTCTCCAGAAAAGGGACTCTGTCCCATAAGCAACACAATGGGATTCTGGGGCCACTTTTTCCAAGCAGCTCCAGCCCTGTCTTGCTGCCCTTGTGCCCTACTCACATCTCTGGCTCTGTCTTCCCACCATCTGAAGTTCCATCCCAGCCTGGGAGCCTCTTCTTTGGGGTCAAGGCAGGCCCAGAAGTTCATCTACTATTCTCAGCATGTAGAACTGTGAATGGCTCATAAAATGGTGTTTGGAAGAGTGGGTGGAATGGAAAAGTAGCTTGTTTAGCTGTAGTTAAAGGGGACAGCTAATTCTAAACCAGTTTGTGTCTGGCATTGAGCTCACGCCCATTTTGATGACACATGGTGGGGACCAAACAGCCTGCTGCTTTATCCTTCAGGTGTCCTTTTCCAGGAGCCTCCATCCCTGCTCCTCACCTGGCTCACTCCTGCTTCTCCTTTAAGACTCATGTCAGGAATCACCTCCTCTTAGACCTTTCTTGGCTCCTGTGGTGGACACTGCCTGATGCCATCCAGATCCCCCCTTTATCAAAGGATGTGTGGCCCCAGCTGTGGGGTTTGTGGTCAGTAGTAGCACTCTGCTGTCAGCCCCCTCAGGAATTGCCTCATCTGCAGAAAGCCACCCTGCTCAAGCTCATGCCTGTTATTAGTATGGCTCAATTCAATGATGGGTTGATGCAACAGTAGAAAGACCTAAAACTGCATTGGGCTGTTTTAGCTTCAGAGGCCTCCATGTTGTTGCCCAAGACTTTTGTTGGGTCTGATCATGGATCAAATCCTCCCTCTGCCCAACCCTGCTTCTGTCCCCTTCCTTCTACAGAGGTCAGTCCCAAAGACACTCTTTAATAAACCCTGCCTGCTGACTCCACATCAGTCTGCTTTCCGAGGAGCCCCAGCTTGTGAAACTCCTGGTCTGAGTGAGGTGCCCTTGACAGCCCTCATGTTTCCCTCTTACTCTGCACGCTGTGTCACTCCCTATACCATGAGCAAGTTGACTCAGGTGCTCTGCTTTCTCCGCGTTCAAATGCCTGATGTCTAGCACAGCACCTGAGCATAGCAGGCACTCAGTAGGTGATGGCTGGGCATGTGAATGAGTATCCCAGACCCAGGGGCTGTCACTATCCAGTGAGAGGGGTCAAGTGGTTTTTAAAGGCCCCTCAGCCTCCTTTCTTAGCTTTCTTTTCCTCTGTGAGGCAGTGATTTTGTTGGCAACAAGGTTGGGTCAGGGTACTGGCAGATGGTAGGGATCTGAGAAGGGTCAGAGTAGGAGTCTGACTTGAAGAAGCTAGAGAGGTTCTTTTAAAAGGGATGGCTAGGAGGCCGAGTGGGGCAGATCACCTGAGGTCAGGAGTTCGTGACCAGCTTGGCTAACATGGTGAAACCCCGTTTCTACTAAAAATACAAAATATTAGCCAGGCGTGGTGGCACATGCTTGTAATCCCAGCTACTCAGGAGGCTGAGGCAGGAGAATTGCTTGAACCTGTGAGGCGGAGGTTGCAGTGAGCTGAGATCACGCCATGGCACTCCAGCTTGAGCAACAAGAGCAAAACTCTGTCTAAAAAAAACAAAAAAGAAATGGCTTTGGCTTTCTGTGGTATCCTGTCCCAGCTCACCACATGTGCTTTGGTGCAGGGGCTGCACAGGGGAAGTGGCGTAGATGCATCCAATTCTGCCACATCCCAGTTCAAGCTCAGCAGTAGGTGGCAGGAAGGAGTGAGCCTGGCTCTGGCAGGGAGGTCCCCCACTTCCAGTTTCTTGGGTCTGGATCATAGAGTGCCATGTCCTGGGAAGCTGCCACAGGGCACCACCTGGTTCAGCCTCCTCCTACCTCTAGCTCAGGGGCTCCCCTCAGTAGCTTCCCTTCCCTGGGAAGCTCATAAAAACCTTTCGAGTGCCCTTCCCAGGGGCAGGGTTGTGGACACTGTGACTTCTCAAGCTCCTTCCTGTCTCAGGATCTGGATGTGCATGAATACATTTTAAAGTTAGGAACATTTGGATTTTTTGTTGTTTTTTTTTTTTTTTGCTTTACTACTTTGAAACAATCCACAGATAAGCAGTGAGGAATGATGGTGGAGATCAAATGTACATCAGTGATAATGGTTTGCATGATTGGGCCCTTTCTTGCCACTTGGAACACTGAGGCTGGATAGCATCCTTCTGAAACATTGTACTAATCAAACGTGAAATGACAAAACTCGGCAATACTGCAATCCATTATATAATCCTTTATGCTTTTCTGTTTAGCTATAATTAATTAATATTTTCCTAGATATTTCTGAACACATTTATCAAACAGGCATAAAGCAAGGTGCCTTATGTATGTGGATTAAGCCTAAGAGCTAAAATATAATGATAATAAAAATAGAAATAATCATCATGATAATATCTGTTCTGTTACAAATGCTTTGCCCAAATTATCTGTTTAATCCTGACAACAACCCTATGAAGTGGTTAACGTGATTATTTCACCAGGTGAAGAAACCGATGTTTGAGAAGTTAGTTGCTTGTCCACAACTGGTAAGTGGCGGAGATGGAGTAAACCCAAGGCCCTTGCTGCAAGCCTGTGCTCTCCTGGCTGCCCTGACCACCATGGGTTAGGGTCCACAGAAAAGGGCTGAGGACTCATCTCACCTACGAAGCTGCACATGAGTGAGGTGCTGTGGGTGGTTTCAGCAGATGGGGTTGACCTCCAAACACCATGAAAGAGCATCCTAGAGCAGGCAATTGCTGCGGTTCAGGAGAATGGAAACACTATGGTGTAGGGCCATTGTTTTCCAATTTTAAATTTTTTTATCAGTGAAATTCTTTATTTCTCTCAAATGACAAAAGAACCTTGGCTTGTAAAACAGGTAAGGTTTGATTGGAATGAATTGATTTTATAAGTTTAAATGTATGATATTCACTCATTGGTAACCAGATAGTAAGAAAAATGAGGCTGTTTAGATGAATACAGACTTTGAGATCAGTTTTTTTTTGGGTAATATTGGCAGTCTCAGTTCAGTCTCAGTATTCTATTTATGCCTGCATTTTGTTAGGCTGCATGATATTGAAAAAGTCCCGATTCACACAGCTAGATAGTTGTACATATTAATTCCCGAAAGCTTGTCTCATGAGCTCAGTATCCTCTTCCATTAAACTACTCCAGAGATTTGAAAGAGAAGTGGTAAGATAGTTTTGTTCCAGAGTTGAGTTACTCTCAGTCTCTCAGAATGGCCTGCATTCCTTAACTGGTAAGTGTACAAGCTGGAGGAAATTGATGAATGGGTTCTTTAGTTTAAAATCACAACTGTATGGTAGAAAACACTTTCCAAATTTATGTTGTAACATTATGAGATGTTTAACAATATCATTAAAAACTCTCATATATTCTAGTACCTGTCTCTGCCATACAGCCACTCAAAATTTCAAAACAGTCAAATTAATTTTCACTTTTCATTCATTTATTTGCTCATCTATTCATTTGAAAAAATTCATTGAGCACCTTCTATACCAGGCACTGAGTTGGGCACCTCGGATGTAGCAATAAGCAGAACAAAGTCTCTGCCTTCCTGAAGCATACATCCAACTTTGGTAAGATGAATAAACAAAAAATCCTGGCACTTGCCGTGGTGTAATAATTTTGCCCCACTTCTGTTCGTATGCACAATTTTATACATGACAAGTGTAAATACATCAATGAGATGAGGAAACTTTATTTTAAAATCTACATATTCATAAAATAATAAGGAAGCTTTATTTTGAAGCAGACGCATGAGCTAACCTGTCAACATGGGTTACCCATATTTGATATAAAATACATCGACTTTACATATTGCTTTAATTTGTAAATTTCTACATAAATGATTAAAATATATTAAAAGAAAAGTTGCATACAATATTTGTGGAATCCTTAGATCATCTCTTCTGGACTCTAGGTTCCTGGGAAATACAAACAGTATAATGGGGTTGGGGGGAGTATTAAGATCAGACAGCTGGTCTTTGGTTTCAACCAATCTGGTTTGAAATTTGGCTCTGCCCTTGTAAAGTTGTACAATGTCGGGAGTGCATGTAGACCTCAGGGTCTTCACCTATAAGGCAGAGAGAATCCATTTCCCACACTGGCTGGATGCCTGAAACAACATGGCACTCAAGACTTGTTGAAGTCCTTTTCCTTCTCCAAACAGCACAGCCTGGATCAGCCTTGGGGATACCAGTCAACAAGGAGCAGGGCTCTGGCCGTAGGGAATGGCTTGAGTCAGGGCACCAGTCTCTAGGGACAGAGGCGAGGGACCAAGAGTCACTTGGAGGATGGACAAGTTGTGGAGACAGGGACTTGGACACACAAAGCAAACCAGGAACATGATTACCAGAAAGGAGCCCCCTGTGGACACTGGCACTTAAGCAATCTGTTTAAAACCAAGTGGTTCCAGGTGTGAAAAGAGAAGGACTTTAGGGGCAGGGAAGTGAGCAGTGCTGTGCATGGACAAAAGTTGATCTGTATCTTTTAGACTTTGATGAACAATTTCTTCTCAAAAATAGCTTCCTGGTAGAAACCCATCTCCAGTTTATCTTATCTGCTTGGGCTTGGGAGTAAGACATGATTGTCATAGATGCCGCTATGATGGCTGAAGCTGGCTCTTCCTGGTTGAGGAGATGTGATTATGTACATCGTTACCTAAGTCCATTTTTTGGTGATGGCACATTGGTATCTTAAAATCAGTCGTGGTGGGAGCATTTACACCATGGAAATTGCCAAATGCAACAACTCAGGGCTTGTTCTTCAGAGCACCAGTTGTTAAACATTGCATGGTTTTGGAACTATCCTCTGTTGACTTCACCTTTTGGATGAAGATTACATGTGAAGTTTTCCATTTGCAAACTACCCAAACTTAGGTGAGTTTACCCTTAGGCTAACCCTTATCTCCATCACTGACTTCCTTATTGTAGTCACCACCATGGAGCTAGAAATAATCCACAGGTTCAGAAGGGGAGGGAAAACGGCGCTGTGAAAAACCAGAAGACGCTCATGGGAGAGCTGTTCTGTCTGCTGGCTGGTCCCCTGATCATTTTCTCTTCACTTCACCAAGCAGCCGGAAATCCCAGTAATGTAAATAAAGGCAGAAGGAGGCAATCAACCATTTATCTTAGTAAGAATTTATTCCCTGGGGGTTGGGGGAAGAAATTTGATAAGTAATTTTAGAACATGCCCTACCGGGGTGGAAGGTGCTGGAGTTGAGGGTAGGCTTGAAGTAATTCCACTGCTAGGGAGTGACCTTAGGGTTCCAGGAACTAGGAGAAAGTACCAGAGGGCCAAAGACAAAACTACATATTCTTTTTTTTTTTTTGAGATGGAGTCTTGCTCTGTCGCCCAGGCTGGAGTGCAGTGGCGCGATCTCGGCTCACTGCAAGCTCTGCCTCCCGGGTTCACACCATTCTGCTGCCTCAGCCTCCAGAGTAGCTGGGACTACAGGCGCCCACCACCACGCCCGGCTGATTTTTTGTATTTTTAGTAGAGATGGGGTTTCACCATGTTAGCCAGGATGGTCTTGATCTCCTGACCTCATGATCCACCCGCCTCGGCCTCCCAAAGTGCTGGGATTACAGGCGTGAGCCACCGCGCCCGGCCCAAAACTACATATTCTTAAATTTCTTCTAGCACTGGCCCAGCTCCCAAAGAAGAGATAGATTTTTTTTTTTTAATCCTTCTCTTTCCTTAGCTCATAGCCCTGGCCTATGGGGCTTATAGATTAGATAAGCGTTATTGGGACTCATGCTTAGAACATTTTGGGAAATATATTCTGAATATAAATCAGCATTCAGAGAACATAGAGTTAACAACTGTTTTTAGTTCTTCTCATTTAATCCGTGAAAATATTTTTTAAGTTTCACGTAGAACAAGATGGGTTTACTCACCAACTCACATGACAATTTCAGAAATGTCTTATTTTAATTTCTGATTCCTCCTCTGTGGGTAGAAGCTTTTAATCTGTTAGTATCCTCTGCACTCTGAGCATCCCTGTCAAATGGTTAATGATGTGAAAAAAGTACCTAAATGCACTAGGGTCTCTTGGCATTCAAATAAACACTTTCACGGAGAGTGAAGTTGCCCCACATGACCAGAGCCTGGCCTGTGTGGAATCTCATGGAGATTTTGCAGAGAGAGCATGGCCATGGCTGTGGATGGGTCTCCAGATGCTTCCTGCTGTGGCTGGTAATATTTTGCCTCCATGTCCTGGTTATCTACTGCTGTGGAAAACTCTACCAAAAATTTAGTGGCTTAAAACAATAACTGTTTTTATTATATCTCCTTTGGTGGGTCTGATAGGCAGGCAGGGCTTGGCTGGGTGACTCTCTGGCTCCCTGTAGCATGAGATGAGGTCATTCTGTGGTTCAGCTGCTGGATAGTTATTCTGAAGAGTCCAAGACCACTGACGTGTCTGATGTCTTGGAAGGATGGATGAAAGCTGGGATCAGCTGGGACTACCTAAAGGAGCAATTATCTGTGGCCTCTTTACCATAGTGGTCTCAGAATTATTAAACTTATTACATGGCAGTTGACTTCCCCTGGAGTGAATGTTGCATGAGAACCAGGTAGAGGCTTCATGGCCTTTACTGACTTTGTCTCGAAACTCAAGCAGCAACACTTTCATTTTATTCAGTCATTAACAAGTAGGTCATCAAGACAGCACAAATTCAAGGAGAGGGCAATTAGACTCCATCTCCTGATGCAGCATGGCAGGGTCAAGAGCATGTGGGATGGGAGCTATTGGGGCCATCCTTGGGAAAAACAAGCTGCCACATTGCATATCCTAAAATTGGTCATCTTTGCCTGTTGGCTGCCATATTATATCCTACTAAAAGCCTTGATTGACAGCATTTTCTGATGAGTTAACTAAGTGAGACTGAGCTTCAGTTTAAGGTCTGGATTAATTTCAACCTGATCTTCATCCTTACCACTACTCCATATCATGAAATCCAAATTCTGGTTTGCAGTAGCCCCATCATGTTGTCAATCATCTTGAGAGTTGTCATAAACATCCTAAAATATTACCATTAATTAAGTGATAAATATTTACCATTTATGCCTTTGAGGATTTCAACATTGTTACAGCTGCAATTAGACAAGCTATGACAGGGTATCAGTCTCAACTCTTAAAGAAAAAAATATGAAAATCACAGATGTGTAACCTAAATACTTGAATAGATAGAACACAGAGGGATGATTTTTCAGGGGTTGGGGCAAGCATGCAGGCAGATTTCTCTAAATGCAACTGGTTAAATTTCTTAAATTGAATTTTTTATTTGGCTAAGAATTGACATTTTTTTTTCCATTTTGCTAAACGATTTCTGTGCAGACTGTTGCCATTTTATTGTTTCTCTCCCACACGCAGAGATTAGGTTGTTCACGTTCGTGTTGATGAGCGTGAGCACCACTGTCACTGGTTGACACTGCGCTGCTGTGTGCCCTGCTCCTGGGGGCGGTTAATAAATTGTATTTGATGATTTGATGACATAACCTTTAGATCTGAAATTGCAGTTGTACTGGACTGTCAGGAAAAGCTCCTTTTGTCATACGTTGCCTGGATTTATCAGAAAACATATATTACTCTTCGGGTTTTTGAAGTCTTTTTGGTGTATTTAAATAATTCCTTGAGCAAATGTTCTAGGAATCAATTGAATTGTTTCTATTGTCTTGATTAAGATTTTTCTTTTTTAAAGTTGACATAAAGGTGCTTGATATCTTAAAGATGACTAGACTGAATGCTTAAATATCTGGTGCACTTAGGTGATCATTTGTCTTTTTTTGGTAAACATAAATCTTTTGTAAATTTTCTTTAAAAGTCTGCCAAATACAGTACTTCTCTAAAAATACTTGCAGGTTTTCATAATTAAATGTGCAGCTAAAAAGCATAAATTTGGTAGCATTCTGACATTTCTTTGTTCTTATTTCCCTCATGTCTACTCAACTTTTACAAATGCCACTTGTTCAGGGGCAGGGTGGGTTTATGTAGGAATAACTTAGAAGGCTATTAGGGTATCAATTTCCTGATTGGTCTGTCAGATGGGGAGGATAAACTAGCAGAAGTTTTTTATTTTTTATGTTTATTTTTTTAGAGACAGGGTCTCTCTATATTGCCTAGGCTCGTCTTGAACTCTTGGGCTTAAACAGTCTTCCCACCTTGGCCTCTCAAAGTGGTAGGATTGCAGACATGAACCACCGCATCCAGCCTAATAGAATATTTTTTAGGCCAGGCCAGTCATGAAACTGTAATTGGCACCAGGAGTGCACTGTGAAGTGAGAGCCCTAAGGGAATGAGACATTCAGGTCCAGGGGGAAGGAACAGAAGGGCCTCAAGCTCAAAGGAACACATTGCTTCTTAACGACCCTGGACCCAGGGCTTCCAAAGGAAACGTCTTTCAGCTTGCCTTGTCAGATAAGACTGTGGTTCTCTTAAACACCAACAGCCACATATCAGTATGAAGTTTGTTTCCTAACTCATGGATTCTCTGAATCTTTTAATCGAGCATTTCTCCCCCTTTTCTGGTGATGGGAGAGTGTTGGAAAGCTCAAATCCACAATTTTTGGCTCATCTTAGTACAGTGTACAGGACTTGTGTGTGTTGGGTTCCAACCACATCTCATATCTTAAATTTCCTTTGCTGTGATTTCATTAATTATTTTCCTGCTGCTGCTGCTGCTGCTGTGTGTGTGTGTGTGTGTGTGTGTGTGTGTGTAAGCACCCTCCAAATGAGTCCAGTTATAAAAAAAAAAAAGAAATCCTATGATCTTGTGAAGGTTTATGTCTTTAATGCTGTTAAATAGGGAAGAAAAATGTAAGGGGCAGAATTAGGAAATGTAGGAACAGTAGAGTGAGCTCTAGGACAGAGGGAATAATTCCCAGGTAGGTGCAGAGCTGTAGAATGATGGAATTTCAGGCCTGGCAGGGCTAGGAGGCCAGGTGGTCAGCATGGTGGATATCCTAGGGGAGAGAGATTTACTATGCTGGGTGTTCACTGTGAAACTTGGTGGAAATAAATAATGTTATTCTCACTTTTTCTTATTTCTTTTTCTTTTCTAATAATACATAGGTAATCAGTCACTACTGCATAAATACTAGAAAATGCAGATAAGAAAAGGTAAAAAATACTATGATCCCATCACCTATTATTAGCACTTTGGGTAGAATCTTCTGTACTCTTTTGTTTTACTAATTGTTTTCTTCCTGGGATTCTGTATTACTTTCTGCTTTTGGTTTGCTTATATTTCCACAGAATCTCTTTCCACCTCTTTATTTAGTATTTACTTCACTATTTTTTATGTTTATTGCAATAAACACCCAAGAAATAAAAATGTAAACAGTATAAAAGGATATAAAATGAAAAAAGCTTTCTTCCCCACCTTCAATGCTAGTAACATTTCAAAGACTTTTTTAGTTCTTATTTCATAATGCTAATATTTTTACATCTATTTGGGGAGGAGCCAAGATGGGGGGGAGGAGCCAAGATGGCCGAATAGGAACAGCTCCTGTCTACAGCTCCCAGCTTGAGCCACGCAGAAGATGGGTGATTTCTGCATTTCCATCTGAGGTACCAGGTTCGTCTCACTAGGGAGTGCCAGACAGTGGGTGCAGGACAGTGGGTGCAGTGCACCGTGCATGAGCCAAAGCAGGGCGAGGCATTGCCTCACTCGGGAAGCGCAAGGGGTCAGGGAGTTCCCTTTCCTGGTCAAGGAAAGGGGTGACAGACAGCACCTGGAAAATCGGGTCACTCTTACCCGAATACTGTGCTTTTCCGAGGGGCTTAGGAAACAGTGCACCAGGAGATTGTATCCTGTACCTGGCTCGGAGGGTCCTACGCCCACGGAGTCTCGCTGATTGCTAGCACAGCAGTCTGAAATCAAACTGCAAGGCAGCAGCGAGGCTGGGGGAGGGGCGCCCGCCATTGCCCAGGCTCGTTTAGGTAAACAAAGCAGCCGGGAAGCTGGAACTTGGTGGAACCCACCACAGCTCAAGGAGGCCTGCCTGCCTCTGTAGGCTCCACCTCTGGGGGCAGGGCACAGACAAACAAAAAGACAGCAGTAACCTCTGCAGACTTAAATGTCCCTGTCTGACAGCTTTGAAGAGAGCAGTGATTCTCCCAGCACACAGCTGGAGATCTGAGAACGGGCAGACTGCCTCCTCAAATGGGTCCCTGACCCCTGACCATTCTTTTCTTTAAGAATGTTGAATACTGGCCCCCACTCTCCTCTGGCTTGTAGAGTTTCTGCCGAGAGATCCGCTGTTACTCTGATGGGCTTCCCTTTGTGGGTAACCCGACCTTTCTCTCTGGCTGCCCTTAACATTTTTTCCTTCATTTCAACTTTGGTGAATCTGACAATTATGTGTCTTGGAGTTGCTCTTCTCGAGGAGTATCTTTGTGGCGTTCTCTGTATTTCCTGAATCTGAATGTTAGCCTGCCTTGCTAGGTTGGGGAAGTTCTCCTGGATAATACCCTGCAGAGTGTTTTCCAACTTGGTTCCATTCTCCCCATCACTTTCAGGTACATCAATCAGACATAGATTTGGTCTTTTCACATAGTCCCATATTTCTTGGAGGCTTTGTTCGTTTCTTTTTATTCTTTTTTCTCTAAACTTCCCTTCTCACTTCATTTCATTCATTCCATCTTCCATCACTGATACCCTTTCTTCCAGTTGATCGCATCGGCTCCTGAGGCTTCTGCATTCTTCACGTAGTTCTCCAGCCTTGGCTTTCAGCTCCGTCAGCTCCTTTAAGCACTTCTCTGTATTGGTTATTCTAGTTATACAGTCGTCTAAATTTTTTTCAAAGTTTTCAACTTCTTTGCCTTTGGTTTGAGTTTCCTCCAGTAGCTCGGAGTAGTTTGATCATCTGAAGCCTTCTTCTCTCAATTCGTCAAAGTCATTCTCCGTCCAGCTGTGTTCCGTTGCTGGTGAGGAACTGCGTTCCTTTGGTTTTTTGTCCTTGCGATAGTTTACTGAGAATGATGATTTCCAATTTCATCCATGTCCCTACAAAGGACATGAACTCATCATTTTTTATGGCTGCATAGTATTCCATGGTGTATATGTGGCACATTTGCTTAATCAAGTCTATCATTGTTGGACATTTGGGTTGGTTCCAAGTCTTTGCTATTGTGAATAGTGCCTCAATAAACATACACGTGCATGTGTCTTTATAGCAGCATGATTTATAGTCCTTTGGGTATATACCCAGTAATGGGATGGCTGGGTCAAATGGTATTTCCAGTTCTAGATCCCTGAGGAATCGCCACACTGACTTCCACAATGGTTGAACTAGTTTACAGTCCCACCAACAGTGTAAAAGTGTTCCTATTTCTCCACATCCTCTCCAGCACCTGTTGTTTCCTGACTTTTTAATGATTGCCATTCTAACTGGTGTGAGATGGTATCTCATTGTGGTTTTGATTTGCATTTCTCTGATGGCCAGTGATGATGAGCATTTTTTCATGTGTCTTTTGACTGCATAAATGTCTTCTTTTGAGAAGTGTCTGTTCATATCCTTTGCCCACTTTTTGATGGGGTTGTTTGTTTTTTTCTTGTAAATTTGTTTGAGTTCATTGTAGATTCTGGATATTAGCCCTTTGTCAGATGAGTAGGTTGCGAAAATTTTCTCCCATTTTTTGGGTTGCCTGTTCACTCTGATGGTAGTTTCTTTTGCTGTGCAGAAGCTCTTTAGTTTAATGAAATCCCATTTGTCAATTTTGTCTTTTGTTGCCATTGCTTTTGGTGTTTTGGACATGAAGTCCTTGCCCATGCCTATGTCCTCAATGGTAATGCCTAGGTTTTCTTCTAGGGTTTTTATGGTTTTAGGTCTAATGTTTAAGTCTTTAATCCATCTTGAATTGATTTTTGTATAAGGTGTAAGGAAGGGATCCAGTTTCAGCTTTCTACACGTGGCTAGCCAGTTTTCCCAGCACCATTTATTAAATAGGGAATCCTTTCCCCATTGCTTGTTTTTCTCAGGTTTGTCAAAGATCAGATAGTTCTAGATACGCAGCGTTATTTCTGAGGGCTCTGTTCTGTTCCATTGATCTATATCTCTGTTTTGGTACCAGTACCATGCTGTTTTGGTTACTGTAGCCTTGTAGTATAGTTTGAAGTCAGGTAGCGTGATGCCTCCAGCTTTATTCTTTTGGCTTAGGATTGATTTGGCAATGCGGGCTCTTTTTTGGTTCCATATGAACTTTAAAGTAGTTTTTTCCAATTCTGTGAAGAAAGGCATTGGTAGCTTGATGCGGATGGCATTGAATCTATAAATTACCTTGGGCAGTATGGCCATTTTCACAATATTGATTCTTCCTACCCATGAGCATGGAATGTTCTTCCATTTGTTTGTATCCTCTTTTATTTCATTGAGCAGTATTTTGTAGTTCTCCTTGAGGAGGTCCTTCACATCCCTTGTAAGTTGGATTCCTAGGTATTTTATTCTCTTTGAAGCAATTGTGAATGGGAGTTCACCCATGATTTGGCTCTCTGTTTTTCTATTATTGGTGTATAAGAATGCTTGTGATTTTTGTACATTGATTTTGTATCCTGAGACTTTGCTAAAGTTGCTTATCAGCTTAAGGAGATTTTGGGCTGAGACAATGGGGTTTTCTAAACATTCAATCATGTCGTCTGCAAACAGGGACAATTTGACTTCCTCTTTTCCTAATTGAATACCCTTTATTTCCTTCTCCTGCCTAATTGCCCTGGCCAGAACTTCCAACACTATGTTGAATAGGAGTGGTGAGAGAGGGCATCCCTGTCTTGTGCCAGTTTTCAAAAGGAATGCTTCCAGTTTTTGCCCTTTCAGTATGATATTGGCTGTGAGTTTGTCATAGATAGCTCTTATTATTTTGAGATATGTCCCATCAATACCTAATTTATTGAGAGTTTTTAGCATGAAGGGTTGTTGAATTTTGTCAAAGGCCTTTTCTGCATCTATTGAGACAATCATGTGGTTTTTGTCTTTGGTTCTGTTTATATGCTGGATTACATTTATTGATTTGCGTATGTTGAACCAGCCTTGCATCCCAGGAATGAAGCCCACTTGATCATGGTGAATAAGCTTTTTGATGTGCTGCTGGATTCGGTTTGCCAGTATTTTATTGAGGATTTTTGCATCGATGTTCATCAGGGATATTGGTCTAAAATTCTCTTTTTTTGTTGTGTCTCTGCCAGGCTTTGGTATCAGGATGATGCTGGCCTCATAAAATGAGTTAGGGAGGATTCCCTCTTTTTCTATTGATTGGAATAGTTTGAGAAGGAATGGTACCAGTTCCTCCTTGTACCTCTGGTAGAATTCGGCTGTGAATCCATCTGGTCCTGGACTCTTACTGGTTGGTAAGCTATTGATTATTGCCACAATTTCAGCTCCTGTTATTGGTCTATTCAGAGATTCAACTTCTTCCTGGTTTAGTCTTGGGAGAGTGTATGTGTCGAGGAATTTATCCATTTCTTCTAGATTTTCTAGTTTATTGGCATAGAGGTGTTTATATTATTCTCTGATGGTAGTTTGTATTTCTGTGGGATTGGTGGTGATATCCCCTTTATCATGGAATACTATGCAGCCATAAAAAATGATGAGTTCATGTCCTTTGTAGGGACATGGATGAAATTGGAAATCATCATTCTCAGTAAACTATCGCAAGGACAAAAAACCAAACACCGCATGTTCTCACTCATAGATGGGAATTGAACAATGAGAACACATGGACACAGGAAGGGGAACATCACACTCTGGGGACTGTTGTGGGGTGGGGGGAGGGGGGAGGGATAGCATTAGGAGATATACATAATGCTAAATGACGAGTTAATGGGTGCAGCGCACCAGCATGGCACATGTATACATATGTAACTAAGCTGCACATTGTGCACATGTACCCTAAAACTTAAAGTATAATAATAAAAAAAAATTGCCCATTATGAAAAATAATAAATTTCACTCACTTTTTGGATATAAATGTAAGGGGTACAAATGCAGTTTTGTTACATGCATATACTGTATAGTGCTGAAGTCTGGGCTCGTAGTGTAACCATCACCCAAATAGTGTACATTGTACCCCTAAGGTTATTTTGCATCCCTCACTCTTCTTTCACCCCCTCACCATTTCGAGTCTCCGATGTCTATTATTCCATACCCTATGCCTATGTGTGCACATTTTTCAGCTCCCACTTATAAGAGAGAACATGAGGTATTTGACTTCCTGTTTCTGAGTTATTTCACTTTAGATAATGACCTCCTGTTCCATGCATGTAGCTGAAAAAGACATAATTTCATTCTTTTTCATGGCTGAGTAGTATTCTATGGTATGTATCTACCACATCTGATCGTGTGTTGATGGACATAGGTTGGTTCCATATCTTTGTATTGTGAATAGTGCTGTGATAAACATCTAAGTGCAGGTATCTTTTTGATATAATAATTTCTTTTCCTTTGGGTATATACCCAGTAGTGGAATTGCTGGATAGAATGAAAATTATATTTTTAGTTATTTGAGAATTCTCCATACTGTTTTCCATAGAGGTTGTACCAATTTCCATTCCCAATCAACAGGGTATAAGAGTTCCCTTTTCTCTGTATCCTCACCAACATCTGTTATTTTTTGACATTTTAATAATGGCCATTGTGACTGATAGAAGATAATATCTCATTGTGGTTTTAATTTGCATTTCTCTGATGATTAGTGATGTTGAGCATTTTTTCATATGCTTGTTGGCCATTTGTATGGCTTCTTTAAAAAATGTCTTTTCATGTTCTTTGCCCACTTTTTAATGGAATTATTTGTGTTTTGCTGTTGTTGAACTGAGTACCTTGTAGGTTCTGATTAGTTCCTTGTTATATGAATAGTTTGCAAGTATTTTTCCCACTTTGCATGTTGTTTGTTCATGCTGTTGATTATTTCTTTTGCTTTTTAGTTTAATTAAATCCCATCTGTCTATTTTAGCTTTTGTTATATTTGCTTCTGAGGTCTTAGTCATAAATTCTTTGCCTAGCAAAGTCCAGAAAAAATTTTCCTAGGTTTTCTTCTAGGATTCCTGTATTTTCAAGTCTTACATTTAAGTGTTTAATCCATCTTGAGTTAATTTTTGTATATGATGGGACATAAGGGGTCCAGTTCCATTCTTCTGCATATGGCAGTAAAAATTTCCCAGTTCCATTTATTGATTAGGTTGTCCCTTCCCCAGTGTATGTTTTGTTGACTTTGCAAAGATCAGTTGGCTTTAAGTGTGTGGTTTTATTTCTGGGTTCTCTATTCTTTTCCATTGATTTATGTGTCTATGTTAGTACTAGTGCCATGCTATTTTGGTTAGTATAGCCTTGCAGTACAATTAAGTCAGGTAATGTGATGGCTCCCAGTTTTTTCTTTTTGCTTAGAATTGCTTTGGTGATTCAGGCTCTTTTTGAGATCTGTGTAAACTTCAGGATTGTTTTTCCTAATTCTGTGAAAAATGATGTTGGTATTTTGATGGGGATTACATTGACCTTGTAGATTGCTTTGGACTGTATGGTCAGTTTAATAATATTGATTTTTCTGATCCATGAGCATGGGATGCTTTTCCATTTGTTTGTGTTTTCTACAGTTTCTTTCATTTGTGTTTTGTAGTTTTCCTTGCAGAGATCTTTGAATTTCTTGGTTAAATACATTCCTAGGTATCTTTACAATAGCTATGGTAAATGGGATTGACTTCCTGATTTGGTCCTCAGCTTGATCATTATTGGTTTATAGAAATGTTACTAATTTTTGTACATTGATTTTGTATCCTGAAAATTTGCTGAATTTATTTATCAAATCTAGGAATATTTTGAAGGAGTTTTTAGGGTCTTCTAGGCATAAGATTATAACACCAATGAACAGAGATAATTTAACTTTCTCTTTTTAAATTTCTATTCCTTGCCTGATTGCTCTGGCTAGGACTTCCAGTATTATGTTGAATAGTAGGGGTGAACATGGGCATCCTGTCTTGTTCCAGTTCCTAGGGTGAATGCTATCAACTTTTTCCTGTTTAGTATGATGTTGGCTGTGGGTTTGTCATATATGGATTTTATTATTTTGAGGTATGTTCCTTCTATGCCTAGGTTATTAAAGGTTGTTTTTTAAAATTATGAAGGGATGCTGAATTTTATTGAATTCTTTTGTTCTGCACCTGTTGAGATAATTATATGGTTTTGTTTTTAATTCCGTTTATGTGGTGAGTCACATTTATTGATTTGTATATGTTGAATCATCCTCATACTCCTGGAATAAAACCCACTTGATTGTGTTTTTTTTTTAATTGATGTGCTGTTTGATTGGGTTTGCTAGTATTTTGTTAATAATTTTTGCATCTAAATTCATCAGGTATATTGGTCTGCAGTTTTCTTTTCTTGTGTCCTTGTCTGACTTTGTTATCAAGGTAATACAGGATTTGTAGAATGTGTTAAAGGGTTTCCCTTCTGCTCTGTTTTTTGGAAGAGCTTCAGAAGGATTGGTACTAGCTCTTCTTTGTACATTTGGTAGAAGTCACCTGTGAGTTCATTTGGTCCAGGGCTTTTTTATTAGGAGATTTTTTATTACTGATTGAATCTCACTACTTGTTATTGGTCAGTTCAGCATTTCTCTTTCTTCCTGGTTCAATCTTGAAAGGTTGTATATTTCCAGGAATGTATCCATTTCTTCTAGGTGTTCTAGTTTCTGAGCTTATAGTTATTTATATTAGTCTTCGATGATCTTTTGTATTTCTGTCGTATCAGCAGTAATGTCTCCTATTTCACTTCTGAATATGTTTGTTTGCATCATCTCTCTTCTTTTCTTGGTTAGTTCAGCTAGTGATCTCTCAATTTTGTTTATCTTCTCAAAGAATAAAATTTTCATTTTGTTGATTCTTTGTATTGTTCTTTTGTTCTCAATTTTGTTTAGTTCTTCTCTGATCTTTGTTTTTCTTTTCTTCTGCTAGCTTTGTGCTTGGTTTATTTTTGTTTTTCTAGTTCTTGAGGTGCAACATCAGGTTGTTAATTGTGGTCTTTCTAGACTTTTGATGTAGGCATTTAATATTATAAACTTCCATTTTAGCACTGCTTTTGCTGTATCCCAGAGGTTTTTGTATGTTGTGTTTCCATTTTCATTCATTTCAAAAAAATTTTAAATTTTGGTCTTAATTTCATTGTTGACCCAAAGATTGCTCAGGAGTATGTTGTTTAATTTCCGTGTATTTGTATAGTTTCAAGAGTTCCTCCTGGAATTTATTTCTAGTTTTATCCTGCTATAGTCTGAGAAGATAATTCATTTAATTTTCATTTTAAAAAATTATTGAGACTTGTTTTGTGGCCTAACATATGGTCTATATTGGAGAATGTGCCATGTGCTGATAAGAAGAATATATATTCTGCAGTTGTTGGGTAGAATGTTCTGTAAATGCCTGTTAGGTCCACTTGGTCTAAAGGCCAATTTATGTTCAGTGTTTCTTTGTTGATTTTCTGTCTTGATGATCTGTTTAGTGCTGTAAGTAAGATGGTATTGAAGTCCTCTACTATTATTGTATTGCTGTCTATTCTTTCTTTAGATCTAGTAATATTCGTTTTATGAATCTAAGTGCTCTGGTGTTTGATGCTTATATGTAGAGATTGTTATGTATTTTTGTTGAATTGACCCCTTTATTATTACCTAATGGCTTTCTTTGTCTTTGTTTTTTACTGTCATTGATTAAAAGTCTGTTTCGTTTTATATAAATATAGCTACTCTAGTTTCCTTGCATATTCTTTGCTTTTTTTTCTTTATCTGTTTGTCTTTACGGTTTGGTGACATTCTGTCATATTGCCATTTGATATTTTTCTCTTCTTCCTTTCCATGGTTGCTTTATAAGATCTCTGAGTTTTATACTTTTGAGTGTTTTTATGATGGTGAGTATCAACTATTTGTTTCTATGTTTAGAACTGCTTTGAGTATTTCTTGTAAGTCAAGTCTGAAGGTGCCCAGTTTCCTCAGTGTTTGCTCATCTGGGAAAGGCTATATTTCCTTCCTTTATAAAGCTTATTCTAGAAGGATATAAAATTTGTAATTGACAGTTTTTTGTTTAATTTAAACATTTTGAAAATAGAATTCCAATATCTTCTGGCTTGTAAAATTTCTCCCAAGAAGTCTACTGTTAATCTGATGGAGTTTCCTTTATAGGTGACTAGATGCTTTTCTCTTGCTGATTTTATTGTTTTTTTTTTTTTTTCTTAATGTTGATTTTGGAGAGTCTGATGACTATAAGTCATGGTGAGATCCTTCTTGCAGTGTATTTTCCTTGTGTTTGCTGAACTTCTTTCTGGATGTCTATATCTGTTGCTAGACTAGGGTTGTTCTCCTCAATTATTTCCTTTAGTAGGTTTTACAAATATTTTGCTTTTTCTTCTCCCTCAGGAATACCTGTGGGTCATAAGTTTTGTCATTTTATGTAATCCCATACTTCTCAAAGGCTTTGTTCATTCTGTTTCAATCTTTTTTTCTTTATTTTCATCTGACTGAATTAATTCAAAGACCTATCTTCCAAGTTCTGAGATTCTTTCTTCTGCTTGGTATAGCCTATTGTTGAAGCTTTGAATTGTATTTTGTAACTCCTTTTTTTATTTCCAGAAGTTCTGTTTGTTTGTTTTGTTTTACAAACATATCTATCTCATTGATAAATTTCTCATTCTTATGCTGAATAGTTGCTCTGATTTATTTGTATTGGTTATCAGGTTTCTCTTGTATCTCACTGAACTTTTTTAAAATCAGTATTTCGCATTTTTTTTTATTCTGGAATTTCCAAGATTTCTTTTTGGTTAGGATTACTTGCTAGAAAACTACTGTGTGTGTGTGTGTTTTTTTTTTTTTTTTTTTTTGAGTGTGATAGCATGTTTTTTTTTTCATACTTCCAGTATTATTACACTGATTTCTTCACATCTGGGCTAACATTCATTTCTTGTTTATTAATTTAATTTCTTTGGGGTGGGACATTTTATTGAGGATGTGTCTATGATGTATGTTGAGTAGGGTTGTTTGGCTTTGCTTCTGGGTACATTCAGTGGTGTAGACACTGTATGATTTCCTTGGCTATAAATAACGTTAATGTGGTAGCCTTCTCAAATTCCAATTGTAGTAGCAATGTATCAGGTGGGTGAGCAGGCTCAAAGACCCCTTAGAAGTGAGAGTGATGTGGGCAATGATGGAACAGAGGTATCACAAAGCTTGTCTCTTTCTTGAGTGCTGTGCAGTAGTGTCAGCAGATGAACTGTGCAGGTTGAACTTTCAGCTAGTAGGTAGCACTTGCAGGTGAGAGCCAGCTGTGGAGATTGTAGTAGGGTTTATGCTTGACCTTTTTTAACCAGAAGTGCTCAAGTGTCCCAGGCAATGTGCTGGGCTGTGGAACTCCCAGCAGTCCTGGTCCAATACTCTGCCTCTCAGGCAGGGGTGGGAGTATAGGCAATGCTGGGGAGGTCTGGGGCAGAAAAGCCTACATGTGGGCCCCCCATCAGTGGGCACAAGTGCAAGTCCCAGTGGAGGTCAGAAGGCAGTTCTCAGGCTTCTGGAACAATGCTCCAGGGAGAAGAAGAGCAATTGCTGCTATGCTAAATGGCTATCACTGGGAAAGCTGGGTGGCTTGGGCTCCATGGCCTAGTAGGTAGTAGTGGGATCCACCTCACTCTCATGCTCCTGACCTGGTGAGTATCCCTCCTGTGGCCTGTCACTGGCAGCAAGCTTGAGCAGCCAGCCAAGTCACAAGCAGTTTGTCTTCAGACCGAGAAACTCCCTAGGCCACAAAACTCCCTGTCCAGGACAAACCATGGCTCCTAGGCCAAATTCCTCCTGGTCTGGTCCTGCAAAAGGGTGGCACCCAACTCCTACACCAGCAGCTGGAGCCCAAATCACACTTGCTTCTCAATTCTGGCCATGAAGGCTCTTCCTCCTCTGGGAACAAGAGTGCAAATCGGATCTCCAAACCAGTGACTGCCTCCTGTGCTGGCTGCAGGTTCCCCAACATCCCACTATGAGTTAGGATCAGGAATGACCTCCTTCATACATGGAGCACTTCCCACTACCGTTCCTTCTCACAGTCTCCTAACTGCTCCCCAAGTCAGATTCAGGGCTTAGTAGGGTCAAGGAACTCCCCTGTGGCCTGGATTATCTGGCGCTCCAGCAGTAATGTGAAATTTTGCTTGCTTTTTATCCCCTTCCAATTTACATTTTTTGTTTGTCCTAAGTTTAGTTCTATCTGCTACTTTTAAAAGTGTCAGAGAATAATACCTCTCTAAACAATATAACTCTATCTTTATTACTTGATTTCTCTATTTAGACAACATCTTGACTCTTGACTATATAACAAGGCAATTAATAGCCCTTCTTTTTTTTCCATCTCTTCTTCCCTTCAGTTCTCAACTTCTGTTGTATGTGCCATTATTTTTAAATTTTTAGGTTTATGACATAGGCACAGTTAAGCCTTACACATTTTGTTTAGATTTATTCCAAAATTCAAATATCCAAAATTTATGGAATTTTCTAGATAGCCAGTGAAGTAACCTATAAATGGGAATTGTTTTATTTCCTCTTTTCCAGCCGGTATATATTTTATTTTTTTCTTAACTCATTGCACTGGGTAGGACTTTTTGTACAATGTTAAGTAGAGGTGGTGAGACAGTATATCTTTGCTTTTTTCCCAAGTTAGAGAGAAAGCATTCAGTCTTTATGTAACATTAAGTCTGATGTTAACTTTATGCTTTTTATAGCTGTCTTTTATCAGGTTAAAGAAGTTATATATTTCTAGTTTGGTGAGAACTTTTAGCAGGAATGGATATCAAATTTTGCCAAATGCCTTTTTTCATTTACTGACATAAGAGATATTGATCTGTAGTTTTTATTTTCTCTTTTTTGGAATGTCTTTGTCCAGTTTCTGTATCTGAATGTTTATTACTTTGATCAATTCAGATATTTCTTTGTATCCATGTATTGCTTGTTCTCTACTCTTTCTATTTTCTTCTTCTGGAGCTCTTTTCAGATGTATGTTAGACCCTTTGGTCTATTCCCCATATTCCTATTTCTCTTTCATGTTTTCCATCTGCAGTAATTTGCTAGGGTTAACAAAACCACAGATGGTGTAGCTTAAACAACAGGATTTTATTTTCTTACAGTTCTGGAGACTAGAAGTTCAAGATCAAGGCATTGGCAGGTTTGGCTTCTTCTGTGGCTTCTTTCCATGGCTTGCAAATGGCTATCTTCTTGCTGTGTCCTCACGTGGTTACCTCTCAGTCTGTGTGTTGTCTGTGTCTTAATCTTTTTTTTTTTTTAACGATACTTTAAGTTCTAGGGTACATGTGCACAACGTGCGGGTTTGTTACATATGTATACATGTGCCATGTTGATGTGCCGCACCCATTAACTCGTCATTTACATTAGGTATATCTCCTAATGCTATCCCTCCCCCCTTCCCCAACCCCACAACAGGCCCCAGTGTGTGATGTTCCCCTTCCTGTGTCCAAGTGTTCTCATCGTTCAATTCCCACCTATGAGTGAGAACATGCGGTGTTCAGTTTTTTGTTCTTGCGATAGTTTGCTGAGAATGATGGTTGTAACTCAAAATAATCTTCTCTTCTTCTAAGGACACCAGTCATATTGGATTAGTGCCCACCCATATGACCTAATTTTACTTTAATTGACTTTTTAAAGACCCCACCTTCAAATACAGACACATTCTGTGGAACTAGTGTTAGGACTTCCACATATGACTTTGGACAGAGGGCACAATTCAGCCTGTAGCACCATTTCTTTATTTTTCAGTGCCTCATTATAGTTGGTTGTTTTTAAAAACATAATTATTTAGATATAATTCTGTATTACCCTGTTCTTGCATTGCTGTAAAGAAATAGCTGTGACTGGATAATTTATAATTTAATTGGCTCATAGCTCCACAGGTTGTACAGGAGACATGATGCTGGCATCTGCTTGGCTTCTGGGGAGGTCTCAGGAAACTTACAATCATGGCAGAAGGTGAAGAAGAAGTAGGTGTCTCATATGGTGGGAGCAGGTGCAAGACAGAGTGAGGGGGGAGGTGTCACACACTTTTAAGCGACCAGATCTCAAGGGAACTCAGTATCATGAGGAGAGTATCAAGGGGGATGGTGTTAATCCATTCATGAGAAATCCACCCCTATGATCCCATCACCGCGTACCAGGCCCCACCTCCAATGTTGGGGATTACAACTCAACATGAGATTTGGTGGGGACACAGATCCAAACCATATCAAATTCACATACCATAAAATCAACCCATTTAAGGTATACAATCCAGTGGATTGTAGTATACTCACACAGTTGTGCAATTACCACCACAAACTAAAAAAACAAAATGCTCCACCTATTAGCAGTCACTCTCCATTTTGCTCCCTTCCTAAATCCTAGGCAACCACTAATTTACTTTCTGTCTCTATAGATTTGCCTATTCTGATATTTTAGTATAAATGGAATCAGACAGTATGTGGTTTTTCTATCTGACTTCTTCAGTTAGCATAATGTTTTCAAGGTTCATCCAAAGCGCATGCATCATCAAGTTGTTCTTTTTAATTGCTAAATACTACATCATTACATGAATATGTCACATGATGTGTATCCATTTATCAGTTGCTAAACATGTGGGTTGCTTCACCTTACAGTTAATATGAATAACACTATTAACATTGTAGACACACTTTTGTGTGGGCATATGTTTTCATTTCCCTTGGGCAAATACCTAGGATTGAAATTGCTGAATCATATGGCAAGTCTGTGTTTGACAATTTGCAAAACTGCCAAACTGTTTTCTCAAGTGCTGCGCCATTTTGCATTCCCACTTAAAATGCCTAAAGGTTTTGATTTGTATGTATCCTCCCCAACATTTATTAGTATGTGACTTTTTTTATTCTAGCCATTTTAATGGATATGAAGTTGTGTCTCATTGTAGTTTTGATTTGCATTTTCTTGATGACTAATAATGTGAAGCATCTTTTTATGTGCTTGTTGGTGATGTGTTTTTTCTTTATTCTATTAATGTGATATTTTATATTGATTGATTTTCATAAGTTGACCCAATCTTGCATTCCTAGGATAATTTCCACTTGCTTATGGTGTGTAATCCTTTGTATATATGGCTAGATTCAGCTTGCTGAGGGTTTCTTGCTTGTATATTTCTAAAGGATATTGGTCTGTAGTTTTCTTTATGTGATTTATTTGTCTGGTTTTGGTATCAGGGTAGTGTTGGTCTCGTAGAATGAGCTGAGAATTGTGCCCTATTCTTTTGTTTTCCGGAAGCATTTGTGAAGAATTGGTACTAATTTTTCATTAAGTGTTTGGTTAAATTTATCTTTGAAGCCATCTGGGCCTGGGCTTTCCTTGTGGCTGGCTTTTAAATTATTAATTCATTCTTTTCACTTGTTATAGGTCTATTCAGATTATCTATTTCTTATTACGTCAGTTTTAGTAGTTTATGCCTTTTTAGTAATTTGTCAATTTCATCTAAGTTATCTAATATGTTAGAATAGAGTTGTTCTTAGCAATATCATGTAATTTTTTTATTTCTATATGGTTGGTTGTCATTTCCTCTGTTTCATTCTTGATTTGAGTAATTGAGTCTATTCTCATTTTTCTTGGTCTAGCTTGGTCTAGCTAAAGGTTTGTCAATATTGTTGATTGTTTCTAAGAACTAACTTTTGGTTTCATTGATTTTCTCTATTTTTTCTATTCTTGATTTTATTAATTTCTACTCTAAATTCTTTCCTAATGATATGGTTGGATATTTGTCCCCTTCAAGTCTCATGTTGAAATGTAATCCCACTGTTTGGGAGTGTGGACTGGTGGAAGGTGTTTGGAGCATGGGTGCAGATTCTTCATAAATGGCTTAGTGTCATCCCCTTAGTGATGAGTGAGTTCACACGAGATCTGGTTGTTTAAAAATGTATGACACCTTCCCTGCCTTTCTTGCTACCACTCTTGCCATGTGATGCACCTGCTCATCTTCACCTTCTGCTATGATTGTAAGTTTTCTGAGGCTCTAACCAGAAGCTGAGCAGATATTGTTGGCTGTTTGTACAGCCTGCAGAACTATGAGCCAATTAAAACTCTTTTCTTTATAAATTATCCAGCCTGGGCATTCCTTTATGGAAATGCAAGAATGGGCTGACACACTCTGTTTGCTTTGTGTTTAATTTACTTCTCCTCTTGTGGTTTCTTATAGTGGAATTTAGGTTATTGATTTCATATCTTCCATCTTTTTTAATATAGGCATTTACAATTATAAATTTCCTTATGTACATTACTTTAGCAGAATCTTCAAAGTTTTGGTATGGTCTTTTTATTTGCTTTAATTCATCTCAAGATATTTTATAATTTCCCTTGTGATTTCTTCACTCACTTCTTGGTTATTTAGGACTGTGTTGTTTGATTTCCACATATTTGTGTTTAAAACAAATTTCTTTATGTAATTATTTTTTTAATTTCATTGTATTATGAAGAACACACTTTGCATGGTTTCAGTTCTTTTAAATTTATCAAAACTTGTTTTATGGTCTAACCCATGGGTGCTCCATGTGTACTTGAGAAGAATGTCTATTCTGCTCTTACTGGGTGGAATGTTCTATTGTTTGTTAGGTCTAGTTGATGTATAGCATTTTTCAAATCTTCTATTTATTTGTTGATCTTCTGCCTACTTGTTCAATCCATTATTGAAAGCCTGTCATTGAAGTCTCCAACTACTATTCTTGAAATGTTTGTTTGTCTTTTCAGTTCTGTCAGTTTTTGCTTCACGTATTTGGAGCTCTGTTGTTAGTTGATATTTGATTCTTTTTAGATAGTGCATTATTTTTTCTGCTTTTTTTTACATTTTAATCATTTTAATAATATTCATGTCATTTCTATCTTACAGTTTTATATCCGATGTTCTTGACCATCAAATCCTTTCATTGTGCCTGCTGATCTCACGAAGCAAAAAAAGCTTTTTCACATATTTTGTGAGTTTTTATTGTGAGCTCATGTTTAAATAATTTTATCTGTAGGAAACGTATACAGCCTAGATTAAAGGTATGTCTTTACAAATTGATTTTTATTTTGCATCTGTCAGATGCTCCAAGAATATCACCATCCTGGAATTGTTTTTTATGTATATTTGTAATGTAGGAAGGTCCTGCAGAAAGCTTAAATTTCATACCTATAATTGTGTAAGCATAGGCCCATGAGACACCTTTTTGTCCCACTGAGAGGCTAGACGAGAACAAGCAAACTTCCTTTTGTTTTCTCTAAGCTTTTGTTTTGATGTTTTCTAGACTATCCTTTTACAGAATGTGAACCCTTTCTGGAAATCTGGCTTTTATATAGAAGTCTCAGTTCTATTCCTCATCATAAGCAGGATCAAGACCTTGTTTCATTTCACTATGAGGTCATTAAAACTAATATCCCTGAGTTACTGAGACCATGAAACTCCCCTAGTGCTGCTACAGGATTAGTTCAGGCCCTTTGGTTTTTCCTTTTCTCCTTGTTTTTGAAATCTGGGAATTAATTTTCTTGGGCCATGTCTATGCATGTAATAGGATGGTTGTAATACATTAGCTGGCATTTGTAAAGAGTTTTCAAGTTTCCTACTTCAGACTATTGTCAGAAATAAAAATCAAGTCACTTTCTCTCCTTTTTTTTTTGGAAAATAAGGTTGCTTTAATAAAAATAAATTTAATTCAGAAAGAAATAGAAAATCACCTAATCACTACACTAATAATCGCTGCAGGCAAGATCCATTGATGAATATCTACTGAGGAATATCTATTTGGAGCCACAGCGACTCACTGAAACATCCTTTGCTGATGAGTGTTAGACATTCCACATTCTAGTCATTCATTCCTCCCTCTATTAAGTCCTCACTGCAAAACTTAGGACTCCTGTGAGGTGGCCCAGCCCTCACCTCTTCTTTCATTGATAGAAAAACAGAGTACTCTCTCTCATCATCAAAAAGAAACTGAATCTGATTACAGATACAGTGAAAGCTATATTCTTATTCCTATCATAACAATATTCATGTCCAGCTGTCACTATAAACCAACATTCTTCTCTCACCTGTGAGCAACTGATAGCAATGGCAGAAGTTGCTCTCTTGGTGGGCATGGAGGTGAGCCTCATGATCCAGGTAGTCTAGGTCCCATGGAAAATAGTCCAGAGCTCTTCCCTAGGAAGCTGAATATGACCACTGCCGACAAGCTGACAAGCATGCTACTTGTATATATCTGAAGAGACACTGAGGATCAGTTCCCTCAAATGACCATTGGGTGCAGAGAGTTCCAGATGTAAGGTTTAATGTATCTTGCTGAGGTGAATACCCATTGTGGACAGGGCCACCAACCACAGACACTGGACCAAGTCAGTGATATTTTTGAATGTTACCGGGATCTGGTTAGAGCCATAGTTTCCTACACAGCAGGTGAAGCAAAAGGTCCACTGAAAGACCTCATCCCAGAGTGTTCTTCTACACAGCTGAAATGGTTTTCTCAATAAGATCAATGGTTACAGAAATAACATTTGATCCAGCAATCCCATTACTGGGTATCTACCCAAAGGAATATAAATCACTCTTTTATAAAGATACATGCGTGCATATGTTCACTGCAGCACTATTCACAATAGCAAAGACGTGGTGTCAACCCAAATGCCCATCAATTATAGACTGGATAAAGAAAATGTTGTACATATACACCATGGAATACTACGTGGCCATAAAAAAGAACAAGATCCTGTCCTTTGCAGGGACATGGATGGAGCTGGAAGCCGTTATCCTCAGCAAACTAACAATGGAACAGAAAACCAAACACCGCATGTTCTCACTTATAAGTTGGAGCTGAACAATGAGAACACATGAACACAGGGAGGGGAACAAGGCACACTGAGGCCTGTTATGGGGTGCAGGGGAGGGAGAGCATCAGGATAAATAGCTAATGCATGTAGGGCTGAATACCTAAGTGATGGGTTGCTAGGTGCAGCAAACCACCACGGCACATATTTACCTATGTAACAAATCTGCACATATATCCCAGAACTTAAAATTAAATTAAATTACATTAAACTTAAAAAGATCAATGGTTACTACAATTCCTTAAGGGGATCCTGAGTTTCTCAATAAGATCACTGGTTCATACATCTCCCTTGGGAAGACCAGTTATGAATAATAAAGCTCATTAGCAAGTACGATGTTAATTGTTATAACTAGAAGATACCTTTTCTGGAGTAAAATATGTTCCTTCTGTTCCTTATTTCTAACAATTTATTTATTTATTTTTGGCCATTACAGTTTGTTGAATTTTCTGAAATGACCATATGGCTTTTCTCTCCTCTACTTTCTTACCAAACACACATTCCTGGACTTCATCTTGGTCATAATGCAATTATATTTTCTGTGCATTTCTATAAGACTGTTATTAATATATTATTTGGATATGTTTTGCATCTGAGTTTGAGTGGCATCAGTCAAAGATTTTTTTCTCAGACTCTCCATTGGGATTTACTATCAATCTCTCACTAACCTCATGAGATGAGTTGTAAAAACTTTTTCTTTTAAAAAATTCTCTATTAAGAAGAAATCAGTCCTGCCAGAAGCTTGTCAATTTTATTAGCCTTTTACAAAAGCAGTTTTTGAGTTATCAAAATTATCTATTGCATTTTTCTTTTATATTTTATTAATATTTGCTCATGTATTAAGATTATAATGGAGCTGAAAAATTCCTATCGCCCAGTATTTACTATACCATACTTTTTAATCATTATTTTAAACTGTATTCTTTCTATATATTTATGGCTTTATATATATACACACATATATATATACATGTATATATATATGTGTGTATATATATAAAGTTAACCATAAAACAGTCTCAGCAGGTCCCTCAGGAGGTTTTTCATTTCTTTCTCATGCTTTGAATATCTTATTTTTTTCATAAAATATTAAAAAATATATTTCTATTCTGTCTCTGTCATTTCGTAGGAAATCACAGCTCCATGCATGTTATTGTCCCTGAAGACCTTCCAGTGGGACAAGATGTGGAGGTGGAAAGCAGTGATATTGATGATTCTGACTCTGTGTAGGCCTAAGCTAATGTGTGTTTTTGTGTCTTCATTTCTCAGAAAAAAAATTTAAAGGTAAAAAAGAAATTAAAAACAGAAAAATGCTTACAGAATGAGGATATAAATAAGGAAAATCTTTTTGTGCAGTTGTACAATGCGTTTGTGTTTGAAGCTAAGTGTTATAAGATAATCAAAAAGTTAAAACTCTTTTAAAGTTTTAGAAGGCAAAAATGTTACAGCAAGCAAAATTTAATTGATTATTGAAGAAAGAAAATTCTAAAAGTAAACTTAATGTAGGTTAAGTGTAGTGTTTATGAAGTCTAGAGTATTGTACGGTAATGTCCTAAACCTTCACATTCACTCACCACTGACTCACTGACTCACCCAGAGCAAATTCGAGTCTTGAAAGTTCTATTCATGGTAAGTGCCCTATAGAGGTGTACTATTGTTTATCTTTTATACTGTTTTTACTGTGCCTTTTTTATGTTTAGAAATGTTCAGATACACAAATGCCATTTCTGTTACAATTGCCTACAGTATTCAGTATAGTAATATGCTGTACAGGTTTGTGGTCTAGGAGCAACATGCTATCCCATACAGCTTAGGTGTGTAGCAGGCTATACCATCTAGGTTTGTGTAAATACACTCTATGATGTTCACACAATGAATAAAATGATGTAGCAATGCATTTAGCAGAACATATCCCTGTCATTAAGCAATGCCTGACTGTATATAAAAAGAATCATAAACTATGACCAAGCAGGATTTATCCTGGGAAGGCAGGACTAGTTCAACATCTGAAAATAAATTAATGTAATATATCACATCAAATCATAAAAAACAAAAATCACACAATCCTCTCATTACATGCAGAAAAAGCATTTGACAAATTCTAACATCATTTTATGATTAAACTTTATGATTGAAAAAAAGCAACACTCAACTAAAAATAGAAGGGAGCTTCCTCCACCTAATAAATGGTATCTACAAAAACCCCACAGCTAACATCATATTTAGTGGTGAAAGACTGAATGCTTTCTCCCTAAGACCAGGGACAAGACAAGAAAAGTCCACTCTCATCATTTTTTTTGAGACAGGGTTTCACGCCTATGGCCCAGGGCTGGAGTGCAATAGTGTGATCCGTGTTCACTGCAATCTCTGCTCACTGCAATCTCCACCTCCCAGACTCAAGTGACTCTCCCATGTCAGACCCCTGAGTAGCTGGGACTACAGGCACATGCCACCATGCCTGGCTAAATTTTGTGTTTTTGGTAGAGACAGGGTTTCACCATGTTTCCCAGGCTTGTCTCGAGCTCCTGAGCTCAAGGGATCCACCCACCTTGTCCTCCCAAAGTGCTGGGATACAGGTGTAAGCCACCATGCCCAGCCTTATCACTTCTATTTAACATTGTACAGGACATTCTAGCCAGGACAATTGGGCAAAAATAAATAAATAAATAAATAAACAAAATTAAAGTGATCCATATTAGACGGAAGTAAAACTGTCTCTATTCAAACTATAGAAACTCTTAAGGAATCCGCAAACAAACAAACAAACAAACAAACAAACAAACAGAAAAACCCAAAAAAACTGTATTAGAACAAATAAACAAGTTCTTTCTCCCTGAAGTATGTGCTTCTCTCAAGTGTCTGTTGGTAGTAAACCATTTTCATTAGTACTTGGGAAAGTGCCTGAATTTCACCTTTGTGCTTGAAAGAGAATTCTACTGGGTATAATGATACTTAGTTGATACTAAACTAATTTTTTCCTAGTGTGTCATTCTCTTGCAGGTAATCTATCTTTTCTGCCTGGCTGCTTTTACGATCTTGTCTTTGTTCTGAAGCTATACTAAATTTTTCTAGATATCTGTTACTTCATCCTGTTGCAAGTTGTTGGACTTCCTGCATCTGAGGATTGGTATCTTTCATCAATCTGGGGAAAGTCTCAACCATTCATTATTTGAATAATGTCTTTTCCTTCATTAACTTTATAAGCTCTATCATATATTACAATTAGACATGTTGGAATTTTTCACTCGTTAGCCTGCATCTTTTAACCTTTTATGTTTTCCTTATCTTTGGGCCATATTTTCAGAAATAACTTTTGAGTATTACCTAGTTCATAGTGACCTTTGAAACTATATTTAACTTTCAACTTAATATTTATATAGCTCTAATTTCAATTATAGTTTTTATTTCTAGAAGTTCTATTTGGTATTATTTCAAATCAAACATATTGATTTTTCGTTTCTTCCTAATGCTTTGAATATCTTATTTTTTCCATAAAATATTAAAAATATATTTCTATTCTGTCTCTGGTAATTTTAATATCTGCTATCTTGGCAGGTATTATTCTGCAATTTGTTTTTTCTGCATATTTTGTTTTATTTTGCTTTTGCTCCTGGAAGCATTCTTCCTCTTGTGCTTTGTATATTTTGATTGCAAATGCACAAATGTTCTTCAGCCATGCATTTAAATGCTTTTTAAAAAATATATATCTTACAGTTTAAATATGAAGTGCCAGGAGCTTTTCTTTACCTATTTAGTTTTAAATAAGTATAGAAACAGTTGTCCAATCATCCCACTATCTTAAACTTCTTATGTCATTTTGTTTCATGTATGTCTTTTGTTAAGTAGCATTATTTGCATTTTTCACTTAACATATTTGAGATGCCTTAATAGGCTAGGTTAGCCTTGACAGATTTAATGTATATTTGATATATTCTGTTATACTTCTGTTATTTTTATACTTCCTTGTTTTTCCTTGGCTAAATTTTGCAGTAGTGCTTCAGACTTTCTTGGTCTTTTTGGGAATGTATTTTGGAAGTTCACACATGTTTTATTCTACTGACATTTAATTTAATAATGCACGTTTCTCTAAATATATTTACTCTCTGTATAAGGGAAGAAATGTATTCTATTTATCTATACTACTTCCCTGTCCTCCACTGTTCCTCAGGTTTTTTTGTTTGTTTGTTTTTGTTTTTTGAGGCAGAGTCTCACTCTGTCACCTAGTTCAGTGGTATGATTATAGCTCACTCCAGCCCTAAATTCTTGTATACCTCATGTTTTTATTGACTAATCTGGCCTTTTAGATTTACTTTTATTTAATTGTATATATTATATATTTTCTCTTTTAAGAATTAGATGTTAAATTCACGTTAAATTTTGTAATTACATTATCTTTGTTTAGACATCTATTCTAAGTTTTACTGGATTTATCTACTCATCACCATTTAATACTTTTTATAGTGGCTGCTATGGTCCACTGTCCAGATTGACTCCTTCAGATCTGAGGCGTTCCTTCCTTCAGCTGCTAAGGGATTTGCCTACTGACAACTCACAGCTGAATACCTCCCCAGGCATTGCCCTCACCCACGGGTGTGCTCTTTTCTCAGGAATAGCCTGTGATATAGGGGTATAAAGTCTTGGTCCTCTTGCCACAGTTAAGGCATCTGTGAAAATCATCTTGGCTTCAAAGTTTTACATAGGATTGGCTAGGCCCTCTGTTGCAGCTATGTCTCAGTTCAGTTGTTTCCTCTATTCATGCCTTTTTCCTTGATTTCCTTACCAATATTGTTTCCAAGAGCACCTTCCAATAAACCAACCTGCATGCAAATCTCCATCTCAGAACTACAGTACCAGGCTTATCCCTAGGGTGTTCAGGGTCCTGAGCAAATACTGTCAATATAACACTTCGACTAAAATCTGTATCACAAACTTCATGGGCCCATCTGAGGTGTAGTGAGTTGTTAATGACATAGGTGTAGTGAGTCTTTTAGTTGAAGATTGAGACTAACGGGTAGAGAAAAGGTACTTCTGTCTTTGTTCATTGTCCAGTCAATGTTTGTGAAGACTATGTAGTGTCTAGGCACTCTTCGTGCCTATTCAGGTCAAGGAACTGTCTCTTCCAGTTTTTATTAGTGCTCTCTTTATTGTCAAATTCACAGTGCCTTACTAATTTTATACCTCTCACCAGGAGAAAAAGTTGTGGTTATGTTGTTAGACACAAAGCTACGCCTCTTCTAAACTTGTTTGTATTGAAACAACATAGATTTTCTTGACTCTGAAGTTCTCTAATACCTTTGTTTAATGCTAGTTACATTGTTACTTACGACACTGCATTACCAAAGCTGCCTGTGCATACAGGTTTCTAAGGACTCTCAAAGGCTGTTACTGTGCTTTGTTTTTGTTGCCCACAAATGAAAGTCCTTCTCAGAGAGGGAAGGAAAATGTGCATGATAATTCATTTTTCTGGTCATGTTAAATTTATACCTTGAAATTTTATGGCATAAATGTAGAATAACACATCTTCCAACTGTGTCTTCTTGGGAACTCTTTAAGCTATAATCATTGCATGCTTGAATGCATTCTCTTGATGTTGACAGCACCCTTGCTGCAAGCAGGAAGGCTAGGTGAGGGGCCTGCAGGCAGAGCAAGAAGAGTGGTCTCATTCATCCAAAGAATGTCTGTCCCTCCTCCTGCACAGTTTAAGACTGATCCAGGAGAGCACAATGTTATATCTATTGGTGACAAGAGAGGACATCAGTTGAAAGGGCACTTTGGCATTGTAGAAAAATGGTCTCAAAAGCCCTCTGAAGAGCTTCATCACCCCCAGAGGACTGCCTGACACATGGTACAGAACCTGTAGAGGGGGTGGCACCACGACACTGGTGGTGAACACACAGGGTAAAGGACTACGGCCTTCCTCTCACTGCTCTCTGGTGCTGAAGATCAGAGGCAGCAGGCAGTCTGAATATGGTTAAGTGAGTGCCAATCCACAGTCTCCCATGTAGCCCAAACCCAAGGGCCAGTGGTGGACCAAGAGACTTGAACTCATTTTGTGTCCAATGTGAGTGACAGTCACCCAAAATCAGTATGTCATCACTATTTTGGTGGTTCAATTTCATGCCTTCCGATGAAAGAAATATTGCTTTGGCCAGTGGAAGTGATCTGTTCACCAGGTCACTCTCCTAGAACCAGATCCTGGCCCCAGGGCCCCAGGACAACATCATAGGCACCAGTGCCAGGGGCACTTTGCATGCAGTTCCAGGAAGACCTTCTCTGGGTAAGCTCTGAGGCTGCCCTCAAGTGATTCAGCAGGGTAGGGCTTCCTTCTGCTTCATGGCTCACCCTCAGTTCTAGACTCTATTTCTATGAGCTTAGAGGATCCGGAGATGAAAAATTCTGCTGAAGGTTTTGCCTAACTTCACTTTCCAGGGAGTCTTTTCCATAATTTGTATTGGAACAAAAACTAGTGCCTGATTCATCCATCTGGTTCTATTTTTGATTAAAATTATGAAATTTCCTCAAAGATCTTCCCTATTTTCTTTGGAGATTTTTGTTTCTTACTGTTTTTCCCTTTCTCTTGACCATTCCAATGGGAATTTGGAAAGAAGGGAAGCAAATTCATGTGCTTAAATAATAATTTATTATTGTTACTTCTTGTTTTATTTAGGAACCCATTCTATTCACATCTCCTCCCATTTTTGAGGGGTTCTGTGGGGTTTGCCATTTTGACCTAGGCACCAGACTGTTCTTCAGACTTCAACAGAAAATCTGCAGGGATAGATGCTCATTCTCTGTGCTGTCTCCACATAAATATGAATGTCATCTCATAGTGGGGGTTCCCAGCCTGTTATCTGTGGATCTCTGAGTTTTGGGGGTACATCCCTAAGCTGGTCACCACAATGGAAACTTCTGCACACTCACAACTCCAAGGTTGGTCTGGATCTCACTCCTAAAATTGCTGAGGATCTTTCTTTGAATATACTTCATTTCAATGAACTTCTTTTCTCCACACAATTCAGGGACATCTTTGACAAACTTTCAATGCCTTTTACTCTCAGAGGTCTCACAACCCCTGTGGGGTTAAATTGCCTGTTGAATGGGAGGTACTCTCACTGTAGAAAATATGCCTGGGTCTCAGACCTCTGACAGCCTCCATATAATTCACCCTAAGCCCTCCCTCTGCTTTGGGGGACTGTGTTTTTTTTCTGGTGAAGGGTCTGCCCAAAGTTTCTGGGCCTCCCTCAGGAGGCAGTGTCAGTCCAATCAGACTCTTCCTCTCTTAGCCCTTCCTGGAACACAGGGCCACCAACCCTCTGCAGAGCAGTGCAGTGGAGGGCCCAGTTATGCCTTTGAGCCATTTTCATTGCTCCTGGCTCATGGTTGTGCCTGATTCTCACATTCTGACATCGTTTCCACTCTCTCTTTGAAGTTCTTGACACTTAAAAGAATTGCCCACCCTTTTAATTATTAGTACACTATATAAGCATCTTGATAAAAAATTGAATGAATCCTGCATTAATTTTTCTGCTGGACCTGCCAACTGGGAACAGGCAGGATAAAGGGATTTTCTAATGCTGGCCTGGCTCTGAGGCAAGGGTGAATCAGCCAGAGATGCAGACGTAACATCACAGGCAGCCAGCAGTCACCTGTGGCTCAGGTTGCACGATTCCTACTGTGCAGCCCTGCAAACAGAGCCCTTTTCTAATGTACAGGCATTGGTCCTGGAGGAGCTACTCCAAGACTGTCCCTCTTTGCAAAGGAACTTATTTAGTAGAGCATCTCCAGGCTTTTGAGTCTATGTAGTTCTCTGCTGAACACTTCCTATGCTGTTCAAGAGTTTAGGAAAGGCTCAACTTTTTCAAGTTGAGAACCTTGCTACGGATACCCAAGTGTAAGCGATTTGGCTGTCTATCTTCTCTGGTCTTGTGTTTCTTCCTCAGAGGTAAAGGAGAAGAACTCAAGAGATATCTATACTCCTCTCCCCTGTCTTTTTCTCACTCATTTCTTCCTGCGCTTTGTCTGTGTGGCCATTTTGAACAGTCCCAAACATCTTGGGAATTCCCAGGAGGTGCTTTCATTCTTTCCTTAAGTGTTATAACTACTGTCCTTACATTTCCTACTTACAAACATAAATGTTTGTTGCAGAGAATTAGAAAATACAACAAAAAAAAGAATGAAAAATCACCCTAGTCTCACTATTCAAAGAGACAGTAATTATTGTGAATGTTTTAATGCATTTCCTTCTAGTTGCTTTTCCATGTTTATATTTATTTTTTACCTATGTTATATTACTGTACAAACTATTTTGTATCTTGTGATTTTCACTTGACAATATGCCCTGGACATTTTTCTCATGTTACTAAATATTTCTCTGTAACTCCTTTTAAAATAAGTATATCAGATGCCATTTCATAGCCGTAACATAAATTGGTTTTCTAATTTCTGGCTGTTTAACATTAAGGTTTTCATCTTCTTCTCTCTCTCCCTCCTCCTTTTTCTCTTTCTTCTTCTTTTTCTTGTTTGGTTTTAGTATTATAAACAGCACTGGGAGAGAGTAAGCCCCATTTTTGCACAAATCCTTGATTATTATTAGCATAAATTCTTAGAAGTAGAAATCCTTCATCCTTGTGTGTGTTAGGCTATTCTTGCATTGCTATAAAGACATACCTGAGGCTGGGTAATTTATTAAAAAAAGAAGTTTAATTGGCCCACGGTTCTGCAGGTTGTACAAGAGGCATGGCACTGGCATCTGCTTGGCTTATGGGGAGGCCTCGAGGAGCTTTTACTCAAGGTGACAGTCAAAATGGGAGCAGCTATCCCATATGGCAGAATGGGAGCATGAGTGAGGGAAGTGCTAAACACTGAAACAACCAGATCTGAGAACTCGCTCCCTATCCTGAGGCCAGCACCAAGCTATGAGGGATCCGCCCCCATGACCCAAACATCTCCCACCAGGCCCCACCTCCAACATTGGGGATTACAATGAGATTTGGCAGGGACCTATATTCAAACTATATCATCATGCATGAAACTTCTATGTTTTTTAAAAACACCATATTGTCTTTCAGGGAGGCTAGATTAATTTCTATCTCTGCCTGCGGTATGTAAGTGTTCATTGTGCCAATGTTAGATTATTATCTCTTATCCTTGTGTGTGTGTATAACATGTATACACACAATATATGTTTTATATCTATATAGCACATATATATAATTTTCTAGAAAACTATTCAGAAATGTATTGCTTCAATTTGTGTTTTTTTGATAATAAAACATTTTTCAGGTGGATATTTCTCATCTTTTGTGTCATGCATATTTATATTCTTTGTTTTTGCTATTCTTATTCATTTTTTACTTACCAGATGATTTGGAAGAGCTTCTATATATTCATGATGTTACTCCTTTGTTCATTTCTATAGTTGCTTTATAGATTTTTCTGACATGCCAAATTCGAATTTTGATAGCATGAAGTTCATTCCTAAATTTATTCAACAAAAAATAATTTAGATCCTATTATATGTCAGGCATTGTTCTAGGCAATAAAGCATTGACAAAAGAGACAATGACCTCCCTCATGGGGTTTAATTTCTAGTGAAGAGTGGTGGGATCACACAATCAACAAATAAAGTGTGTAAAATGTCAGATAATGACAAACACTAGGAAGCCAGGTGAAGCAGCACAAGAGAGCAGAGACAGCCTGACTGCTTGGACTGTGGCAGCCAAGGGCAGGTGGCACCTTCTGAGCAGAGACTTGTGTAAAGGGGATTGAGCTCTGAGGCCCTCTGGAGGAACAGCAACTGCTAAAGCCTGCAGTAGGAAGGCACTTGGCATGCGGAAGGGCTGTAAGGAACCCAGTGTGGCAGGAGCAAAGTGAAGAGTTGGAGAGCTGGGAGGCCTGGCCAGCATGCTGAAGGCTGCTCTCTCCTGTTCGGGAGAGCCCTTTGGCTAATTTTCAGGAATTTTGATAGTCAGTTGTTAAACATAGCCATGATCAAAAGTTAAATTATCTAAACTTAAAATGAAGTACATTGTATCAAAAATGAAGGCAGAAAATACTCAAATTTCTTCACTTTTTAATTGTCTTATTACAATTGACTATGAGCTCTGCTCTGGAGGTTAACTGCATCTATTTTATCTGCATGGTGTAAACACTGTACAACCATGAGCTACCGTGTGTACCTCCACTATTCTGAGCTCAGTGACAACATGTTGGTAGCTTGAAATCAGCCATGGTGAAAATATCTACACCATGGAAATCAGCAAATTCTATAAATCCAGGGCTTTTAAAAATTCTTATGTCGATTGTCTAGACTTCAAATGATAGAGAAAATGTTAATGTAGACTAAGCTTAAAAATGTGTTGTGTCTGTAGCATTTACATTATGAAGAGCACAAAAAATTGAGGAAATAATCTCCCAGTATTTACATATTATTATCCAATCCAGCAAAACGTTGTTTGCACCACTGATGAGCAAGTGAAGTTCTAGCATAAGTTTTCATTGTTTCACTTTCTTCTTACGAATTAATATAAAGAAATATGTCAAGCAACATTCATTTTGGAATTATACTCACTCATCGGTTGTAGCTATAGGTTTGCTAAGGATACACAAGTCTGGCAAAAAACAGTGAAAGCATTCTGTGAGAATTAATTGACTATATGGAATTTACAATGAACAATACTGTAGAGTTTATTGCCATTTGCAAATTGTGTGCAACATATCCTTTATATCAGTGAAATGTATAATAAACGCACATATGTATATATGGGCATACATTTTTTTCACAACTGGTTATTGAACCAGCACAGCACTAAAGCCAAGACCAGAACATACTGGGCTTTTGGAGACCAAGCAAGGATTTCAGCTATTTATTCTAAGTGTGATTGGAAGCTCTTAGTGGTTTTTGAGTAGAGGAAGAAAATGGCTAGTTATTAGTTTATAAGAATCATTTTGGCTGCCATATATAAAATGGATTAAAAGAGGTCAGAAGGGAAGCAGGAAGACCAGTGAGAAGGCTCTTACAGTGACCTAGGCAAGAATGACAGTGCCTAGGGTGGTGGCAGAAAAGTGATGAAAAGTGGCTGTATTCAAGATACAGTTTGTAAGTAAGTCCACAGGCTTTCCTGATTAATTAGATATAGGGTTTGGGAAAAAGAAAGAGATCAAAATGTCTCTGTGGGGCTTTTGATGTGAGCAACTATGAGGATGGCAATGGTGCCTGAGACTGGGGACCTACGAGAGGAATTTGGATGGGAATATTAAGAATATGGTTTTGGATGTGTGACATTTGTGATGCTGTAGGGACTTACAAGGGGGAGGTCAAACAGGCAAATGGGCAGGAGAATCTGCAGTTCCAGGAGAGATAGGTGCTAGAAATGAACATTTCGTGTTCAAAAGCACAGCAAAGGGTATTTAAAGCCTTGAAAAGAAATAAGATCATCAAGATATGAGTATAACAGACAGGAAAGAGTTTCAAGATGACATTCTAGAGCACCCAACTCCTAGAAACTGCAGATGTGAAGGGGGCACAGAAAAGAACCAAGAATGTGGAGTGGTCTTCATGCCCTTATGTAAACTGTCTTTGGCGTCTGCTTTTCTCAACTATCTCTGCACCAGTAATAAATTATTTTAATTCCTATAGGTTTATGATAGATTTTAATATCAGGTAGAGTAAGCCCCTGTCATTAGTTTTGTTATAATTTTCCTAGCTATTCTCTTGTGTTTATTTTCCTTGTTATGGTTTCAGATGGTGGTGTTTGTGTTAAAACAATTTGACGGTTAAATTTTAAATCATTTATTATTTAATTGATACCTTTACGATATTAAGTCTTACTTTCTAAGAAAATGTTATTTCTCTCAATTTATTCAAATATGCTTTTATGTGCCTTTGTAAAGTTTTAAGGTCTTCTTTATAAAGGCCCTAAATAATTTTTGATAAGTTTATTCTTACACATTTATTTTATTCTATTATAAACTGAATACTTTCTCCCCATTGTTTTTCTAGCCAGTTATTGCCAGTATATAAGAAAGTTATTCATTTTTATATACTCAGTTTTTGTCCAACTTACTGAATGCTCTTATTCATTATGAAGGATCTTTAATTCATTGGAGCTTACCAGAATGATAATGATAATAATTCAAATAATAGTGGTTAGATATTATTTTCAAATATTTACATCTTTTATTTTCAGAGTTGAGATAATTAACTAGGCTGAGAGCATATACCCTTATATTTTCCCTGAATTTAATGGGGGAAAGCTACTCTTATTTCAATGTTAACTATGCCATTCGCTAGTTTTATTGAGATTAGTGGTTCTCAAACTTTGGCGTTTATGAGAATTAATTGTATTTTTGTTAACAATACAGAATCTGAGAATTCATGTTTCAGGTGCAGAGGTTAGGATGAGGCTCATGTCTCTACATTTTCAGCAAGCAGCTTAAGCCCTGCCGAAGAGATACACTCATTTTCATGTTAAAATAACATTCTCCTATGCCCAGTTAAGTTTTATAAAACACTTTTTAAAATCCTCCATCAAGTGTGAATTTTATCCTCTAATGAAATAATATGATAGATTCTAATCTTGAAATAAATTTAGTTGAATTACTAAAATGTACTTTCAATTTTACTTAAAATTGCTTTTACCTCTATATTAAAAAGGGAGCTTGGTTTATACTTTATTTTCAAGGTTACTTTTGTCAGGATGTGTTTTTCGAAAGCAGGTACTTGTTCTAGCTTTTAAAAAATGGATCAGAAAACTTTCATATATATACTAATGATTTCATATATATTATATATTGACTTATGTGAATACATATAGAAGTTTTCTGTCTCTTAAAAGTTTGAATTCCTTTTGCCTATAAAACTCTCTGGGTCTGATGCTGTCATTGAAGGTATTCAATTCTTTGAAAATATTTCCGACTTACCACCCCACTCCTCCTGGCCAGGTTATCAGTTTAGGTCTTCTTCAATCTTGAGTCAGGTTGGATGATTTATATTCTTCTAGAAAATTATTTTCTAAAATTCCAGCCTTTTGAAAACTGATTTTTAAAAAATCTCTATTTTTGATTATGCACCTTTCTCAACTCTTAATTTTATGTATTTCCTGATTAGCTATTTTATTTACTAGGCATATAATCTGCTGTTAGATTTATTTTTTATCAGTTCTACAGATTTTATTTTATAATTTAGTAACTTATGCTTAACTTTACTAGTTTTTCATTTTTCGTTATATTTATTAATGATTTCTCGATTTAGTTATTTAGTTAAAACTAGGGGATTCAGTTGTTTTCATTCATTTGTGTTTAACGTTGAAAGCATTTGAGATTCATTAGATTTTCCTTGAGATTAGTTTTAGATGCATCCAATATGTATTAACCTGGAGTCTTCTTATTATTACTGTTGTTTTCAAAATTATATGCAAATGAAAAATGTTATTTCTTCTTTGATCTAAGAATTATTTAGGAGAGTGGATTTTAAAATCTTTCAAAGTGTTTGGGACATTCAATATAAATTATGAAATTAAGTTTAAGTGTATTCACTGTGGCTTGTACGATTTTTATCTCATCTTTTTTTGTGGACTTATAAATGATATATGATGAGTATATTGTAGGTGTAGCATGGGCCATTGAAAAGAATTGTGTAATCTTTGCTCTTGGAGTACCGATTTCAAATTATATAGAAATGTACACATATGCATAAATACATATGTATAAAATATATTAATATTCTCTTGTAATATATTATTTATATCATCAATATGCTTGCTTTGCAGCTTATTTAATATGTCTAGTATTTACAAAGGTATGTTCAAACTTCCCACCACCATTGTGCTTTTGTAAATTTATTCTTCTACAAGTTATTTCTAATAGTTTGCACCTTACATATCTTGATGCAATATTTTTCAATACACAACGATTGATGACTATTATCTTTTCACTGCAAATTTTCAGTTTATTAATATCAAATTCAAATCTTTCTTCATAGCAGTTGATTTAAATTTTTATCCTAACGTTAAATTCATATGTTTCAGTGCTTTTTTGGCCTTGATTTCTAGTTTTTCAACTATCAATATTGCAATACACATTTAAGATTTACACTTGCTTACATATATTTGCCCATTTTTCTGCTTTTCAACCTTTTGTATCACTTGTTTCAGGATGACATTAAAAATATTATTTATTTATTTATTTACCAGAGTTCTAGTGTTCTTTCCTCATAATAGGAAATTTTATCTATTTATATTTAGTTCTATAATGCTTTAATTTTTCTCATTCTTTGTAATGCTCTTGGTTAGCTAGGCTTAGGTTTTTTGTTTGTTTTTACTTTGCTTTAGATTTTTTACTATAAGGGCAAAGATGTCTTTACTTTTATCTTGTCCTGAGGTTGGAAAAGTGTTTACTCAATTCTTCATTTGGTAGTTAACATTAAGTTTTTCTATGTACTCTTCAATCTATTTTTAAGGATAAAATATTATCTTTTGAATATATATATATAATCTGGGGTTTTAAAATAATGGAATTGTTATTTGATATGTTAGAATTATCATTTCTAACATATCAAAAAACATTTATAATAATGGCTTTTGAAATTGGTATTTAGTTTTGTATATATTCTCAATTATTTAGATTTTTCTCTATTATAATTCATTTCAGGACTAGCCGTCAGTCCACTCATATCTTGATTTTATAATTATTGGACTCTTAATTTGCTTCTTCCTTTAGCTGGTAAAAGTATAGCTTCCACTAAATCTTTCAGGATTGGTACTTGCATAACTAGAATAACTTTCTTTTGCTTTTACACTGGAAAGACAAATTTGTTATGTGTAACATTATTGGATTGGAAACATCTTTTTATCAAAACTCTAGATATTATTAATTTTTTTTTTAATTTTGGGGTCGCCAAATTGTGTGGATTACAAAGGGGATATTGAGACTGGTGATATGGTTTGGCTGTGTCTCCATTCAAATCTCAACTTGAATTGTATCTCCCAGAATTCCCATGTGTTGTGGGAGGGACCTAGGGAGAGGTAGTTGAATCATGGGGGCCAGTCTTTCCCATGCTATTCTCATGATAGTGAATAAGTCTCATGAGATCTGATGGGTTTATCAGGGGTTTCCACTTCTGCTTCCTCCTCATTTTCTCTTGCTGCCACCATGTAAGAAGTGCTTTTTGCCTCCCGCCATGATTCTGAGGCCTCCTCAGCCATGTGAAACTGTAAGTCCAATTAAACTGTATTTCTTCCCAATCTTTGGTATGTCTTTATCAGCAGTATGAAAACAAACGAATACAGTAAATTGATATCAGTAGAGTGGGGCACTGCTGAAGAGATACCCAAAAATGTGGAAGCGACTTAGGAACTAGGTAACAGGCCGAGGTTGGAACAGTTTGGAGGGCTCAGAAGAAGAGAGGAAAATGTGGGAAAGTTTGGAACTTCCTAAGACTTGTTGAATGGCTTTGCCCAAAATGCTGATAGCGATATGGACAATAAGATCCAGGCTGAAGTGATCTCAGATGGAGATGAGTAACTTGTTGGGAACTGGAGCAAAGGTGACTCTTGTTATACTTTAGTAAAGAGAATGGTGGCATTTTACCCCATCCTAGAGATTTGTGGAATTTTGAACTTGAGAGAGATGATTTAGAGTATCTGGCAAAGAAATTTCTAAGCAGCAAAGCATTCAAGATGTGACTTGGGTACCGTTAAAGGCATTCAGTTTTATAAGGGTAGCAGAGCATAAAAGTTCAGAAAATTTGCAGCCTGACAATGTAATAGAAAAGAAAAACCCATTTTCTGGGAAGAAATCAAGCTGGCTGCAGAAATTTGCATAAGTAGCAAGGACCCTAATGTTAATCTCCAAGACCAGGGGGAAAATGTCTCCAGGCCATGTCAGAGATCTTCACAGCAGCCCCTCCCATCACAGGCCTGGAGGACCAGGAGGAAAAAGTGGTTTCTTGGGCTGGGCCCAAGGTCCCCATGCTGTGTGCAGCCTAGGGACTTGGTGCCCTGTGTCCCAGCCGCTCCAGCCATGGCTGAAAGGGGCCAACATAGAACTCGGGCTGTGGCTTCAGAGGATGGAAGCCCCAGGCCTTGGCAGCTTCCACGTGGGGTTGAGCTTGTGGGTGCACAGAAGTCAAGAATTGAGGTTTGGGAATCTCCAGCTAGATTTCAGAAAATGTATGGAAATGCCTGGATGCCCAGGCAAAAGTTTGCTGCAGGGTTGAGGCCCTCTTGGAGAATCTCTGCTAGGGCAGTGTGGAAGGGAAATGTGGGGTCAGAACCCCCACAGAGAGTCCCTACTGGGGCACTGCTTAGTGGAGCTGTGAGAAGAGAACCACCATCCTCCAGACCCCAGAATGGTAGATCCACCAACAGCTTGCACTGTGTGCCTTGAAAAGCCACAGGTACTCAATGCCAGCCCATGAAAGCAGCCAGGAGGGAGGCTGTACCCTGCAAAGCCACAGGGACAGAGCTGCCCAAGACCATAGGAATCCACTTCTTCCATCGGCGTGACCTGGATGTGAGACCTGGAGTTAAAGGAGATCATTTTGGAGCTTTAAAATTTGACTGCACCACTGGATTTCAGACTTGCGCGGGCCCTGTAACCCCCCTTTTTTTGGCCAATTTCTCCCATTTGGAATGGCTGTATTTATCCAATACCTATACCCCCATTGTATCTATGAGGTAGCTAGTTTGTTTTTGATTTTACAGGCTCATAGGTGGAAGGGACTTGCCTTGTCTCAGATGAGACTTTGGACTGTGGACATTTGGGTTAATGCTGAAATGAGTTAAGACTTTGGAGGACTGTTGGGAAGGCAAGATTGGTTTTGAAGTCTGAGAACATGAGATTTGGAGGGGTCAGGGGCATAATGATATGGTTTGACTGTGTCCACATTCAAATGCCAACTTGAATTGTATCTCCCAGAATTCCCACACATTGTGGGAGGGACCTAGGGGGAGGTAATTGAATCATGGGGGCTGATCTTTCCCATGCTATTCTTGTGATAGTGAATAAGTCTCACAATAGCTGATGGGTTTATCAGGGTTTTCTGCTTTTGCTTCTTCCTCATTTTCTCTTGCCGCCACCATGTAAGAAGTGCTTTTTGCCTCCTGCCATGATTCTGAGGCCTCCCCAGTCATGTGGAACTGTAAGTCCAATTAAACCTGTATTTCTTCCCAGTCTCAGGTTTGTCTTTATCAGCCGCATGAAAATGAACTAATACAACTAGTATGATTTTTTTATTTTGTAGGTGACCTGTGTTTTGCTTCTGGAGGTGATTTTATATGGAGGTTAGATGCAGAGAGCTTGGAGAAAGAAGATTATTTGTGTTCAAATCCTGGCTCTGTCGTGTAATAGTTGTGTGACTGTGGGCAGTCACTTAACCTCTGTGCCTCTGTTTTCTTATCTGGAAAGTAGAAATAATAAGAATATTTTCTTTAAATGGATTGATGTATATGTGTGCGCGTATGGGTTTGTGCCTGTGCATGTATGCATTTGTGCAGGTGCTTGTGTGTATTCATGTATGTGTGTGTAGATTGCTCAATATATGTATGTTCTTATGTGTATGTGTATGTGTGAGTGCCTACATTCACATGATACATGTGTCACATATACACACATGCATCCATGTGTATGTGTGCATGTGTGTGCATGTGTGTGTGTGTGTGTGTATATGTTGCCCAGAAGTTAACCACTGGAGAGCAGGGGACCACAGGAAGACACTTTCCAAGAGGCTGCTAGTAGGACCAGTCTTATGAGGCCAAAGACCAAAATAGCTAGTGCCTCTCCTCCCTGTTGCTCCTGTCCTTAATGTTTTATTTTGGCTGCTTATTTTTATTCTGCTAATTTAAAAAGAAGCCTATCTCTTCCATTTCTACTGTCACTTTTCTCATCAGCTCTTGCCTCAGTCAATGCAAAAGCTTATTTGACTTGTCTCCTTGCCTCCAAGTGTGGTCACCCCTAACTTTACAGTCTCAAGTGTAATGTTTTAAAAGTTTAGAGCTCTTTGCAGAACATCCCAATTTCAAACCTTGTAGTGACGTCCCTATACCTGCACACAGTTTTCCATGTCCTCAGCACACTGCACACACCTTTTGCACCTTTGCCAAGTTTTCTTGCTACTCACTCATGCTTAAAGACACTGTCTTTCTCCCATCCCAAATTCTGATTCAGCTCTTAAAACCTAAGTCAGGCATCACCCTTCCAGAAAGCCTCTCCAACCCCCTCCCTGTCTAAATTAGGAAACGCTCCTCTTCCTTAGGCCCATGTATGTTCTACTCTTATCTCTATCACTGTACTAACCACATTCTGTTATAATTCATTTGTTCACCTCTCATTCTAGATTATTATAATACCTCTTGATGTGTATGTATGAGTGTATAAATATGAATCAAGGGATGAAATAATGTTTTCTTCAACCTAATCTTCCCTCCACCTAACACAGTACCTGGCACACAGTCAGCACGTAATACATGTCTGTTGAGTGATGAAGGAAAGGGGTGCTGTGCATGAGATTGGAACTGAGCCAGCCTTACACTTTACTGTTACTCCCCTGCCCCTGTCTGTTGACTTCTTTACTATGAATAATTCAGACACAGTGAAGAAACTGGGGGTCCAAGAGTGTACATGATTTGCTAAATTCCACAGAACTAGTAAGTGGCAGAAGGGGAATTAAACTCTGGGCTTCTAACCTAGAGTCCAAGGATGATTAATTCAAAGTGTGGCCCCATCCCTGAGCAGGTTGATGTTAAAAAGCTGGGTTTTGAGGCCCTGGTGCTCAGGCACAGAGAGTACCATTGGCTGCCTGCATTTCTTCACCATCATTCAGTAAGAGCTGTGCCAGGTTCCAGCACAGAGAAAGAGATGAGTGCACTCTCCTAAAAGGAGGTGGGTGGAGGTGATGGGGTCTCCACTGTAATGAGCAGTGGGCTGGGCTGAGCACTGGGGAGGGTTAAAGGTTACTTCCCAGATGATTCCACTAAAAATTTCAATTCACTCACTTAATTCAGGTAGCTCGACAGGCCAAGTCAAACTAGAGCAATTACAGCCCATGGGCATCCCGTAGGAGAGGTAGGAGAGCTTTAACAATGCAATGCAGGGAAGATTACTCCAGGAGCTCTTTATTATGCCACCTCTGAGCCTTGGGGAGGGATGGTCTTTGTGTCTTGGGCTCGAGAAATAGTTTGCTCTTTCTATTTCTGAGCCAGAAATAATTTTTGGCTTCTGTTTGGTAATAATAACAATGAAACTCATAATAATAATAAATTAGAACAGTTTAACTTTACCAGAAACTGTAATTTGCTTCAATCCTGTGTTGAATCTCAATTCTATTTAACAGATACTTTTAAGCTATTAAGGTGGTCAAACAATTAACTTCTTAAGGGATCAGAGGTAGGGCTGGTGAATTAATGACTTAAAATATATAAGAAGAAGTAAAATTTGCATAACACTATGCTGTGATACATATTAACTTGTTTTCATCCTCACAACAACCCACTAAAGTAGACCAGAAGCTGTTGCTAGAGTCAGATTAGAATTATCCAGGCCAAGGGGACGGTTCCAAGATGGCCGAATAGGAACAGCTCTGGTCTACAGCTCCCAGTGTGAGCGACGTAGAAGATGGGTGATTTCTGCATTTCCAACTGAGGAACGCAGCTCCTCACCAGCCACGGAAGAAAGCCTGGATGGAGAATGACTTTGATGAGTTGAGAGAAGAAGGCTTCAGACAATCAAAATTCTCCGAGCTAAAGGAGGAAGTTCAAACCCATCACAAAGAAGTTAAAAACCTTGAAAAAAGGTTAGACGAATGGCCAACTAGAATAACCAATGCAGAGAAGTCCTCAGAGGACCTGATGGAGCTGAAAACCATGGCACAAGAACTATATGACGAATGCACAAGTTTCAGTAGCCGATTCGATCAACTGGATGAATGGGTATCAGTGATTGAAGATTAAATGAATGAAATGAAGTGAGAAGAGAAGTTTAGAGAAAAAAGAATAAAATGAAACGAACAAGCCTCCAAGAAATATGGGACTATGTGAAAAGACCAAATCTACATCTGATTGGTGTACCTGAAAGTGACGGGGAGAATGGAACCAAGTTGGAAAACACTCTGCAGGATATTATCCAGGAGAACTTCCCCAATCTAGCAAGGGAAGCCAACATTCAAATTCAGGAAATACAGAGAACGCCACAAAGATACTCCTCGAGAAGAGCAACTCCAACACACATAATTGTCAGATTCACCAAAGTTGAAATGAAGGAAAAAATGTTAAGGGCAGCCAGAGAGAAAGGTCAGGTTACCACAAAGGGAAGCCCATGAGACTAACAGCTGATCTCTCAGCAGAAACTCTACAAGCAAGAAGAGAGTGGGGGCCAATATTCAACATCCTTAAAGAAAAGAATTTTCAACCCAGAATTTCATATCCAGCCAAACTAAGCTTCATAAGTGAAGGAGAAATAAAATACTTTACAGACAAGCAAATGCTGAGAGATTTTGTCACCACCAGGCCTGCCCTACAAGAGCTCCTGAAGGAAGCACTAAACATGGAAAGGAACAACTGGTATCAGCCACTGCAAAAAAAAAAAAAATGCCAAATTGTAAAGACCATTGATGCTAGGAAGAAACTGCATCTACTAATGAGCAAAATAACCAGCTAACATCATAATGACAGGATCAAATTCACACATAACAATATTAACCTTTTGAGAAGTGTCTGTTCATGTCCTTCGCCCACTTTTTGATGGGGTTGTTTGTTTTTTTCTTGTAAATTTGTTTGAGTTCATTGTAGATTCTGGATATTAGCCCTTTGTCAGATGAGTAGGTTGTGAAAATTTTCTCCCATATTGTAGGTTTCCTGTTCACTGTGATGGTAGTTTCTTTTGCTGTGCAGAAGCTCTTTAGTTTAGTGAGATCCCATTTGTCAATTTTGGCTTTTGTTGCCATTGCTTTTGGTGTTTTGGACATGAAGTCCTTGCCCATGCCTATGTCCTGAATGGTAATGCCTAGGTTTTCTTCTAGGGTTTTTATGGTTTTAGGTCTAACGTTTAAATCTTTAATCCATCTTGAATTGATTTTTGTATAAGGTGTAAGGAAGGGATCAAGTTTCAGCTTTCTACATATGGCTAGCCAGTTTTCCCAGCACCATTTATTAAATAGGAAATCCTTTCCCCATTGCTTGTTTTTCTCAGGTTTGTCAAAGATCAGATAGTTGTAGGTATGCGGCGTTATTTCTGAGGGCTCTGTTCTGTTCCATTGATCTATATCTCTGTTTTGGTACCAGTACCATGCTGTTTTGGTTACTGTAGCCTTGTAGTATAGTTTGAAGTCAGGTAGTGTGATGCCTCCAGCTTTGTTCTTTTGGCTTAGGATTGACTTGGCGATGGGGGCTCTTTTTTGGTTCCATATGAACTTTGAAGTAGTTTTTTCCAATTCTGTGAAGAAAGTCATTGGTAGCTTGATGGGGATGGCATTGAATCTGTAAATTACCTTGGGCAGTATGGCCATTTTCACGATATTGATTCTTCCTACCCATGAGCATGGAATGTTCTTCCATTTGTTTGTATCCTCTTTTATTTCCTTGAGCAGTGGTTTGTAGTTCTCCTCGAAGAGGTCCTTCACATCCCTTGTAAGTTGGATTCCTAGGTATTTTATTCTCTTTGAAGCAATTGTGAATGGGAGTTCACTCATGATTTGGCTCTCTGTTTGTCTGTTGTTGCTGTATAAGAATGCTTGTGACATTTATGCAGCCAAAAAACACATGAAAAAATGCTCATCATCACTGGCCATCAGAGAAATGCAAATCAAAACCACTATGAGATATCATCTCACACCAGTTAGAATGGCAATCATTAAAAAGTCAGGAAACAACAGGTGCTGGAGAGGATGTGGAGAAATAGGAACACTTTTACACTGTTGGTGGGACCGTAAACTAGTTCAACCATTGTGGAAGTCAGTGTGGTGATTCCTCAGGGATCTAGACCTAGAAATACCATTTGACCCAGCCATCCCATTACTGGGTATATACCCAAAGGACTATAAATCATGCTGCTATAAAGACACATGCACACGTATGTTTATTGCGGCATTATTCACAATAGCAAAGACTTGGAACCAACCCAAATGTCCAACAATGATAGACTGGATTAAGAAAATGTGCCACATATACACCATGGAATACTATGCAGCCATAAAAAATGATGAGTTCATGTCCTTTGTAGGGACATGGATGAAACTGGAAACCATCATTCTCAGTAAACTATCGCAAGAACAAAAAACCAAACACCGCATATTCTCACTCATAGGTGGGAATTGAACAATGAGATCACATGGACACAGGAAGGGGAATATCACACTCTGGGGTCTGTGGTGGGGTTGGGGGAGGGGGGAGGGATAGCATTGGGAGATATACCTAATGCTAGATGACGAGTTAGTGGGTGCAGCACACCAACATGGCACATGTATACATATGTAACTAACCTGCACAATGTGCACATGTACCCTAAAACTTAAAGTATAATATATATATAAAAAAAAAGAAAAGTAGAAACAGGTGAGATTTATTATAATAAAACTTTTTATTTAACCAGAAAAAAAAAACCAATATTAACCTTAAATGTAAATGGGCTAAATGCTCCAATTAAAAGACACAGACTGGCAAATTGGATAAAGAGTCAAGACCCATCAGTGTGCTGTATTCAGGAAACCCATCTCACATGCAGAGGCACACATAGGCTCAAAATAAAGGGATGGAAGAAGATCTACCAAGCAAATGGAAAACAAAAAAAGGCAGGGGTTGCAATCCTAGTCTCTGATAAAACAGATTTTAAACCAACAAAGATCAAAAGAGACAAAGAAGACCATTACATAATTGTAAAGGGATCAATTCAACAAGAAGAGCTAACTATCTTAAATATACATGCACCCAATACAGGAGCACCCAGATTCATAAAGGAAGTCCTTAGAGACCTACAAAGAGACTTAGACTCCCACACAATAATAATGGGAGACTTTAACACCCCACTGTCAACATTAGACAGATCAACGAGACAGAAAGTTAACAAGGATATCCAGGAATTAAATTCAGCTCTACACCAAGTGGACCTAATAGACGTCTACAGAACTCTCCATCCCAAATCAACAGCATATACATTCTTCTCAGCACCACATCGCACTTATTCCAAAATTGACCACATACTTGGAAGTAAAGCTCTCCTCAGCAAATGTAAAAGAATAGAAATTGTAACAAGCTGTCTCTCAGACCACAGTGCAATCAAACTAGAGCTCAGGATTAAGAAACTCACTCAAAACTGCTCAACTACATGGAAAATGAACAACCTGCTCCTGAATGACTAATGGGTACATAACGAAATGAAGGCAGAAATAAAGATGTTCTTTGAAACCAACGAGAACAAAGACACAATATATCAGAATCTGTGGGACACATTTAAAGCGGCGTGTAGAGGGAAATTTATAGCACTAAATGCCCACAAGAGAAAGCAGGAAAGATCTAAAATTGACACCCTAACATCACAATTAAAAGAACTAGAGAAGCAAGAGCAAACACATTCAAAAACTAGCAGAAGGCAAGAAATAACTAAGATCAGAGCAGAACTGAAGGAGATAGAGACACAAGAAAACCTTCAAAAAAATCAGTGAATCCAGGAGCTGGTTTTTTGAAAAGATCAGCAAAATTGATAGACCACTAGCAAGACTAATAAAGAAGAAAAGACAGAAGAATCAAATAAATGCAATAAAAAATGATAAAGGTGATATCACCACTGATCCCACAGAAATACAAACTACCATGAGAGAATACTATAAACACCTCTATGCAAATAAACTAGAAAATCTAGAAGAAATGGATAAATTCTTCGACACATACACCCTCCCAATACTAAACCAGGAAGAAGTTGAATCTCTTAATAGACCAATAATAGGCTTGGAAATTGAGGCAATAATTAATAGCTTACCAAACAAAAAAAGTCCAGGACCAGACAGAGTCACAGCCGAATTCTACCAGAGGTACAAGGAGAAGCTGGTACCATTCCTTCTCAAACTATTCCAATCAACAGAAAAAGAGGGAATCCTCCCTAACTCATTTTATGAGGCCAGCATCATCCTGATACCAAAGTCTGGCAGAGACTCAACAAAAAAAGAGAATTTTAGACCAACATCCCTGATGAACATCGATGCAAAAATCCTCAATAAAATACTGGCAAACTGAATCCAGCAGCACATCAAAAAGCTTATCCATCATGATCAAGTGGGCTTCATCCCTGGGATGCAAGGCTGGTTCAACATATGCAAATCAATAAACGTAATCCAGCATATAAACAGAACCAACAACAAAAACCACATGATTGTCTCAATAGATGCAGAAAAGGCCTTCGACAAAATTCAACAGCCCTTCATGCTAAAAACTCTCAATAAATTAGGTATTGATGGGACCTATCCAAAAATAATAAGAGCTATTTATGACAAACCCACAGCCAGTATCATACTGAATGGGCAAAAACTGGAAGCATTCCCTTTGAAAACTGGCACAAGAGAGGGATGCCTTCTCTCACTACTCCTATTCAACATAGTGTTGGAAGTTCTGGCCAGGGCGATCGGGCAGGAGAAAGAAATAAAGGGTATTCAATTAGGAAGAGAGGATCAAATTGTCCCTGTTTGCAGATGACATGATTGTATATCTAGAAAACCCCATCGTCTCAGCCCAAAATCTCTTTAAGCTGATAAGCAACTTCAGCAAAGTCTCAGGATACAAAATCAATGTGCAAAAATCACAAGTATTCTTATACACCAATAACAGACAAACAGAGAGCCAAATCATGAGTGAACTCCCATTCACAATTGTTTAAAGAGAATAAAATACTTAGAAATCTAACTTACAAGGGATGTGAAGGACCTCTTCAAGGAGAACTACAAACCACTGCTCAACGAAATAAAAGAGGACACAAACAAATGGAAGAACATTCAATGCTCATGGATAGGAAGAATCAATATTGTGAAAATGGCCATACTGCCCAAGGTAATTTATAGATTCAGTGCCATCCCCATCAAGCTACCAAAGACCTTCTCCACAGAATTGGAAAAAACTACTTCAAAGTTCATATGGAACCAAAAAAGAGCCCGCATTGCCAAGTCAATCCTAAGCCAAAAGAACAAAGCTGGAGGCATCATGCTACCTGAATTTAAACTATACTACAAGGCTACAGTAACCAAAACAGCATGGTGCTGGTACCAAAACAGAGATATGGACCAATGGAACAGAACAGAGCCCTCAGAAATAATACCACACATCTACAACTATCTGATCTTTGACAAACCTGACAAAAACAAGAAATGGGGAAAGGATTCCCTGTTTAACAAATGGTGCTGGGAAAACTGGCTAGCCATATGAAGAAAGCTGAAACTGGATCCCTTCCTTACACCTTATACAAAAATTAATTCAAGATGGATTAAAGACTTAAACATTAGACCTAAAACCATAAAAACCCTAGAAGAAAACCTAGGCAATACCATTCAGAACATAGGCATGGGCAAGGACTTCATGTCTAAAACACCAAAAGCAATGGCAACAAAAGCCAAAATTGACAAATGGGATCTAATTAAACTAAAGAGCTTCTGCACAGCAAAAGAAACTACCATCAGAGTGAGCAGGCAACCAACAGAATGGGAGAAAAATTTTGCAATCTACTCATCTGACAAAGGGCTAATATCCAGGATCTACAAAGAAGTCAAACAAATTTACAAGAAAAAAACAAACCCCATCAAAAAGTGGGCAAAGGATATGAACAGACACTTCTCAAAAGAAGACATTTATGCAGCCAAAAGACACATGAAAAAATGCTCATCATCACTGGTAATCAGAGAAATGCAAATCAAAAAAACAATGAGATATCATCTCACACCAGTTAGAATGGCGATCTTTAAAAAAGTCAGGAAACAACAGGTACTGGAGAGGATGTGGAGAAATAGGAACACTTTTACACTGTTGGTGGGACTGTAAACTAGTTCAACCATTGTGGAAGACAGTGTGGCAATTCCTCAGGGATCTAGAACTAGAAATACCATTTGACCCAGCCATCCCATTACTGGGTATATGCCCAAAGGATTATAAATCATGCTGCTATAAAGACACATGCATACGTATGTTTACTGCGGCACTATTCACAATAGCAAAGACTTGGAACTAACCCAAATGTCCAACAATGATAGACTGGATTAAGAAAATGTGGCACATATACACCATGGAATACTATGCAGCCATAAAAAAGGATGAGTTCATGTCCTTTGTAGGGGCATGGATGAAGCTGGAAACCATCATTCTCAGCAAACTATCGCAAGGACAAAAAACCAAACACCGCATGTTCTCACTCAGAGGTGGGAATTGAACAATGAGAACACTTGGACACAGGAAGGGGAACATCACACACTGGGTCCTGTTGTGGGGTGGGGGGTGGGGGAGGTATAGCATTAGGAGATATACCTAATGTAAATGACAAGTTAATGGGTACAGGACACCAACATGGCACATGTATACATATGAAACAAACATGCATGTTGTGCACAGGTACCCTAGAACTTAAAGTATAATAAAAAAAAATTTAAAAAAAAAAAGAAAAAGAAAAAAAAAAAGAATTATCCAGGCCATAGGACAGAATGGTAACACCCATAGGTTTTTGGACTTTAGCTTATGTGTGAGTCTCAGCTCTGCCCTATTACAGCTGTAATACTCACTATGAAGTACCATTGTCTAATCCTCAACAAAATGAGGATGACAGCGGAATTACCATCAGGCTGGAATGAGATAGTGCCTAACATGGGATAAGACTCAGTGAATGATACTGTTATTACCAGTGGCTTGTCCCAGGTCACAAAATAGCAAATGGTGGAAGTGGAATTTGAATCTGAGCCTTTTGATTCCAAGTTTATTAGCTAACACACCTAATCAGAATTTGTAATTTCTCACTTACATAAATCTTAATTCATTCATCAAATATTTATTGATGACCACTACACCGGCCAGGTTCTGAGGTATAAGGGATGAAGTAAACACAGATTTGTTCTCAAAAAAAGGTTGACATCTAGTGAGAGACAGAGAAAGAGACACCAGAATGCATTGTAGCCCCACAGGATCCGTGACTGAGGCCTGCCTGGGATACAGTGGATACACTGGGGAAACTGAGATAGTCAATGAATTATAGCTCTTGGTTCAGGTACAGAGACTGTGAAGCCAGAACTAGGCTTTGAGGGTTGTGTAGGTATCAGAAGGGTTGAGAAGAAAGGATGGTAGATGGGGGTGGGAGAGGCTTTTCTGGCAGTACTGGTGATATGGGATAGATGTGTGGCTGGCATATAGTATAGGTGTTTTGGGGGACACAGAGGGAGGGAGGGCATGGAAAGTGTGAGGCCAGAGGAGTGGGTGGATATCAAGTCATGAAGAATCTCCTATGTCCTGCTGGAAGCGCTTGTCCTGCTGCAAGGTTTGCATTTTGCTCTATAGAGAATGGAGAACCATTGAATAGATTTTAACAAAGCAGTGTCATCATCAGATTATAATTTTAGTGGGCTTTAGAAGAGACCAGTATGTAAGAGGAATCACAGGGTGAGGAACTAGACTAGGGAAAAGAGCAAGGACCCAGATTCCAAGCAGGGTGTGCTGAATCTCAAGAGCTGGGACTATAAGCCCCTGCCCTGGGGTGCACCCTCATGGTGAGGTAGGAGCATGAGGGGAAAAGAGGCTGTGAGAGCAGGAGACTGAATTAAGGGCTGGGGGTTCACGAAATCACAAATGGGAGAATGCTCAGCAATCTTAAAATCCAGGGCTGGGCCACAGAGCAGCCTGTAGGAGTGGAGTGTGAGTGAAAGAGGTGATAATCAAGGAGAAGGAACCTTGAGGCTAGAGGTTTTATGAGCAGGGACATTTAGGTCCACAGTGAGGTAAACTTGAAGTGAAAATTCAAAATGGAAGTCAGGTGCCAATATTTTAATATTTGAATAACCTTCAGGTCAGTAGACAGCACAAGGAGAAGTGCTTGGATCACCTCTGGATCCAAGGAGAGCTGGGGTGTAGGAGAACGAGCTGCCTCCCCTCGAGAAAACCTCCAGAAACAGTATCCTTGCAAGACACTGGAGGTGAAAGCAGAGACCCAGATTTTAGATGAGTCAGAAAATGAATAGAGTGACCATGAAGAGGTTAAGGCTATAGGAAAATTCGTTTATAATAAACTGGGGGTTCTGGAGGACACCCCAGGAGAACTAAAGGGAAGTCAGTAGTTAAAGCAGGATAAAAAGACATGTTCCTATTTTTTCCCATGGCCCTTGGCCTAATTTAATGCTGTTGTGTTTGGCTGACTTCACTCTCTTTTGTGAAACTCTTTTCTATTTTTGTCTTCCTAGCGTGACTCTCTCCTGGTTTATTGTCTGTCTCTCAGGCTGAGACTTATTTATTTTCATCCACTAGATTTTTATTGAAAAACTTCTTTGTGCTTCCTGGCCCCTTCTTCACTCCTCTCTTGTTAAAAACAAGTTCTTTGACTCTTTTCATGTTTCACTCCACTGACTCTCACTCTTGGGCACTGTAAATGTTCTCATGGCTTCCATTCCTACCCGTGTATGTGAATTCTATGTTGAGCTCAGAGCTCTCTCTGAGCTCCGGCTTACATCTCATCGACATCTCCACCTGGATGTCTGAAGCCCCTGCATCCTCCAGAGTGCCAGATTCCCCCACACTGCCCATCAAGGCTGCTTCTCCTCAGATGTCCTCTCTCCATGAATAGCTCCCCACCCAGTCGCCCTAAAGCACAAGAAAGATATAAATTCCAAGAGGTCAAGAATTTTTATCTCTTGTTTACTGATATACCCACAGGACCCAGAACAATAATGCCTGGCACAGGATAGGTGCTCAAAAAACATTTATTGAATGAATGAATGAATGAATGAGTGAATCAATCAATCAATCCTTGGTTCCCCCTCTCATAACTGCTCACATCCAATCAGACGGTTTTGCTTGATTCTTCTCTGAAACCCATTCCCCCTTCTTGAGCACTTCAGCCTTTCATAATTCACACTGTATAATTTTCCTACAGCAGCGTCCACCTTCCTGGAACTCCTGCCAGGTGGCTTTGCTGCAGTCTACACTCCACGCTGCCACCAGGGGAATTTTAATAATTAACAGTTAGTTCTCAAAACATTTAGGATTGCAGGGCACCTGGAAGTCAGTACTTTACTCTCTGCAGAACACCATGAAATATTATTCTTCTTAATAATACCACACAACCATTTTGTAGGACTTTATGGCATTTCCCACAGAGGGTTCTGCAGAACAGAAGCTCCAGAAAGTGCTCTGAAAAAGGTTTCCATGATCAAATGTGTCTAGAAAAGTGGAACACCCAATCCCTATCTCGAGGAATCATACCACACATGTGAGTGTCATAGAAGTTGATCATTTCGAAAGTAAAAATTTTAAAGTTTAACCTTTTGAAATCGAGCATTTCCCCCCAGTTTTTGAAAAACAGAAAAGTTCTGGGTAATTCCAACAAATGGCTAACAGGATTATCATTCTGTGAAAATTATTTTGGAAACAGAGAACTATACTCTTTTAAAGTGGGTCTTGCCTTTGTCAAAAACACATTTTTAGAAACCACATTTTGGCAGAATAAACATAATAAACATGAGCCCAATGATCAAATCTACTGTCAAGATGAGGCTGGCAGGCTGCACAAAGCTGATGTTGGATGAGACCTGGCCTCTTTAGCTTCAACTAGTGATCAGTGGTTGAGAGGTGCTGCCAGCTCCAAAGTTTAAGGAAATGTGATGGAAAAAGAATTTCAACTTTTTGAAAAATTGCACCCATTAACTTAATCTTTGGAAAGAAATAGATGATTATTTTATGTGTGTGGTGGACTTCTTGATCTAGCTGAAAAACCACAAATCATCAGCTGCATATTGAGAGAACAAGTGCACTGAAATACATATGAGACTATACCCCTGACATGCAGAAAATACACACCGTGACCTGCTTTTTGGTTGTTCCCCATGTCCAGAGGACTCAGATGTGCCGGAGTCTGTCACCATGAATCTGTAACTGGCCCTTCGTGTATCCTGTTTGACAGCTTTGCTGACTCAGCCACCTTGCCACATCTCCCTGTCCCTCAGATGCCACTGTTTGCCCAGTGCTGGAAGTCAGAGTGGCAAATGTGAAACTCTCCTGTTAGATGCTAATGGGTTGATAGTTTTGGGGTCTCAAGTGAGATCCTTCCACATCCCACACAGTCAGCAGGTTGACTGTGTGTTCAATTTACACTAAAATTGATGCGCTTTTTTTTCCCCAGGCTGTGGGGAAGATATTTTAAGAAGGACAGTTCTAAATTTCTCAAATTCCATGTCTTATGCCGGTGGTTCTAAGACTGGTGGCTCCAAATCCTTGAACCTAAGTGACATAAAGGTGAGAGACTAAGAATTATTTCCTAGTTTCAAAAGGTCAAATGATCAACCATACACTAGTACATTAAAAAGCCACTTCTGGGTCATCCATTAAGACCATCAGTATGTTCACACGTTTGATTTGATATCCCCAATGCTGCATATGATCAGCAATGATAGATAAACAATTAAAAGCAAAAAGGATACCAACAGGCTCAAACACAATATAAACATGTCTGCATACCTCAAATAAGACAGAAAGGCAGGGAAATGAGCAAAGCTGAAGGCATGTGTCTGCTCCTCTCTGTGTCTGGCAGAAAGTCCAGAAGTAAGCCATCTGTTGGATAATGGAACTAAGGGGCTCCATGCAAGATGAGAGGCCAGAAAAAGCCTAATGCTTGATGCTAGGGCCTGGGAAAGGACATCCTAGCTCATGAAAAACCCTAAAGAAAAACCCCAATGATCCATGGCCTGCCACAGTGATGGCCCCAGCAACCTGTGAACCTGGGGGACAAGGAGTCAAGACACAGACTCAGCCTGTGGCAAGACGTGCATTAAGCCTTCCACAGCCTTGTGACTGGATCAGTTCTATAACTGACATCCTTCTGGGCAGGGACTCTAAGCTGCCAGTGTAAGGCAAGAATTTCTAGACTGGGGAACCTCCAATGGGAGTACTGAACAGAGGCAGCCATACAATTGCTGGACAGAGTCAGTGAGTACTGAGAATGGAGAGAAAAAAAAAAAAATAGGTGTAGCAACCCATTTAGACCCTCTTAAAGTGAGCCTAAAACCCCAAATTCTAAACATCTTGAAGAAATCTAAAGCCAAGAAAGACCAATAATATCTATCAGAATAAATATTTACTCAAGCAAAAATGCATTTAAGAGTGAAAGAAAGATTTGAAAAGTAGGTTTAAAATCTGAGACAATTAAATAGCTAATTTCAGTTAAAAATAAAAATTAGGAAGCAAAGTCAGTGAAATGAAACAAGAACAGATACATACAATAAAAATCAGATCAACAAATATTAGAAATAAAAATTATAGTCACTGAAATACCCAATGAATTATATAAATTCTAAACTAGATATATTTGAAGAGAAATGGTGTAAATTAGAAGATGACACTGAGGAATGTGTCCAGAATTTAGAACAGAAGGGGAAAGAGGTATAATGAATTTTAAGAGGAAAGTTAAGAAAATATGGAGAATAGTTTAAGGCAATCCAACAAATATTCATAGGGACTTCAAGAGAAAATAGAAGTCACAGCAGAGAAGTTGTTGTTAAAGAGAAAATAGCTAAGACTCCTTCAGGCATTACTAGAGAACAAAGACAGAGCTTGAAATAAGCAATCAGATTGACAGCAGACTTCTCCTCAGCAACAATAGATGCTAGAATAAAATAAAGTAATGCATTTGAAGTGTTGAAGTGACAAACTGTATACCTACGCACACTTCACTTTAGAGGAGGCAAAAAAAGACATTTTAAAATATCAGAAAAGAAAAGATAATTTTTCAATCACTTGCCTCTAAAAGTAAAAAAACAAGCAAACATAAACAAAAATCTTGGGAAAGACTCAGTATAAGGAAGGACAGTGAATCAAGAAGGAAGGCATGGAATAAAAGAAACAATGGAGAGCACAGAAACTAATCAGCTCTACAGATAAACAGAGTCAACTAATTATAATAGAAAACTACATGGAGGGGTCAAATAAAGTAAACATTAAATTTTTTTTTTAAATTAGGGTAGCTAGAAAGATTAAATAATTTTGTTTTATTCAAATATAATTAATTATAAATTATGAATGTTAAATATTTTGTGTAATTCCATTTTTATATTTGTTATTTTAAAATAATATTATAATAATATCATTTCTTGCATGTAAGAACCTTACAGTAGTATTTGTCCACTTACCCTCTCCTGATCTTTGTGTCATAATTGTTATATATTTAATTATGCATATGTTGTAAACCTTAGAATGCATTATTACTTCTGCTTGACAGTCTATTATCTTCCTAGTATAATTTTTTTTTTTTGAGACACAGTCTTGCTCTGTTACCCTGGCTGGTAACAGTGGCATGATCTCAGCTCACTACAACCTCTGCCTCTTGGGTTCAAGCGATTCTTTCACCTCAGCCTCCCAAGCAGCTGGGATTACAGGTGTCCAACACCACACCCAGCTAATTTTTGCATTTTTAGTAGAGATGGGTTTCACCATGTTGGCCAGGCTGATCTCAAACTGCTGACCTCATGTAATCTGCCTGCCTCGGCCTCCCAAAATGCTGGGATTACAGGCTTGATCCACCCCGCACTGAAGTAGAATTTTTAAAATAAGAAAAAAATCTTTTAGATTTACCCACTGTATTAGTTTCCTGTGGCTGACATAACAAATTCTCACAAACTTGGTGGTATACAGCAAATTAAATTTATTCTCTCACAGTTCTGGGGCCCTGGAGCCTTAAATCAACGTGTCAGGTGGATCAGACTTTCTCTGGAGGCTCCAGGAGAATGCACTCCAAGCCTCCCTCCTGGCTCCTGCTGGCTGCCGGCACTCCTTGGCTCTCCTTGGCCTATAGCACAGCTCTCCAATCCCTGCCTCTGTCTTTACATCACCTTCTTCTCTGTGTGTTTGCTTCTGTTCCTCTTCTGTCTTACTTTCCCCTGCCTCACACTTATAAGGACAATTGTGATTGGATTTAGGGCCCACCCAGATAATCCAGGATGATGTCATCTCAAGATCCTTAACTTAATTATATCACAAAGACCCTTTTTTCCAAATAAGCTAACATTCCCAGGTTCTGGGAACTAGGACATGCCCGTATCTTTCTGGGGGCTACCATTCCCCCTGCTGCCTTTACATCTTTACCATTTTGCTGCTCTTCCTTCCTTCGTGTGGATCCAGATTTCCATCTACTGTCGTTTCCTTCTTCCCGAGGGACTTCCTTTAACATTTCTGATAGTGCAGCTCTGCTGGTGATGACTTTTTCAGCTTCTGAATGTCTGAAAAAGTCTTTTTTTGCCTTGGTTTTGAAAGGTATTTTTTTCTAGGTGTGTAATTCCAGGTCGACAGGTATTTTTGCTTTTGATACTTTTAGGATGTTGCTTTGTTGTCACCTGGCTTACATTGTTTCAAACTAGAAATCTGCTGTTATTCGTATCATTGCTCTGTGTGTGTGCTGTCTTTTTTCTCCAGCCATTTTTAAGGCTGTTCTCTTTATCACTGGTTTTATACGATTTGATTAGTTTGCCTTGGTGTTACTTTCTTCATTTCTTGTGCTCAGGCTTCATTGACTACTTTGGATCTGTGAATCTAGACAATTTTGAGAAACAAGAAGATGGAAAGATTTGCCTTACCAGGTGTCAAGGTTTATTGACAACACAGTGTGGTTTTGTTTCAGGAATAGACAAATAACAAATGGAACAGAATTATTGTCTAATTTTTATAAATGTTCCATGTGCTCTTTAGAAGGTGTATTCTCCATTATCAGGATGTGTTGTTTAAGACATATACCCTAAAGAGTTAGCTTGTTAATTAGACTGCTAGACCTTTTATATTCTTTTATACCTTTTGTGCACTTGGCTTACCTTGTATTAAGAGTGCTGTATTAAAATCTTCTATTAAAAGTGTAGGCCAGGTGCTGTGGCTCACGCCTGTAATCCCAGCACTTTGGAAAGCTGAGATTGGTGGATCACTAGAGGCCAGGAGTTCCAGACCAGCCTGGCCAACATGGTGAAACCCTGTCTCTACTAAAAATACAAAAAGTAGCCAGGCATGGTGGTGCATGCCTGTAATCCCAGCTACTTGGGAGGCTGAGGCAGGAGAATTGCTTGAACCTGAGAGGCAGAGATTAATATAAAGGTAACTACTGGAATAAAAATATAAACCTCTTACCAGAAAATATTTTAAGCCCAGTGAGCAGAGATTATGCCACTGCACTCCAGCCTGGGCAACAGAGTGAGACTTTGTCTCAAAAAAAAAAAAAAAACTGTATTTCTATCTATTTCTCTTGTCATTTATGTTTTATAAAGGTAATTGTTGTGTTATTTCATGTGTATATATAAAGAACTGTTATGTCTTCATTGTAGAATGCGGCTTTTCATTTGTGAAGTGGTCTTTTTGTTTTGTATAATGCTTTTTGGATTGAATTCTACTTAGCTGATAGCACAACCACTATTCCTATTTTTTGTATTACTTCCATTTGTTTGGCAAATATTTGTCCATCCCTTTATTTTTTAGCTTTTTTGAATCACTGTGATTTAGGTGTATCTCTTTTATAGAGCTGAATTTTGCTTTATGAGCCTACTTGAAAACTCTTTTAATAGAGAAGTTAAACTCATTCACATTGACTGATAGAAGTATTATGTTTGTTGTCAATTCAGTAATATTATATTAGGATTACTGTGTATACTATGTTATATTTTTGTCATACTCATTGTTTATCTTGCTGTATTTGGTATATTCTTTTGGCCTTTTACAATTTTTTCTGGTATTTATAGAGGTTTATATTTTTATTCCAGTAGTTACCTTTATATTAATACTTTGTATGACACTAAATCCTCTTTTTCTTACCTAACCTTTCATTATCTGGCATATTAATTTTAAATGGAATCCTTTAACTCCCATCTATTAACTATATGACAGTCAATGAATAAAAATATCTAGCCCTGAAATAAACTTATTCAGTAAATAGTACAATTGTATAACCATTTAAAACTAAAATTATTTCCTCAATTCATGCCGTAAATATAAAAAAGCAAAATGCCGCCCATTTTAGAAGAAATATATAAATTAACCTTATGACATTAAGAATAATTATTTTCAACAAGACACAGAAAGGGCAAAAAAATTATTAAATCTTACCATATTAAAATTAAAATTAAAATATGTATCAATGAAAAACACCAAAGCATAGTGAAAGTCAAGCAACAAAATGGAAGAAGATAAAAGTAATAAAGTGTAGCTGTTTAAGAATTAGTATCAGAAATAGATAGAGAATATCACCTTAAATGTCTTCTTTTGAGAAGTGTATGTTCATATCCTTTGCTCACTTTTTGATGGGGTTGTTTGTTTTTTTTCTTGTACATTTGTTTAAGTTCTGTGTCATTTCTGGATATGAGACCTTTGTCAGATGGGTAGATTGCAAAATTTTTCTCCCATTCTGTAGGTTGCCTGTTCACTCTGATGATAGTTTCTTTTGCTGTGCAGAAGCTCTTTAATTTAATTAGATCCCATTTGTCAATTTTGACTTTTGTTGCAATTGCTTTCAGCATTTTGGTCATGAAATATTTGCTTATGCCTATATCCTGAATGGTATTGCCTAGGTTTTCCTCTAGAGTTTTATGGTTTGGGGTATTTATTTATTTATTTATTTTTATTTTTTTATTATACTTTAAGTTTTAGGGTACATGTGCACAATGTGCAGGTTAGTTACATATGTATACATGTGCCATGTTGGTGTGCTTCATCTATTAACTCATCATTTAACATTAGGTATATCTCCTAATGCCATCCCTCCCCACTCCCCCAACCCCACAGCAGGCCCCAGTGTGTGATGTTCCCCTTCCTGTGTCCATGTGTTCTCACTGTTCAATTCCCACCTATGAGTGAGAACATGTGGTGTTTGGTTTTTTGTCCTTGCGATAGTTTGCTGAGAATGATGGTTTCCAGCTCCATCCATGTCCCTACGAGGGACATGAACTCATCATTTTTTATGGCTGCATAGTATTCCATGGTGTATATGTGCCACATTTTCTTAATCCAGTCTATCATTGTTGGACATCTGTGTTGGTTCCAAGTCTTTGCTATTGTGAATAGTGCCGCAATAAACATACGTGTGCATGTGTCTTTATAGCTAGCCATATGTAGAAAGCTGAAACTGGATCCCTTCCTTACACCTTATACAAAAATTAATTCAAGATGGATTAAAGACTTAAATGTTAGACCTAAAACCATAAAAACCCTTGAAGAAAACCTAGGCAATACCATTCAGGACATAGGCATGAGCAAGGACTTCATGTCTAAAACACCAAAAGCAATGGCAACAAAAGCCAAAATTGACAAATGGGATCTAATTAAACTAAAGAGCTTCTGCACAGCAAAAGAAACTACCATCAGAGTGAACAGACAACCTACGGAATGGGAGAAAATTTTTGCAATCTACTCATCTGACAAAGGGCTAATATCCAGAATCTACAAAGAACTCAAACAAATTTACAAGAAAAAAACAAACAAGCCCATCAAAAAGTGGGCGAAGAATATGAACAGACACTTCTCAATAGAAGACATTTATGCGGCCAACAGACACATGAAAAAATGCTCATCATCACTGACCATCAGAGAAATGCAAATCAAAACCCAAGGGAGAAACTTAATCCTGGAGAATTAAGAGAACAATCTGGCAGTATCTAGTAAATGTATATACCCAGTAATTCCTTTCTCATGTCAGAAAACGAACACACAGAAGACAGAAATGTTTTCAGAAGTCAAAAGACTGAACTCAAGTAACAAGTCAGATCTTTTCTCCAACCCTCTTCTTGCTAACTGTTCATGTGGAGACCCCTAGAAAGTTTTGCCCTAATGCTGGTGTCTTTCCTCCTTCCCTGGTCCCCCGGTAACTATCTATTATGTGTCTAGGGTCAACCATGCTTCCATTTCCACTGATTTTAAAAGAAAGTGGCCCTTAATATTTTGGTATTCATATTTTTCTACCCTTTGCCCTTTCAGCGCATCATACAGTGCTCTCTAAATGCACTTATTGGTGGTGCTCTGGGGCTGTGGGGGTTTACAGAAATCTCTAGGAAGAGTCTCATGAAAATCAAACAGTCTGCCTTTATTTAGCTAGTTTGTTCATTTGTTCAAGAGGATTTCTGTAAACAGTGCTTCCTTCAAGCAGGGTCCACCTGCCTTCCCTATCCTTACTTTCTTGGGAGGTGCCTGCAGTGCCATCAAGGGAGCTCAACCCAGAGAAGAGAGCTCACAGATGAGATCTGAGGCCCTTTAAAGATGTGGCATCTAAGGGAAGACGATTTCCTCGAACAAGCAGGAAACACATGCGCAGCAGTCCCAGAGAGAGACACCAGAGCAGAGAGCTCTCCCCTGTGATGAGGGCATTCAGGGATGAAGCAAGGGGAAAGCAGATCTGGATGCACTGGGCTTGCTGTGTGTCACCCAGGCCCAGGCCAGCAGCCTGATGGGAGAGCCTGGTCAGCACTTTGCCCCAAAGGGAAAGAGCTTGGCATAGATCCCACAGTAGGATAGTGGTCAGGCTGGGCAGGGACACCGAAATAATAATGACACAGGCTGAGTTTCTGGGTAAGACATTTCTCTCTTGTCCTATTCTCTGATTTTAGTCTCCATCTTCGGAGCTCTGTACCACTGATAATCTGATGTTAAGACAGAGACCTGATATCCTCTCTTCTACTGTTAAATCCTCTGTTCTTTTCTCCAGAGCAGATTCTCCGTCTCCAAACTTCCTCATTCCAGGCTTGTCTTTGTCAGCCTTACACTGATCCCGGGATCTTATCACACTGGGTGTTCAGGGGCTTCTTTTGCATTAACCTGGTGCAGCACATAGGTGGATGGTGGCAGCTCTGGGCTTTGTCCTAGGAGTCTTAACAAAGCACCTGAATAAAGACACCTCAAGGCCAGCTCCATGTCACAGGGCTGCTCCTGATGATTGCCCTAAATCCTCCACCTTCTGTGAAGTCAATTATTGCCAACAGCCTCTGGGCAGGATGGCCCAGCAGCCATCCTCACGGAGTAGTTAGAGACCTATTCCAGCATGTACATCTGACTGTGCCATCACTGCCCTTCACATACATACTTCACAGCATCTACACCTGAAGTGACTCCTGTTTTCACTCGGAATAAAGCCTAGGCTCTTCATCAAGGCTTGCAAGGCTGTTCAGCACCTGGGACTATTCACCTCAGCTTCGGCCCTCACACTGAGCCCCCAGTGTCTTGGACGCTATCAAACTAACCTTGGTATTGAGGATGCAAAAGATTTGGATCCTGTATCCATGTTGTTCCTGCTGTCTGGACTGCTCCTGCCTGCACTGCCTACTTCATACCTCTCACTTCCACTCCTTCAGGGCACAGCTAACGCAGAGCTGAGAGGTCATCTTGCTCAACACACTCTCTCTAGAGATGAGAAAACTGAGGCCCAAATCCCAGGTCAGTTCTCCTGACTTTGCGATCAGACAGCAGACCTCAGTGTCCAATGCTGCACTGCATCTGCAAGGAAGCTCTGGTTTCCAGGTCCGGCTTCTCTTTCAGACCTGTCACATCACCTGCGAAAGAGGTTTTGAGGCTTTCTGCACTTCCCTGGCTGGTGTTCTCCCACTGCCCAGGGCACTTGGTGGGAAAGGTTGTCCATGCACTTTAGGGTTTTTTTTTTTTCTTTTCAAAAAAGTTTTCTTCTATCAATATTTGATAAGGGTAATTTCAAAGACTTGTTTAGTATGATCTGCACATAAGGAGCCCTTCCGAGTATTTATCACGCTTGGGGTATAATTACATTCAAATCCTGAGACACTGTTGCTAGGTTACTGTTGCTCGAGGTTCCTCCAACCTCCATGCTTGAAGTGCTCCTCCCACCTTGTGGCATTAGGAGCAGGGGACCCGCAGTTTGGGGCTTATGATTCCCTTTAATAAAGACAATATTCTGGAGTCTCTTCTGTTGGAGAAAGAGAGGGGGAGAGAGAGAGAGAAAGCGAGCGCTAGCAGGGGCATTTTGCACCCCTCCCCAGGTAGGGCTGGAGCTGTGAATCACATCATGTGGTTCCTGCAAGTGAGATTAAAGAGACAAGAGATAGGGAGGGGACAAAAGGAGGGAGTTGCTGTCGTGTGAGACTCCCCAGGAGAAATCATCTCTGAGTCTTCCCTTCCGCCCTGCATTCTCCCTGAGAACTGAACATGCATCCTGCCTTCTTCAAGGGTCCCAGGAGGAGTTCCGTGCTGACAGCAGGAGGCCGCCCTTGCCCAAGGACAGGCAGCATATGAGGGGAAAGTACCTGCTTTCCAGGCTGAGCAGCACTGGACACTTAATCTAAGGTGAAAAATCAGGATGAAGAGGCCAAGGCCAGCCCCTCTCCTCATGAGGCTCCTCCACGTTAAAGCCACTTCTATTAACCAAAGTGTCCGAGGCTCTCTGGTGGATCATATCTGCACTTTAAGCTGGGTTGGAGATGGCTGGTCTTGAACTTGCCCTGTTTTCCCCAGTGCCTCTGAGAGGCAGGAGCAGGGACAGAAGGCCCTTTGTTCAGGCCTCTTATCTCCAGAGGTCTCAAGTGTAAACTTTTTGTTCTTATTTTCGGTGAGGCTGAGTGTACAATCAATGCCTTGCTTCTTTCCTTCCTTCCTTCCTCCCTCCCTTCCTCCCTTCCCTCCTTCCTTCTTTCCTTCCTTCTGTCCTTTCTTCTTTCTTTCTCCACCATTAAACAAGTCAACTTGTTAAATGCACACCTTTAAAATATAACATATATTTATAATTCTGTTTTGGCATTAAATTTTTATTTCAACCAACTAGGTCCTTTAAGGAGAGGAAGTGGGTATGCCCCTAACTACCTCTAAAGCCTGGTTTAATTTCTCCCTGCATGCGCTCAGCACCTTGCAGTAGATTGCTAACCCTTGGATGCTGCTTTGTGGCTGCACATTGATTAATGGCTGGTCAGGGCCGAACTCACACATTTGTGTTTAATGCACTACTGAGTCAGCACCGCTGGCCTTGGGGAAGAAGAAAAGGAAATAAAACCTGGGCAGATGGGTTTGGGATGGAGTTTAACATTGGATTTGCATTTTCTGACTCTGCTGCCCCATCTATTTTCCACTGGGCTTTAGAAATGTGCTAGATTGAATTGTGTTTCCTATTGCAAATTTTAAATAAGGTGGATGAGACAGTAGGCATCACTATCCACAATCCCTTGGGTATAGATGCAAATACACTTTTAAACCTCAGAGCAATTTCCCCAGTCATCACGGAACAATAATTGCTATTAAGCAGAATATATACCCATGTACACATACACAATGTTTATAGCTCATGAGTGGGGAATATCAATTGTTGTCAATGTTTAATGCAAAAAATAATTAAAGGCTTACATTTGTTTCAGATATTTACAAACAGCTTTGCTATTAATATTTATCTTCAAAACCACAAGCAAGATCTGGAGATAATTCTTTGAGACATCAGCTGGGTAAAACATATTTTGTTTCAATATTAAAAGTTTGTAAACCAGCCTGGCATGATGGCTCATTCCTATAATCTCAGCACTTTGGGAGGCCCAGGCAGGCAAATTGCTTGAGCCCAGGAGTTTGAGACCAGGCTGGGCAACGTAGTGACACCTCATCTCTACAAAAATTACAAAAATTAGCTTGGCATGGTGGCGCATGCCTGTAGTCACAGCCACTCGGAGGGGCTGAGGCGGGAGGATTGCTTGAGCCCGGGAGGTGGTGGTTGCAGTGAGCCAAGATCACTCCCCCCTGGGTGACAGAGCAGGACTTTGCTCAATAAAAAAAAAAAAAAAAAAAAAAAAAAAAAAAAAAAAGTTTGTAAGCTTTCATAGCAGGAGACACTGCAGAGTGTGGATGTTCCTAGTCGAGAAGGTTAGTTAAGCTGCTGAAGGCTTTTTCTGTACAAAATGGTCAAGGATTCCTGGATTCTTCTAAATTGCTATGGAAAGTGGGAAGAGGAGGCAACCTTAGTTAATTGTGGGAGTCTTTGTTTTAAAGAATAACATATTTGAAGCTTTTCAAATGCGGGTGTTCACCCACGAACTTACCGGCAAGGAGAAGAGCCAATTTTGCTTTTACTGGCTGCAGGCTTTGTCTCTGTTCCTGCCCAGGAGATCTTCCCAGTCTTGTGAAAGAGGGCAAGGCAAATACAGAAATAACATCTGTAACCATCAGGGAAACAGAACCCAAACCAGCAAGTTTAATTGAGGGAGTTTGCTATGGGAGAATAGTTATAGCAGGTTTGGAATAACTGAACACAAGGGACCATGAGGCAACCCAGAGATTAACAAGAGAAACCATTGCCCCTCAAAGCTGGTCAGGCAACAGGCAGAGACAGTGACTGGAGCCCAGGAGCTGGGGCTACCTGGTGGAGCCAAGGTGGGCACAGACCTTGCCAGTGATGTCTCTCCCCAAAGCAGAGAGGGGGAAGAAATTCCCTGGATTCTCTTCTCTTCCTTCCTACCAAGCTCTCATCCATGCCTCCTACTGGCTGGCCCTAACCAGAAATTGGTGGGCACATGTCGCTGGGAAATGCAACTTGTTGTGTCAGGCCTCTGAGCCACAGAGCAGAGGAGTGGGAGGCAAGGAGTGGATATACAGGTAAACTAGCAAATGACTTGTATACTAACTCAGGAGGCTGCACATGGTGCCAGGTCAGGAGAGGGGGACAAAATAATCAGGGGAGGGAGTGGATGCTTTCCACTGGGGAATCCAAAGAAGGCTTTCTGGAAAAGGCACCACCTAAGATGGGTCTTGAAAGATTTAGCGGGTCCCATCAACAAGGCTAGGGGTGGGAAATAGAAAGACACTGTTAACACACATCTGTAATTGAAGGTAACATCCAAGATGGCAGGAGAGATTGTTTTCAGATGGTAGGACATGGAATCAGGTTCCATGGGGTATGAGACTAGAAAGGGATGGCTTTCCCTGAAGGCAAGACAGGGAAAAGGGCTGTCACAGATGGGTTGCTCAGGAAGCAGACTCAGACAGATATTGGCATGCAGTACATTTATGAGGGAGTGCTCTCCGGATCGTTCCATATAAGGACAATGGAAGCCATCCAGAGTAGACAGTGTGGAGTTGGGCTGTGATGCAGTCATGACAAGGGCCTCAGCCAACCCCATGGGGAGCTTTGGGGCTGTGATGACCCTTCAGAATTGTCCTGAATTGGGATAAGGGAGCTGGACCTTTATACATTTGCATCAACTGGTCACTGGGTAGAGGCTGCCCCAGGAAAAGGCATAACCCTGAGTGAGTCAACTCTCTCTCTTTGGTCAAGGAAGATTCCCAGTGAGGGCTGGCAACCCCAAAAACACTTTCATCAGCTGGGAATGAAGTTTTTCAGTCCCAATTTGAGCAACACACCAGTGTCTGTTATAAGAGGTCAAGAGAAAGGAAGAAAAATAATGGCATCGAGTACCTACTATGCACCTGGCAGTATGCTTTACTTCACATATATTCCTTTACTTCCAGGCTACACCCTGCAAGGTCATTATCATTAGCTGCACTTTACAGGAGAGGAAGCTGAGGCTCAGAGAAGGTAAGTAGTTTGCTCAATGTCCTCAATCAGTAAGTAATGGGGTCAGGACTTGAACCCACATCAGTCTGCCCTTATGACAATAGGAGTAGTCTGAGCTCTCCCATGGGGAGCCTCCAATCTCTTTAAATAAAGAAATGAGGATATGATCAAGTAAGAGAGGTCAGTGATTAGATGGCGGAGGGTTTGTAGAAAGCGGAAAAAAATCTGAAATATAACTACTGAGCTGAATGTGGTACGTAGAGAACAAATGGACTGATTGCCAAGTAACAGAGAGGGCCTCAGAGAGGTTAGATTGCACAGATATTTTCTGGCGTATCCTGGACTTTTCTATTTTTTTTTCTTTGGCTGCCCAGCAAACTGCCCTCCTACTTATGTTGAAGACTTTCCCATCCTATGAGCCCAGGTGGGAGAAGCTGAAAATGGCAGAAGGTCACTTTTCCAGCTGCCCTGTGCCTGGTGAGCCTGTGACACAGACCCCGTTGCTCACATATCCACCCAGTTTGGTGCCATAGGTGGTAGGTAAGTGGGAGCCCCAAGGAAGCTGCTCTGGCAGCATGGTGCTGGTGGCCTGGCCTGGTGCCCTGTGCTGGGTAGGGGAGGGATACTGGCAGCATCTCTGGTTTGGGGAAGGTAAGGGGCCCCAGAGGTCTGTTTGGCAGGGCAATTTTGACCAAAATTGGAACATTGCTTTTAGCTGGGTAGCCCCAAGTCTGGCTCTATAGCCTTTCTACCAATTCATGTGATAATCAACATCCTTAAAAAATCATTATCTGGGAACAATTTCATACTTATAAAATATTGCAAAAATAGTACAAAGAATTCCCATAAACCTTTCACTTAGATTTCCAAAATGTTAACACTTTATCACACTTGCTTTATCATTCTCTGTCTTTTGCTTATCTATCTACCTATCCACTTTACTTTAGTAGTAATTGTTTCAGATAAGATTCATCAATGGATGTTAAAATAATGACTGAAAGAAAGACGAGAAATAAGATATTTACATAGCCTCCAAACACATTCCTTCAATTGTATGGGGGAAAGAGGAACTTTACAGTGAAGAAACCTGGTAGGCACCACCTGAACTCAGTGATAAAACTTAATATCCTGAGTAACGGAACAAATCAACACCAGATGCCTCTTGATAGAATGCAGTGAGCTGAACACACCATCACTTCCTGGAATTCCCGCAAAAATGCACAACCTGAATTTACTCATAGGGAAACATCAGAAGAAGCCAAACTGAGCTTCAGTCTACAGAGTAACTGGTTTGTTTTCCTCAACATCATTTTAATAATTTTTATTAAGTTTTTTTAAGGTGTTAGGCCACCCAGGTGTTTTGCAACCTGCATAGCACCGAACCAATGTAAGGGCATTCTTAAAGTTTTGGTGTTGATGAAGGCCATGCTGATGAGGAAACTACCTAAATGGGCACTATTCCAGGAACTGGACTGTCATGTTTCAAGGGATCCTCAGGTACAGCAGGTGGACTGAGAGGGAACAGAGGAGAACGAGGAATGTTGGAGAGACGAGGGCCCTGAATACGGTGTTCAGCATCTAGATCACAATTAATAACTTTGTGTCTCCGTTTTCTACCCTCATTTGTGCTCCACGGCTGCAAAACGATGAAATATTGATTCCTTCCTCTAGTGAATCAATGTGGATGTTGTATGGCAAAGATGAAGGCAGAGAGCTCATGCTTTCTTTGTGCCCCACCCTGAACACTATACTACGAGCCAGTGTGTTGCAGTGGTTAAGCGCTCAGGCTCCGGAATCAGTTTCTTCATCTGTAAAATGCGGATAATGATAATGCATGGTTCATAGGCATGATGTGAGGAGTAAATGGGATATTGAGTATAAGGTGCTTAGCACCATGCCTGGTCCACCATGAACACTGAATAAATGTTGGCATTGAGTGTGACTAGAAGGGCTAATGCTTGTACTTTGCATGCCAACATTCTCCTCTGGTGTGAAGTACAGAGAAATTAAGAGTAGCAAAGGGAATTTGGACTTAAGATCAAATACTCATTTCACAGACAAGGAAGCTGAGTGCTGGGGGAGATGTCTGGTCTCCCCTGGGTTAGCACATGGTGCACCTCCAACGTTTCCCCTCCCTATTGCCAGGGTCCTCTGTCACCTCCACTTGTGCTAACCTTGGTGCTTGGAGAGGTGGGCAGGGAGCTCGTAACTCCATAATTGCCTTGTGGATTTTATGGGGCCATATAACGGTGTGCTGTGCAAACTTTTATGAGTATTTATTTTACAATGTCTATTGAAACCATTAACACTTTCATTAGCTAGATTCAGGGGCTGAGAGAAGCTTGGCTTCCCCACTAAGATCAATTTTGTCTGTAATTTTAAATAAAAGTTTACAAAAACATTGCATCTTCGTCCCAAGGAAAGGAGATGTTCTTAGTGTCTTGCAGTCCTAGATGGAATCAGGAATCCACGATCAACTATTTATCCTTTTCAATTCTGTGCTGGACGGAAGGAGACAAATGGAGATTACTAGGCCAATCAGTCCATAATATTTATTACTTCTCCTTCAAACTTGAATTCTGCCCACAAAGCTGATCTCCAAGTGACCTTGTGGTTTCTGAGACTGCACTTTCATTTTGGATTCCATAATTTCTGGTAGGTAGGAACTTAAGCACAGCATACAAAAAAAATAAAAATATAATTTCTAATTCTTTTTAAAAATGTATCTGTACATTATGGGAGACTATACCTGATAAAATGAGGATACAGTTTTTAATATACTTCCAGTATATGTACTTCAAAGTCTCACAATTGTTTATCAGAATTTCTAAAAAGTAGTGAGCTCAAGTTGTTAAGAGAATTATTGTGCTTGGAGGAAGTGATGATTATGGAGAAGTGATTAGGTAGATAAGCCAGTACCTGGAAGTGTGTCTCCAGCTGGGTAAGATGAGGACATGAATGGTTTTTCTCAGCACTGAGGCATGTTATGGGGCTTGCCTGGTTAAAACAAATGCACTTTTTCCACCTCTACTGTTGCCCCAGTAATGTGCAAAAAATTGTCCCAAGCGCTGTAAAGAATTATGCAAAAATGAATTGAATACTAATTGTCTGAGATACAAGTTGTTTTGTTGATTCTTTTTTCTTTGTGAATTTTGGCTGCAGTGAGTGGCGTTTATCTTCCTTCTCAGTTCATTGCCCATTTATTATCACTGGGCCAAGCCAATGATGGGCATGCCAAGCTCTTCTCTTCTTCTATTTATTTTTTCTTTTATCTCCCATGCCACTTTCCCATTTTCCTCCTCCCCATAGGAAACTGCATTATTGCCTTTGATGTCTATCTTTTTGCTTGTCTATGTATTTACAAAATGTTTACTGTTTGCTGCATGTATTTTTAATGTATGTAAATGATATTGTGTTATAGTAATCTCATTCCTTTTCTTACTCTTCTCACTAAACAATATGTTGTTAAGACTCACTCATATTGCTATGCTTAAATCTAATCTGTTGCTTCTAATTGCTGCATAATGTTCCATTCAGATTTGATTTGTGTGAAATGGTAGGCTATCTGGAGGAAGAGGTCTATCTGAACTTTATGAAAATAACTATCCTGATTCCAGGGAGAACAGATTGGAGTCAGTGGGAGAGAGGGCAGCTAGGAAGAAATTTTAATAATCCAAATGGGAGGTAACATGGGCTTACTAATGGGGAAGAAAAAGAGAGGATGTGTGTTTGAGCTATTTAGAGGTCAACTTGATATATGTTGCCTACCTATTTGGTAGAAGGAATGAGGAGGAGCAAGGAGTCAAAGGTAATACTAGCATTTTGAGCCTGAGGATGGGTGGTTTCAAGTGCCAGTGATTGAGAGTAGAAGCACAATAGAAGGGTGGATCAGGTTGGGGAGAGGAGGAGGGAAAAGAAGATGGCATTAAATCTAAGCATTCACTATTCATTCATTCAGTCAGTCAGTCAGTCAACATTCATTGAGCACCTATTATATGCCTAACATTCAACTAGCCCACCAGGTAACAAGGCAGGGTGGGATGTTCAGAGTTCTCTAAACTCATTGAGTGGAGAACATAGACAACAATCACAAAATAAAAACATCATCACTAGTTGTAATAAGAGCCCTGGGAAGATGAAAGTCTCAAGATTTAGGTAGAAAGTCAGGAGAATATTTTCTGGGACATGTGATTTCAGCTGAAACCTAAATAAGTAGAAGTTGCCTGGGTGAAGAGTGAGGGGTAGGGGGTCATACTGAGGAACAGCATGAGCAACGTCCTGGAAGCAGGAAGGAACTTGGCACATTGGAGGTGTTGAAAGAAGGCCAGTGTGGCTGAAATCCAGATGGGCTGGATCCTGCAGAAGCTTGTGGGCCATGTTAAGCCTTTTGAACCACCCTCCAAGAGCAATGGGAAGTATTAAGAAGTGTTAATCAAGGGCTCACCATGCTCAGCTGAGCAGTTCAAAGCATTGCTGTGTGAAGAGAGGATTTTAGAGGCAGTGTGGAAGTGTGGGAAGAACTTTTATTGGGGGGTGGGGGGTGGGGTTGAAAGAAGCCCTGAAGGTGGGAAATAGCTTGGTGTGTTGGGGGAGCTGAAAGAGGCGAGTGTTGGCTGAAGTATGGAGAATAAGCACAAAGAATGAGCAACCTGGAAACAGAATTTAGACTAGGTCAGGACTTGAAGGCCAACCTGCAGAGTTTGGATCCTATTCTAAAAGGAAACCATTAGGCAGCTTCAGGCAGGAAGTGACCTCATGTGACATGGGGGTTGGGCATCAAAATCTCATTTAGGCTGCTGTGTAGAGCACAGATTGGAGAGTAGGTAGAGAAATTCTCAAGAACAGTGGCAGTTTTTCAGTTGAGGGGTAAAGGTATCTTGGATTAGGGGTGGAAGAAGAGATGGGGTGAAGATTGATTTGAGAGGTTCTGAGGTCGAGTTTATGGGGTTTGATGATGGATTGGATGGGGGGTTGCAGCGGGCTCTGTGTCAAGGGTGGCAGGTGGAGCTTGAGCTGCCTGTCAGATATGCAAATATAGGTGTCCAGGATCACTCGGATATGACATTCTGACATATAGGAGATGGCTTGGAGGCAGCAAGATCAATTTCAGAATCACTTGTGCTGTGGGAAAACTGGAAACCATTAGAATAGGTGAATCATCAAGGAAAATTGCATACAGACATAAATTGGAAAATGCCTATTTGGAAGATAAATTTTTATTTGAGATTTTAAATTTTGTTATTCATTTTGAGACATTAAAAATGCAGTTGCAAGCAAAGAAAAAATGTAATCTCATATTCTTATCATTATAAATATATTTGGTCAAATCTGCTAAGTTGAAAAAAAAAAAAGAAATAAAATATTACAACCCCCACCCCCATCCCACCTGCTGGCAACCACTCTCATAAGTTCAGGGTGGCAGGATACTTTTTTGATATACTGATTCATCTTTGCTTTCTGTTTTTCCTTCCCTCATTCAGGCAGGTTGCAAACTCTGCGCTTATGTGCCTCAAGAGACAGGGCTCTGGATGTATGAGGTCAAGGCTGTCTGAAGAAGATGAATATGGTAGAGATAAGGAGGATTTTCCAGTGATTGAAGAGAGACTTCCTAGTCAAGGACTGTGGTTTTGGAGCAGAGCAGCAGGGTCGTGTTCCCTGTCTCTGGCAGTACTCTGAACATTGGCAGGACCTCAGAGTGGTGGCCCAAGGTGCCTAGGCTGCCAGCCTTGCCAAAACTTCCCTTCAATCAGCTTGGTGAGGAAGGAGAAGGGGCTGAGGCAGTGGGATTCTCAGTGGTAATCCAGGGTGAACCAATGTTCTATAATAATATTAGAGGGACCTCCCTATGTCTGGGCCCTGTGTCCTACCTTAGGACCATGGCACAACTCCCTGTGGGGAGAGGGAAGAGAAATCCCTGTGAATCACTCAGGCTGAATTTCTCACCAACCCAGCAAGATGGAAGCTCAGAGTTGAAATCAAGTTGATTAATAAAACATTTTAAAAGAAAGCATTTCTTAAACACTTAAGTCTATGGATAGAAATTTATACCAAATATACTTAATGAAAAGAGACCATGACAAAGACTGAATTGGAAGAGCTAAATGTGGAGGCCAAGAACCAGAACCTCCTGGGGAAGAGACAGCTCAAAAGGAAGAAGTGGTCAACTCTGTCATATGGAGCAGAAAGTTCTGAAAGGGAAGGCCTGAGAGGTGGACAGTGATTGACCCCGTAGGGACACTGTCCTCTAAAGGATGGGAAGACTGAGAGGATAGAAGGTGTACGGCAAGTGGCTGAGAAGAGAATGGGAAGGGCAACTGATGTAGGCTCCATTCAAGAAGCTTGTTAGTGAAGAGAAGTTTTTAAAAATATGTTTGTTTTGTTTAGGGCTAGGAGAGATGAAATTTCTGTCCTGGCATACAGGGAGAAATAGGAGAGTCTGATTAAGAAAGATAGAGTGGATAACTCATGGAGGGAAGTGCCTGAGCTATGGCAGCCAGGATGCACTGAAGAGGGCTGGTCCTATAAGGAAACAGGCACACCCTTCAGAGCTTGCAGGAGGGAGGACTGCAAGGCTCCATGTAGAGGAACCCTTGAAGTCCAGGGGAGGGTACTGAGGGAGCACATGGTGGATGACCTTGATCTTCTTTACAAAGTATGTAGAGAAGTCAATGTCTACCCATAAAGGACTTGGGAATAATAGAAATGTCTTAGGGTCAACACAGAGAAGAATGCAATAAGGAATCATCAAAATCAAATAAAAGTACAACAATAATAATGTTACCATTATGATGGTATCCTATATGGTAGGCACTGTTCTGTGCCTAGTACTTACTAATTTATATAGTTTACTTCCTAGACATTATTGTCTTCACTTTATTCATAAGGAAATTGAGGCTTAAAGAAGTTAGATAACATAACCTCATTAAATAATGAAACCTTTTGTTGTTATACAACAAGGAATTCGCAGAGCCAGAGTTTTAACTAGAGTCTACTGGACACCAAAGTCCATCTTAATCCTTCGCCATACCAGAGAAACATAGCAGTTGTCTTGGTTCATTTTATGCTGCTTTACAGAACACCACAGACTGGGTAATTTATAATGGACGGAGATTTATTTCTTACATTTCTGGAGTCTGAGAAGTCCTTGATCAGGGTGCTGGCATCTAGCGAGGGCCTCCTTGTGCATCATCCCATGGCAGAAGTGGAAAGGACAAGAGAGCATGAGAGAGCAAGAGGGGCCAAGCTCACTTTATAACAAAAACACTCATTCAATAAGGAAGCCAATCCCTCAGTAATGACATTTCCATTCATGAGGACCGAGCCCTCGTAACCTAATCACTTATTAAAAGTCTTTCCTCTCAACACTGTTAGGTTTGGGATTAAGTTCCAACACATGAACTTTGGGGACACATTCAAACCATGGCCCTGAGGGAGGTTGAAGTGAATGAGCTCTGTTACAGGATGTTCTCCAGCAGCATGAGGTCAGAAGAACTGCTGGATGCTAGGTGAACTGGTTTTGGAATTCCCAGCCATTCTGATCTCAAGACATCTGTATGAGGCTGTGGGGTATGATGGATGTGGGACCTCTGACCAGACTATTCAAGGAGAGACCTGGTAGTCTGGCAGAACAAATAGCATGAAGGAGTGAAAGAACTGGAGACCAAGGCGAAGTTGGATTCCAGGGTTCATCTGTGCATAGGTGGAATCTAAAGCCACAAGGTTGATGAGCTCTCCAAGAGAGAGAGGTTAGAGTGTGAGGATGAAGGAGCCTAGGACCAAGTCTGGAGGAAATCCAACATTAAGTAGTCAATTTTAAAAGGAGAAACTTGTAAAGGATCCAGAGAAGAGATTGCTAAAAAGTCTATGAGTGAGGCAGTGGTATGTCACTAAAGCAAAAGGAAGAGAGTGAGTATCAAGAAGCAGGCATGTCCAGCAGGGCCAGTGTAACTGACAGGGGCAGTGAGCTGGGACTGAAACATGCCCTTTGAATTTGGAGGCCTCCGGTGACCCAAGCAACAGTTGTTCCAGTGGAGTGATGGGATCTGAAGCCAGCCTGGAGTAGGCTGGGGAGTGAGAGGGGTGAGTAACTGTAAAGAGGAAATAGGGAGGGACTTTTTCAGAAAGTTTGGTTTAAAGGGCAATAGGAGGAGGGGTATTCAAGGTTGTAAAAGGTCTATTTTTAAATGGAAAAGACTTACGGGTATTTAAATACTATTGAGGGAAATCCATTTGGGAGGAAACTAGAGAAAGAAGAGATCATGGACAATGTGCTTCCCAAGAAGGCAGGAGAAGATGGATCTTAAGCCATGTGGACAAACTAGCCTTGTTTGGTGGGAGAGAGAAAAGGCCAGGGAACAGGAGGGAGGTGGGTGGGCTTGTGTGCTTGGTGGTGGGAAGGCAAGAGAATTCTGTGAAATGGACTCAGTGTTCCCTGTGAAATAGGAGGCAGTGTTGTAAGCCAAGAGTGAGCAAAGAGGTGGGAGAATCAGAGGTTTGAGGAAGCCAGCTCAAGAAGAAAGTGTGTAGCAGAGCTGATGAGATGAAAGTGGCATGCTTGCTGGGCAGTGTTGAGAGCCCATCTGAGAATAGTTATAATAAATACATGGTGAAATTGATCTGCCCTGTTGTAGCACTTTCTCAATAAAACTGAGCAGCTCATGCCCTATCTCAGAGCAAGAGGAGAGTTAGATTCATTGAGTTGGATTTTTGCCAGATGAGTGTGATAAAAAGATTGCCAGAGTTTAGAGTTCTGAAAAAAGTGTTATGGAGTGGTGGACCATGAGATCTAAGTTTGAAAAGGATGGGAATGAGAAAAGAAACTAGCTGATAGAGTGGCAGAGAGTGGAAGGAATTAATTGGTTGGAGGTTCCAGTGAGAAGATACCTGGAGAAAGAGTGAGATCTATGCATAAAATGAATCATAATGACAAGGCTTAGCTGGTTTGGGGACTAAATGACCAATGTGGAATAGAGAAAAAGGGGACGAGGAAGCTAGAGTGTTGGATGGTCATCCATGTAGACCCTGAGGTCTTGTGATTCAGAGGCCAAGGTTGTATATGAGTGAGGATGGCAGGGAGGGGACAGCGCTGAGGAGGGGAAGAGGGCACTACAGCCAATAGCCCTGGGCAGAGACTGTATGCCCAGCCAGAAAGAATTGAGAGCATGCTTATGCCTGATATGCCACAACTTGAAATTTATTTTTTGACTGAAGATGTTGTCCCCTTTAAGTTGCAAAGGTCCTGAGAAAGAGTAATACACTAAGCCTTGTGAATCATTTACTCTTTGGTATAAATTAGCTTCTCAATCGTTTACAGAGAATACTTTTTGGCCAGGAGAACTAAAAAGGCATATGGAGTGAGAGGAAATGGCTAAGCCTAGAAAATGTCATCACAGTCATCTTAGGAACCAAGGCAGGGCAATTGGCTCAGTGAACCAAGCAAATTGTAATCAGGCAGGTGGAGTTCCATTGGCTCACAACAGCGCTTGTGAGCAGACAGGGGGCACCATGATACGGGACCAAGGCTTTCCAACTCTTTGGCTGGACTAGTGTGAAAGAAATCTGGGCAGAGATCAGGATCCCGAACAACTCAGAGGGACTTCAATCTGCCCCTCTAAAGACCATTTCTAGGCTGCGGACTGCTGATCCCGTGGCTGTAAACATTCCAACAGGGAAGGGAGAAGTATAGAGGCTGGGTTATTATAGGTCTCCCTCATTATGAGAAGCAGAGCACATTCATACATTTTGGAAAGCAGATCATGTCAAACTTTTATGTCCATCTATTCATCCATCCAAAACTAAACATTGATTGATTAATTTCTACATGCAGGTCTTTTGATGAGGAGTATACAAAGATGAATGTAACACGATCCCATCCTTCAATGAGATCATCATCTAGGCAAGGGAGAGAGAGAGAAGTTGGACGAATAATTAAAATGCTGTTTGATAAATTCCATAATAGAGGATTATACAAAATAGCTGTGGAATATAGCAGAAGTAACTAGCTTTGTGTATAATTCTTGTTCCAATTAGGATATGGAGAGACTAAAACAATAGTCAGAAATGTCCAAAAAAAAACCAAAAAAACAAAAAACAGTAGCCATTTGAGTGGGGAGTAGGTGTAGTATGCTCTTTCAAAATTATTAAAAATAAAGAAGGCTTCAAAAGGTCCTAGTATCTGAACAATCATGCTGATGTTAGTATGAAAGAGATATGTTTTGCTGCAGTTTTGAGATGAAAAATATTCCAAATAAGTAGGCAGAAATATTTTGTGAGTTAGAGAACCTATAGAATGAAGAGAATCTAAGCAAAATAATATAACAGTGATTATACTTTTTGGCCAGGAGACCTAAAAAGTTTCTGCTTGGGAACTTGTCAAAGTGTCCTTGAGGCTGGTTGGAAGGGGATCCCAGAGATGTCCCTATACTCTCTATCTTTAGGACATGGAGCCTGAGATCTTAACAGGACCTGTGTCTCTGAAAACTTCCCCACTTGCCTCCTTTCTCCTTCATTTATCTAAGACCATGGTTTGCGGCTTGACATCATAGCAAGCACAAGGGTGTGTGGTCCACATTTGTAATAATTAAAGTAATTTCTGTCTTCCTCCAACAATAGTTTCAAAATTATTTTTATAACAATATAACTTTCACTTATTCATATTTGGATATGTTTTTTTTTTTTCCAGTGGCAGAGAAGGGGGTGGATTTACAGTTTTGGAAGGAAATTTTGCGTGGCCTGCCACTCACTATTTTATTTCTGCCACATCTTTCCTACCACAAGGAGCCATTGCTGTTGAGCTGGCAATTGTCAAGGACTACACAGGAAAGGTTCAGTCTGGGATTGCGTGGGTTTTGTGTTGCCTGTTCTCCAGGTTTAAATAGCTGGATATCTCCGTGATAGTGCTCATAATGCAGTCAGTCATGATTCTTCTATACAAAGAAATCTTTTTAAAGAATAACAATGTGCATTAATTAACTTTATCCTCTTGGAGGTGAATAAGTTCAAGGTTGCAATGGAGTCTAGAAGAAAATAGAACAGTAAGGCACAGATTGGTGCCTTCGAATGTGAATGTGAGCTGTGACTAATTACTACTTGACCTAAGATTTTCCTCTCATCCTCCAGGAATCCTTTTAACAGTCTTCCTAGCTCTTGCCTGTCCTGAACCTCTGGCCCACGTTCCTTCTGGGTTGGCTTTTGCCTGGGATCTCTGCTCCTTCCTCTCTCTTCAAGTCCTTTAAAAGACAATTGACTTTTTTGTTTCCTTTCCTTTTGTGGTCAGAGCACAAAGAAAATGAAAAGCTCCTGTGGTTCACAGTCTGGTTCCCTTCCTATCAGGTCGTGGTTACCTGAAGGCTGAGTCCCCGGCAGAGGAAGTTTCTGCTCTCTGCCTCATGCCCAACTCCCTCTACTCCCCTGGCCTGCCTTTTCTGATGAATAGACTCCTCAGATACACTAAAGATTCAGCTCCAGAGCCTGCAGTGTGCAGTATTGTGCAGCCTTCTTCTGACAGCCCTTTTCTTAAAGAAGCCAAACTCTTTTGGCCCTTCCAAAATTTAGAATATAGATTAAATATGCCAGAGCATGTGTTAAGCAGAGCTGTATAGTAGTTTTCCTATATCCAAGTTACTAATTTTCTGGGACTGCCAACATTTCCATTTTAGGCTTGTAAGATTAGAAAGAATAATTTGAAAATATGTCAAAATTTTACATTTTCTTTACATTTTACATTTTCTCATAGGCCCATGAGTGCAGATTATCTAGGAGTAGATTTTTTTGGTTCCTGGGCCATTTTTCTTTTCTTCCCATGGATTGTCACCCCTTGCCCATTCGCTGGAGGTTAAAGAGTGTATAAAACAAACTCACAGCAGTCTGCATTATTTTAGTAAAGGACTAAAGTTGAAGCGAATGGAAGATGGTAGGAATATAAAACCCATACTAAAATGAAGTGTTACTTAAGGTTACATTGCATGAAAGAAGCTTTGATGGCTGATAAGTGGTGTTGAGAAAGAAGAGTTGGGTAGTGCTTCATTAGTGCTGTCCGTGGAAGAAGATGTGACCCCTCTGGAAAGGGTGACCTCCATACCCTGTGCTTGGTCTTCTCTTAGACCCTCGTTCATCAGTGCTTTCCCCATAACACACATGCTCACACCCCTTCATACACACAGGACATACCCTCACCTCCACTCACCCCCACTCACACACACAGATGCAGACACAAGCACACACGCTCAAACCTCTCACATCCACTCATACTCATTTACGAAGATGCACACTCATACACACTCTAACACACACTTATACCCATATGCATATACAACACTTTCTGTAAAGTGTGATCTGAGGACAGGGTATTTTTCTTTAGCAGAATGAAGTGTAGAGGAGATCTGACTGATAATGAGATGATTTGGTTAACTGTGTGATTTTAGGCCGGCCCTTCCTCTCATTGAGGCCTCAGTTTCCCCACCTGGGCAATTAGGGCTATGAACCACATAATGCTAAGTGTGTTTCTAGTCCCAGAGGAACAGGAAGAGAATCTTTTTTCATCAAGGTGCTCTCCCAACACTCCTGCACTGAGGAACCCAGAGGAAATGCTGAAAAGATTAATGAGTGAATGGATAGATGAATCTGTTTCAGCCTTCCTGGTTAATGATTTTGTAACCTGCTGAGTTGGTCTGGTATCTTCAGACCTATTATTCAGGGTGACTTCTTGTCAGCTTTTTCCAGTCTTCCAAATGATTCCCCTGGGCATAGTGCCCATCCCTCCTTCTTTCACCCCCAACTGGCGGTAAGCTGTGCTGGAGACCAGGCCCACACTCAGGGCTGTTTGGAGGTGGTGGTGAGGTTGCCACTCTGGCTGCAAACAACAGAAAAGTGAGTCACCTTGGGGCACTGAACTTAAAGGGAGAGGCATCAGTGACTGCTGCTCGGCCTTCTAAATGCCCAGGATGCACAGGGTCGCTCCCCTTTCACAGTACTTTGCCATAGGCAATGTGCATTCCGCATGTTCACAGCTATTAATTACTTCATTTGGTTCTGATAGAGCTCTGAAAAGAAGAGAGTTCAAATATTCTTATTGTGATTTTTGATAAAAGGTTAAGTGATTTGCCTTTTGGTCACAGCTAATGAGGATTGGAGGTGAGGCTGCCATGGATGTTTTTGATTGACAGACCAGAGTCTCTCCTGGAGCTTTTTATCATCTCTTAAGACTATGGATGCCTGAGACTCATCCCCAGTGGTTATGGGGCTTGTGGTCGCAGGGTGGGGAATGAATGGGAATCCAGCTTGTTAGCTGAATCCCCAGGAAACTGTATCTTGTCCAGAGGACAGGACATGCTTGGTGTGGCCAGGAAGCTGTCAGATGTGGGAAGAACATTGGGTTTCTAATGCTGAGGTCTGGCTTGGAATTCTACTTGACACTGGACTCACCCTCTAACACTCAACCTCTTCATTTGATCATGAGGAAAATGAAGCCTACCTTGCCTGGGATAGCCCCCCTTGTAAACACACACACACGTGCACACACACACACACACATGCCCAAGTATTAGCTCAGGAAGGTAATGTTTGAGAAAACCCTCATTATGCATGTGAAGGATTGCATTAGTTAACTTCTGTTGTGGTAACGAACAGCCTCAATGGCTCATAACCATTAAGCACTTATTTCTTATTCACATTCATGAGAGCTGCAGGTTAGTGAAGCTTTGTTGGACTCTGTTGGGCTGGACGGAACTGGGCTCTATGTCCAGAAGAAAGGAGTAGCTACTCTCTGAGACATGCTCTTCTTATGGTAGAGGGTAGGAACAAAAAGGACAGAGCCAAATCACACAAGTATATTTTTAACTGCTGCTCAGACATGACTTATATCACATCCACACTCTCATTTTATTGCCCAAACAAGTTCCTTCTCTTACCCTAAAATCAGCAGGGTGGGAAAGTTTATGCTTCACCTGCAGGGAAACATGGACTGGGTGGAGAGGCAGTGAATAATTGTCAATACTCAATACAGTTTATCAGAGGGGTGTTATTATACTGCCCACGGTTATAGACCTCATAAGCTACTACTCCAGGGGCTAAATCAAACTCTCCATTGTCTGACTGGGTGATTGTCTTCTAGTCTGAGTGGTTTCAATCCCACCCTGGCACTTTTGTGGCTGTTTCTGTCTCAGTGTTTCTTGCAGACCCTTCTTCTCTTCGGTCTTCTGCTCCAGCAACGCACATGTCTCAGAAGAAAGGCTCTCACCTTCAGGGTCCATGCAATATAAATGTAAACAAGGAGAGGTAGCCATAAATCTCAGCAGCTTTTGTGAGTTCTTGGCACACCTATCATTCAGTTTGGCATGGACAAACGTACTCATGCTTCTCTTTGGCAAGAAGGACGCCTGCAAGGTGAGAGACCACAAAGAGAAGAAAACGGACCAGCATTCAGGACCCCCATGGGTGAACCCATTGTAGTTCAGGGAGGCAAGAAACCTGAAAATACTTCAGTGAGAGGAAGAAGAATATTGTCAGGATGAATTCTCCTGCCCACCATTCTGGGACACAGTCTCCCAAGATGAGGAGGGGACCTCATGGCTGGGACCCGCAGCACCTGTGGTTACTGAGGGAGGCCTCAGCTAGCGTACATTAAAAGAATGGTTAGGAATTGAGTTTCAGAGGGCTCAGAATCCTGTAACAAGCCTCACCTTTGTGTGATGGTGTGATCTCTTCAGCAGACTTCATCATCATTGGACATGTTATCACTGAACAAACTTTTATCCATACCTAATATCACTGTTTCATGAGCACATATTAAGTGCCTCTTGGGGGCTGCATCCATCTCTAAGGCTATGAAGATGAACAAGCCCTGACCTGAAGGGCTCACATTCTGAAGCTCCAGACAGAGTCATGATCCATAGCTTATATCCCAGCAGAGGCCCAATCAGAGACATATGCACATCATCCAGGGGTGACTCAGACAAGAAGTTCTCTTCTCCAACTGCCTTGTTCCTATTTCCATAATGATAATAATAACTAGCATATTCAGAGGACTTTAGTCTCTTTATTTCATTTTCTCCTTATAAGTAACCCTAACCCCAGCATACCTGACAGTGTAGCAGCATGACAGAGAGACAGTCCTGGAATTTTAATCCTGACTCAGCCACTTATTAGCTGTGTGACCCTATGTGAGTTATTTAACGTCTCTGAGCCTCATTTCATCAACTGTAGAATTGGAATAATAAAACTTTATTTTCAGAGGTATTGTGAGAATTAGAGCCAAAATGTACGTGTTGCCTAACACAGTCACTGGCACAGTCTTTGCATAGTGTCTACTTTCAGAATGTTGTGTTTTCTAAATTTGATCACTTCCCACCAATCTCACTGTAACATCCTTTGCTAGTTACATGAATTCTAGCTGCTGCAACAAACAAACCTCTTGACTTCAATGGTGTAACACAAGAGAAGCTTATTTTCCCCTCATATCAGAGTGTATGCAGGTGTTCACAATTGGCAGGAAGCCTTCTCCATGGGGGCTTCAGGGACCCAGGCCACTTCCATCTCCTAATTCTTCAGAGTTCACTGCTCCCAGCAGACAGGCAAAGAGAAAGCAGAGACGACATGCTGCTTATTAACCACCTTGGCCCAGAACTGAAATGCAATACTTCTATGTATATTTCATTGCCCAAAAAGTCAATGTCCATATGTAATGGCAAAGGAGGCTGGGAAATGCAGTCTCCTTGTGAGTAAAGGGAGAAGGTTTAGGTGGTGGTCTCTGCCACACACCATTTCTCCCTCAGAACACTGCAAATGGTCTCCTTGCACTCACTGTCACCCCAGGATAGGTATCTCCACATAGTAGCGAGAGGAATCTTTTACAAGTGTGTGTTGTGTTATATTATGCTCCTGTGCAAAACCCTTTAAATCTTCTTCCACATCCATGATAGAATCTAGTCTCTTCGCCATGGCCAGCAAGGACTTGCAAGATCTGTCCCCTGCCTATCTTTGATCTTATCTACTATACTCTGCCTTTCACTCACTTTACTCTAGCCCTACAGATCTTCTTCCTGTCCTCTAGAACATGCTGGACTTATTACCAACTCAGGGACTTTGCCCTTGCTGTCGCCTTAGCCTGTGACAAACTTCCATCTTGCATTCCTTTGGTTCTTTGCTAAATAAAATATTGCCTTTCTAAAAAGGCCTTGTTTGACCTCTTAACTACTTCTCATCATTTAAAAATTTGTATTAGGACACATTACAAACAAAAAGTTATAGAGAATATTAAAGTGAAGATCTCTACCAACATTCAGCTTTATCAAGGCTTATAATGAGGATCTTTATAATTCAGTTTTGACTATGGTCCAAAATCAATATGATGAGTGCCAAGTAGTTTCATATTCCAAAGCAGGGTGATAGCATTAACTGGTCACCCACCACCAGCTTATAGAATGGCTGAGGCTGAAGAGGTCTGAAGAGAGAATTTCTTTGTAAAGAATGGCTGGGGTAGTGGCATGTCCTCTCCCCTGTCTGTGGAAGAAAGAGAGGAATGTTTCCTCTTAACTTAATAGATGGTTGCATTATAGGACCACTCAGCCTGTCCTGTGTCTCTGGAGCTAAGGCAATTGGAACTGTGAAGCTGAGCAGAAAACCTGGCTGGAGCTTGCAGCCTGGCAGCAGAGCTGAAGACTGTCTAGGGGAGGGAGTGCGTCTTCAGAGTGAGCTGCATGTCAAGTGATTGGGGAAGGGTGCACATTCTCCCCATCAGATTTTGATGTGAGGAAGGGAGCCAGTGTGGGCCCTACTCAAGAGGGCTACTATGCAAGCTCCTGTTTCCTGTCAATGACGTGTCTGGGATAGAGGCTTTCCGTACAGCTTTTCCATTGCTTTGTCTTCCATTGGAGTCTCACTTCCTACTGGGTAGTTGGTGCTAGAAACTGGCCTCTCAAACAACTCCCTGTACAGTCTGAAACTTAGATGAGTTAGAGCTTGAATCTAAATTGTTCATTATTCAGATGAGGCTACTGCCAGGCACACACCATAAAAGATAGAGTAGTAGAGGGGAAGGCTCCCTCCCCTAGAGAACAGCCCTCCATGTATCTACAGCTGGTCCCCTGACTTGCCTTTGCAGTAATAGAAATTGAATAGTGGTTGACTCTGTGTAAGAAATGACTAGAAAGGGTCATGAAGGAACTTTCTAGAGTGATGGAAATGCCATCTATTTTATTATGGGTGTTGGCTAAATGGATGTGTACATGTGTCTAATTTTGTTGATAAATTATGATTTGTGTGTATGTTTGCAATTTTATTATGATGTGCCTAGGCTTGGCTTTCTTTGTAGTTAATTCTACCTGTGATTCATAGAACTTTTTGCATCTAAAGCTTGATGTTTGTAACCACGTTTGAAAACTCTTCATCTTTATGACCTAAAATACTCTCTTCTATCCAATTTTCTTTCCTCCTTTGAAACCACAATTATATGTATGTTAATGTGGAGGACGCCATGGGGGACTCCCTCAGCCTACACTACCTTAGTGCCCTTTTCAGCTATACTCTTCCTGTGCCTTTGGGGAGCCCACATACCTTTAGGTCTCCATCCTAGGGCTGAAAGGTCTTGTTCTCAAGTCAACAAAACTCTACCTGTCAAAATTTGTTTCAGGGTAAACACTCAAAAAATGACCATTCATTATCCTTCTTGTCCCATGGGGAAGTTGCATTGTCATAATAAGTCCTCATACCCCAAAGGCATCATGACCCAGAGAGGTGCAGATGCATTGGCAGACTTTTACACACCATGATCTCTGAAAAGGAACCATTGGGTAGAAAACATTGTAGTTCCTGGTCCTTTGGGCAGCCATTTTGCCTTCCTCCTTTGAAATATAGTCTCATTTCAGTTAATAAAAATAGTATTTGTACATAATTTTATAATTTTAAAGGTTATTTCCCATAGATTTTAAATAATTCAATGTTTAGATGGCATATAAATAAATATTGCTCTTTTATAGAGATGGAAGGTGAGGGTCTGAATGCCTCCTGGTGTGCTGGGTGCCTTACAGACATCACCACACTGGCTTATCAGGAGATGCATGTTCGGTGGAGCTTCCCCAGCCTGCTCACAGCTACCCAGCCACTTGATTGAGTACTGGGTTCCCCCTTGGGTCTAACACAAAATTCACAACTTGCTATCACACCACAGTTCCTTAGAGTCTCAGAGTTGGTAAATGATTCTAACCAAGGCTGACAGCAAGGTTACTCTAACCTAAATATGATTTTCCTCCTTTCCCCCCATTTTTACCTTTATTAAGAAAATAACAGTATAATAATAAAGAAAAGAAAAGCAAGGGGAAAAAATAAATAAATTTATATGTAATACAATTATCCTAAATCAACTGCTTTGATTTTCCTGTCTCCTTCTATTCCTTATCCACATGCCTTCATATTTTATGTTCCTTTGATGTACCCCAGATATCATCCTGGATTTCTTCTCCTGATGTTACACCATGGGCATTTCTCCATGTTGTTGTATGATCCTCGATGTTTCCATGCTCTGTGGCTGTAGGCTGTTCTGCTGCGAATCACAAGCTTCCTCTGTTCTCTCACCCTGCTCAGCCTCCCCACAGCCTCCCACAGCTGGACATCAGACTTCAAGATGAAGGCACTGTGTCCCTCTGTGTGTTTAGAAGGGAGCACATTTCTGAGAAGTCTCTTTTCCTAAGACCCCAAACTGGAACATCAAATAAGAACAAATATGTCTACAATGATTTTTACTAGGGTGGCTCATCAACAGGTGAGCCTGTGCAAATATCTGCTTGTAACTGCTATATTGAAGTCCAGGAGGAAATGGAAGGTAACGACTCTCTAATGCCTTCATTTGCCCAGACATTCAGCAGGAACGGCAATTTCACTTAGGGGAAAATTTCAGCAGGAATCAATTTTTCTAAATCAAATTCAAGGGTCACTGATTGTTAAGGCAACCATGGGTACGCTAATGATGCTATTCATAGTTTGGTTAATACGTATGCATAATAAGAGAAAATTATTTACAGAGATGATGAATTTAATATTGGGAGTGAAGCAGATTTACAGCCTGGAAAATGTAATTGCTTTTTGATATCAATTAAAGGACTGTTTCAAAAATCAATAAGAATTTTAAAGAATAGCATGAGCTTGAATGAATGATAAGTAACTTGAAAGCAATTTTAAAATCTTACAGTGAACAATTCTCCTGAGCCCCATGAAGGGCCTTATGGGCCTTTGAGGAATAAGGTAAGATTTTTAAAAGTTTCATTGATTCAAAATGAAAGCAAAGTTTGCACACACCACTGAACTGCCACTTCTGTTGCTACATAAAGCCATGTTGGACATGGAGCTCTGGGAGTGATGAATCAGAGGGAACTGGAGAGCTTGGGAGTAGGTGCCTTGTAAGCTGGAGCCAAAGAGCTGCTAAGGAGAACAAGGCCTGATTAGGGGGATGAGGGGAAGGTAGGCAGCCCCTCAGTTCCGGAGCTGAGCATTGGAAGACAGGGCATCCAAGAGATATCAAAGCATCAAAGGCATAAAATTTTGTCACTTCACTGACATCCATTGTGCATCTACCAGATGGAGGCTCCTTGATAGGCTCTGCAGAGACAGGGATGAGCAAAACAGGGCCTTGTCCTTGAGGGGTTTGTGGGTTGGAGGAGAAGGCAGATGTACAGACAGCAACAGGATGATGAAACAAGTGTTCCAATTTATGGAGAACTTACTAATATTACTACTACATAACAGGCAATGCACCAAGCACTTAGCATGCACTGTTCATTCAGTCCTCATAAGAAGCCAATTATCTCCATTTTACAGATTTTAAAAATGGAGACAAAAAGAAGTTAAACAATCTGCCCAAGATTACTTGACTAGTAAGTGCAAGAACTGGAAATCAAACTCAAGCATTTTGTTTTTGTTGAAGGAGATAACACAGTGGGATTTAAGCCTTGAACCTTTGTTTTGTGATGCCAAAGTAATGGCCACAAGACCAAGGAGAGGCCCATAAAGGTGAATGCCCAATGCTGTAGGGTTGCCCAGGAGAAAGAGAATCACTTGGCCTGGAGGAGGTAGGGGAAGGCTCAGCTAGCCAAATTTCCCAGAGGCAATGGCATTTGACCAACTTTTCAAAAATGAGTGGGCATGGGATTGGCAAAGAACATAAGGAGGGATATTTTACAAGGACAGAATTATAGCATATGCAAGGAGGCAAACATGAGCCATGGGATGGCAGAAAATATTCTCTCTGAGTCATCTCAAACAATTGGTATTCTCTCTGTTTTTAATATTCCCCTTGACATTTGCCTGTGACAATGCCCATTGACAAGTGATTCCTGACTACCATCTGAAGGTGCCTGATTCCCATGGAGCACTGGGTCAGGAATTTGAAGACTAGGGTAGGGGTTCTGCTGCCTCTCCCTAAGTGGGTAACAATGGGCAAGTTATTCAACCTTGCTGAATCTTGATTTCCGTGTTTGTAAAATGAATATGTAATATCTCATTTCTAAGATTTTGTGTGAGGTTTAATACCAAATATGAGTCTAAGATGTCTGGGATGGGGTCCAGAAGAGAATAAAGATATGTATTGTATATATTAATATCTGTGTCTATATATATGAAACCACATAACATACTATCAACTGAGATAGAGAATCATAAGATCCTACAGACTTGGAATGAGGGGACCCCTAAGAGCTGATGATTTGGTTCAGGCTCTGGATGGTGCCTGATTCTCGGTTGAGCATGCTTTCTAGCACACCATATTCTAGTATGTAGCATAACTCCAGGTACCAATGAAAATTTTAAAATAATAATAAGATAAACATAAATCCTGATTAGGTACTTGGGCATGAAATAAGTCTGCCAACAATTGAATCCTGGGTCCATTATCAGCTACCTGTGAGAGCTTTTGTAACTTAGTAAACTTCACTGTGTCTTTGTTTCTTCCACTTTAAAATGGAATACTAATTATACCTAGCTCATCAGATTCTTGGGAGGATTAAATGAGAGGATGAATATACATGTTTTAGGACAATATTTGCTCTATATAAGGTGTTCAAAAAGTGTCCATAATAATTAATATCAAAACACTGCTCAGTTGCAACAAATGGTTTACTTCTTCTAATGGGTTCTCAACACAACCAGTGTGGGCCTATCGGTACAGTTACAAAGTATTTGGGCACTGGCCTAGAGGTTTCAGCTAAAAGGTTCAATCTAGATTCTGTTTTCCACAGGGGCTTGCAGAAAAGGACTCCCATTGATCCTAAACAAATTTAGATAAATTCTATTGGTTTACAAATTGATCTTATGTGAGTGTTGGCTTGTCTTCTACTGTAATGTTGCCAAGAAGAAATCAGCATCATATTGGGATGGAGGAGGTACAGGAGGATCGATTCTAAAATCATTGTAAAGAAAACCCAAGAAGCAAGCTATGCCACAGAGAGCCTCGCTCATCTGAGAGAGCTGGTATAACAAAGGGCTAAGTGAATGGATTCTGGGGGTACCTTGGGCAAGTCACCTTGCTTTGTTCTGCCTCAGATACCTCATTCATGAAATGGGGATAATTATAATATCTAATTCACAGGTTTGTTGTAAAGGTTAAATGCATGTACATATGAAGTGCTTAAAAGCTAATAAATGCTGAATACTCATCAGATATTACTGGTAACACACAGATCAAGTGCAGTAAGCCTAAAAGGAGCTCCATAAAGGTAGGTATAGGGAAGGAGAGGATGGGAATTCTCGCTTCTTCACCTTTGATTTCTCCCACCCTTCTAATGACATCACTTGCATAAGTTCAGTTTCTAGCAGAAAGCACTTACTAAGGACTAGCTATGGGCCTGGCAGTGTGCAAGATTCTGTAGGGAACCCACAAGGAGGAGCAAGATGTAAGTACCAGGCACCATTCCCACCTCCAAGGAGCTTTCTATCTGAAATTAGGACACTTCTAAGCAGTGTGTGCGTATCTGGTTGTAGGCACTTGGTATCGCTTTTGCTCAGGCAAAGAGAGAGCAAGAGCTGGATACATACTCCGCTTTAAGCAAGAATCCAAGATGGGGTGAGGACATTCCAGGCAAGAGAACGTCAGAAGCAAAGCCAGAGAGCCTAGTGTGAGAAGTTAGGGGGCTATGAGGAAACCAATCTTGCTGGCAAGATAATTCATCTTAAGGGGCCGCTGCAGATAATGCTGTTAGCTGGGCAATGAAATATGGCCATGCTGATTGTTAAAGTACCGAAATCTGCTCCACATGCTGTCAACAACCTGGGACAATTGCTTCCCCTGACCTCCTGCCCCGAGAAGTTTCCAAAACCTAGAGCTAAAGATTAATGCTTAGCACCACAGGGGGCCTTGAGGTCCAGTATTCTTCAGCACTATGGCCACTGTCCATTTTGATTGGTCAGTGGAAAATCATCCCAATTGTCCATTCACAGAGGGCCTCGAGGGCCAGGCTGGGGAGATTTTGCTTTATTCTCAAGACTCTGAAGACCCACTGACAGTCTGCTGTTCATAAAATTCCCTTTGTCATGGAAAGACACAGCCAGGTAATGATCCCTGCTGCATGGCATTTGCCCCGTCCAGCCTCAGTGACAGGAACCTGCTCTCACCCACAGGTTTTCCCATGGGATCAGCTGTGCCATTGATGTCCACACTGAGGCCCCCAGACTAACATAGGACCACAGGGCTGCTCAACTGTCCTTTCCCTAATCCCAGTTTTAGCACTGTAATGGTTAAACAGTCACCTCTCCCATTTTTAAAGGAAGAATATTGGTGGTCACTTTGCATCTGCCTCTGCCTTTTGCTTTCCCTGTGCAAATAATTGGTTGGTGAAGTTAATTCTTTCTCACAGAGTTTTCTTGTGTGTGTGCTTATCTTTCCCAAACTCAGGCCAGCCCTTCTCTGTGGACCAGGGAGACCCCTCCAAACCTCTTAATCAGTCAGCACAGCCCCCATGGCTAAGTCCCCTCTCGGCATCTGCCACTTGATCTTGTCTCCTAAGCTCCCTCCTTGGGCAGAAGGAGGAAGGGGCTAATAGGGAGAGAGTACAGATGCTGGCTAGTCCTAAGTTGACACACCTGTTGATGACATGAATGGCCCTCAAAACATGCTAATGCACTAGAGAATCGTTTGGACCAACCTGGAAACTTCCTCAGGGACAAATTGGAAATTGATTTCTGATACTTTTAACTTGAGGGAGGGAAATACTCCTTATTCTTAAAAAAAAAAATCAGTAAGTTCCGGTAATTTTAGCAAGGAGGTTGCTTATATTGGACATTTTGATTGATTCAGAAACATAATTATTTTAATTCAGAAATACACAAAGTTACCTTGGTTAAAATAATCATATTCCTATCTTGGGCTTAAACCAATTATAGGATTCTTTGTTCCGTTCTTTGTAGGTGGTTATTGAGCAAAATCTGGATCTCCCAGCTGCTTGATTTGCTTCTTTTTCAGACTCAAGGCACAGAAACAGTGCTATTTCTTTTCTCTCCAGCACTTCAGGGCCAAGGAGTTTGAAGAAGTCCAAGGTAGAGCTTTCTGGAAAATCCTCTGGAGAGGTTGATCAGAAACCTTCTCCCACATAAACAAAGGACCCAGGAAGAAGCTAAAAATGGGCCATGAGATTGTCTTTATTCATCAAGCCTGAAGTTTTCTGACTCTATCTTTCTTTTCCCGTGGCCACTGTTACCTCTCCAGAACAGACCCCATCACCTGAATTCTGCCTGAGCCTCGACAGATATGCTCAGCTGCTCTCCCATGCTGGCTGTTGTTACCCCAACCCACTTAAAATTCCTTGAGGTCTTAGAAGCTCTCTCCCACCAAGGTGCCGAAAGAAGTATTTCACAGGTTCTCAGTGACAATTGTTTATTGAAATTTACACTGATGAGAAGTGGTCCCTATTAAGGGAATTCAATCCAAGGAGATTGGCTCTATACTTTGAACCGCTGTGGCCAAATAAATAGATGACTGCTTGCTGCAATTATATTGCTGTGGTCTTTGTATAAATAGATTACCAAGAATAGGACTCCACACATCTATCACCTTGGAAAGCTGATTTGTATAATCTGGACAGGTGGCAAGGAAACGTAACTGTCTGCTCAAGGGAGAGCCTGCCTGGGGCAGAGGAAGAGAGTCTGAGTAGCATCCCAGTTAAGTGCTCAAGCCCTGAGGTCAGGCTGCCTGCATTTGAATCCTGATTCTGCCACCAATTTTCTAAGTGGCATGGCAATGTTCTTAAACTTCCCTTTGTGTCATAGTAAGCAACCGAAAAATGGTGCTGAGGATAGAGAACTCCAAAAATAGAAATTATTGCTAGAAGGTTCCCTTGCAGTGGATATCGGGGATTCAATCTGTTAGTATCCAGAAACTAGTTTTTCTGTTACTTTTGTGAAACCACTCAAGATCTCTGTTTAACAAGCCTCCCAAAGATCTTTTTTCAATATGTTTATATGTCTTGGGGATTACAGCACTTGTGGGTTTCAGCAGAACTCTTTTTGCAGAGGTCTGGTGGTGTAGGAAAAGGGCTGTAGACTAGGATCTGGGAGACAGACATGTCTATGTTGAGACCTGCCTCTGGAGCACTGGCCACCCTCTCCAAGCTGCTGCAGTTCTCTGAGATCCAACTGTCTCCCCTGTTACATAATCACCACAGTTAAAATATCAAAGTTTATATCAACCCCAAAAGTTACCTCCTGCTTCTTTGTAATCTTTGCCTCCATCCACCCTTATTCCTAGGCAACCACTGATCTGTTTTATGTCAATACAGATCATTTTGCATTCTCTCTAATTTCATATACATTGCATCATACTTTATGCACTCTTTTATCTGGATACTTTCACTTAACATAATTATTTTCACATGCATTCATGTTGTTGTGTGCAACAACAGTTTATTAGTTTTCATTGCTGAATAGTATTCCATTGTGTGGATATACCACATTTGTTTAGCCACTCATCTGTGAATAGACATTCGGGTTGTTTCCAGTTACTTGGTTATTTCAAATAAAGCTGCTTTGAACATTTATATATAAGTCTCTGTGTTTTCATTGAGTAAATATCTAAGGGTAGAATGGCTTGGTCCTATGGTAGGTGTATATTTAATTTTTGAAGAAACTACCAAACTGTTTTATTCTTACTAGCAGAATATGACAGTTCCAGTTCCTCCACATCCTCTCCAACCCTGCTGTGGCCAGTCTTTAAATTGTAGACTTTTTAATGATATCTAGTGGTACTTCATTGTGGTTTTATCTCACATTTTCCTGATGACTAATAATGTAGAGCATCTTTTCAAGTGCTTGTTGGCCATTTGGATATCTTCTTTTATAAGTGACTGTTCACATTTATTTTGCCCATTGGTTTGTCTTATTATTGAGTCACAAGAATTCTTTGTCTATCCTGGATTCAAGTTCTTTGTCTGATGTTTGTGTTGTGAATCTTTTCTTCTAGTTTGTGGTATGCCTTTTGTTTCCTTAATGATGTCTTTCAAAGAGCAGAACATTTGATTTTGATGAAGTCTGATTTATCATTTTTTCTTTTATGGTTTTTTTTTGTGTTCTATCTAAGATATCTTTGCAAACCTCAAGATCACAAAGATATTCTCCTATGTTTTCTTCTAGAAATTTTATACTTTTGAGTTTTACATTTAGATCTATGATTCATTTTGAGTTAATTGTTTTGTTTGGTGTGAGGGAAAGATCAATGCTCATTAGTTTTTACCACACAGCTAACTGGACATCATTTTTGAAAACACTCTCTTTTCCCTATTGAATTGCCTTAGCATCTTTGTCAGAAATCAGTTGATCAAATACGTGCAGTATATTTCTGAGCTCTCTATTCTGTTCCTTTGTTCTATATGTCTGTCTTTTTACCAATATCACACTGTCTTGATTACTGAAACCAGCTGAAGTTCTCCAATGTTGTTCTTGTTAAAATTTGCTTTCCAAGAACTCTGCATTTTTATAAACTTTCAGAATTTATATAGAATTTAGAATTTTTACATACATTTTAGCTTGTCAACTTCCATAAAAATGCTTACTGAAATTTTGATTGAGACTGTGTTGAATGTAGAGAGAATTAACATCTAATAATATTCCAACCTATAAGAGTAAAATAATATATTTTTCCATTTATTTAGGTCTCAATTTCTCTTAGCAAAGTTTTATAATTTCAGTATAGAGGTCTTAAACCTCTTTTTTAGAGTTATTCCTACATATACTATATTTTTGGTGCTGATCTAAAAGGATTTTTTAAATTTCACTTTCTATTTGGTTGCTATTGGTGTATAGGAATAAACTGATTTTTTTATATTAATCTTATAATTCATGCCCTTGCTGAATTCATTCATTAATTCTAATAATCACTTTTGTAATTTCCCTGAGATTTTCCAGATGAACAATTACGTCATCTACAAATAGGGGAGATTTTGCATCTTTCTCCATTTCTAGTCTGTATTTGTATTTTTTTCTTGCTATAATACCATAACTAGAATCTATAGAAAAATGCTAAATAGATGTGGTAACAGTGGGCATCCTTGGCATTTTCCTGATCTTAGGGGGTAAAGCATTCAGTCTCTTACAGTTAAGTATGATGTTATTTGTTTTTTTGTTTTGTTTTGCATTGTTTTTAGATACAGAAGCCTGGGTTGAAAAAGTTCTCTTCTATTTTTAACATCATGAATGATTGTTTAGTTGTGTCAAATACTTTTTCTGCATCTATTGAAATAATTATATATATATTTTTTACTTTTGTATTTTGTTAGCATGGTAAATTATGTTGATTTTCACATATTAAACCAACTTTGCATCCTTGGAATAAGCCTTACTTAATTATGGTACATTGTCCTTTATATATATTGTTAAATTCAACTCACTGTTATTTTGTTAAAGATTTTTACATCTATAGTCATGAGGAATATTGGTCTGCAATTTTCTTACCTTTGCTATGTCTTCGTTAGGTTTTGGTATTGAAAATATTCAGCAAATGAATTAGACATTGATCCTTCTCTATTTTTAAAAACTTATGTGACATTAGTGCTATGTTTTTCTTGACTGTTTGATAGGAATAACCAGAAAAACTATTTATTTACTACTGCTGCTATAACAAATTACCACAAACTTAGTGGTTTAAAATAACACAAGTTTATTATCTTACAGTTCTGAAGGCCCAGACTCTGAAGTAGGTCTCATTGGGTTAAAGTCAAGGCATCAGCTGGGCTGAATTTCCTCAGATTCTGAGGGAAAATCTGTTTTCTTGCCTTTCCCAGCTTCTAGAAGCTGCCTACCTTCTTGGGCTCATGGCGCCTTCCATTTTCAAAGTTAGCAGTGGCCAGGTGAACCTCTCTCTCAGGTGCCCTCACTCTGACACTCACCCTTCTGCTTCCTTTCACATTAAGGACGCTTGTGATTACATGGGGCCCACCTGGCTAATCCTGAATAATCTCGCCATTTTAAAGCCAGCCGATGAGCAAGCGACGTTAACTCCTTCTACTGTGTTAATTCCTTTTTACCATAACATAGTCACGAATTCCAGGGATAACATGTAGACATCTTTGGAAAGCCATTATTCTGCCTCCCACATCATCTCCCGGAGTTTTCTTTGACAGGTAAATTTAATTTTTTAAAAAAATAACAGATAAAGCACTGTTAGTTTTTGAGTTTGTTCTTACGTCAATTTTGGTGAACTGTATTTTTCCAAAAAAAAAAAAAAAAAGAACCCTCCATTTCACCTAAACTGTCAAAGTTTTTAGCCTAAAGTTATCCATAGTAGTTTCTAATTATTCTTTTAATGTATGTAGGATTGGTGGTGATAAACACTTTTTTTCCTAGTATTAGTGATATGTGTTCTTTCTCTTTTTTGCTTAGTCTATTTAGCTAGAGTTTATCAATTTTGTTGAACTTTCCAATAGCCAGAGCTAGAAAATTAGTTTCCTATACTAATTTTCTATACTTTTTATTCTAAACTAGTTTTATTCTAAACTAATTTTCTATACTTTTTGCCTGCATTTTATTTCATTGATTTCTGCTCAGAGCTCTATTATCCCTATCTTTCTACTTACTTTGGGTTTACCTTGCTCTTCCTATTCTAGTGTCTTAAGTTGAAAGTTTTAGGTAATTGATTTTAGGTCTTTCTTTAGAAGTACAGCTTTGCCTGCACATGACAAATTTTGATGTGCTGTAACTGTTGTTTTTTAAAAAGGTATTTTACCCATTGGATATTGTGGCTCTCCTGCCTCCTCAAGAGAATTCTTTAAAAACTGGAATATGAAAAATGAGGATATTTCTGTACCCCAAAGTATTTTTGGAGTGAAATTATTCCCTTGAACATAGAAAACACTAAAAACCAACCAACCAACCAAATAAAAAACACTAGCTCCAGACCTGAGACCTTAGTTCACTGGCTATTTCCTTGCCCTTAATATCTTTTTTAAAAGAAATAATTTTATAATTGCCTCAAGTACATTTCAGGTATTGACCCCACAGTTGGAAATACACATCTTGAATAATCTGTTATGATTCTTCTAGCTATTGAGAATTATAAGAATTAGCTTTACTGATGTGTCCTATATGCATCTGTCTCCAGCTGAGCTGGGACTGACTTTTTTTTTTTCTGACACCTATTTGGGCTACTTCACAGTGCTAAATAGGATGTACATGGGCTCCTAGAGTATGTATATGGTGGGTGAGAATAATTCAAAGTAGGACTTTAGGGAGCAGAATTTTCTGAGTTATAAAGTAGAGAAAAGCATGTGGGGCCAGAAGTCAGTATCTGGGCTTAATCACAGCTCTGCCATGAGCCTGTCCTGCCAAGAGCATGTGCTGTGTGGTCTTCAAGGCAGAGTGTAGTTAAAATGTGTGGGGTGACTATTGTCTGGCATGGCTCTCTGCTTTAATCTCACCACCTCTCAGCTCCATTTCTCCAGCAGATCTTGACCTGCAGGGCTGGTTTCTGGGTACATGACATATGCAGCTGCACTGGGCTCTGTACTCAAAAAGGCTTGCACTTGGTTTCATGCTCTGCTGTCACAGTCTTAATAACTTAATAACAATTCTTAATAACTTTGGAGCAAGGAGCCCCACATTTTCATTTTGCACAGGGCTCCACAAGTCCTATAACTGATATCTTTATCTGGAAAGTCCCCTGAAGACATTGTAGCAATTTGGCAAGTTAAAGAGTATAGCGAGGCTTGGGAGGCAAGGCTCATAAGTGGACAAAGATGAAACTGAGGGCAACTTGGGATGATGTGTCACGTTTCCAAGTCTTAAACAACTTCCAGCAGCACCTCTCCCGCCCCCACCTCCTTGTAAGCATAATAGAATTTTTGGAAGGCTAAATCATACTTTTCCCAGATATTTCTCACCATACACCTGCCCCAACAACTCCCCCAGTGCTCGTTCACATCCAGCAACCCAAGAATCAACAGCACCCATATGGTGCATCCTCTATAAATGAAAGCTCTTTTAATTAGTGATGGGACACCTCAAATAATTTCAGCAGATGCTTCCATTTCATGAAAACAGGCACATGTCTTTGCAAATGGGCAATATTGTTCTAATTATATCATAGCCTGCAGCCCAACTTAGACAGTTTTTCTGAGGGAGGGTACGTGGGTTGGGGAGATCTATTTTATTCTCTCTCCCACCCACACACTATGATATCTCTTTTCAATATTTAATGTTCGTTAACTGCTTTGTGTTTTGTTGTTGTTGTTGTTTGTTTTTATTTCCAAGTGCTTTATACAATCAGGAAAGGAAAAATGGAAAGGACATAATTATTTGGCACCAGAATAGATGAGGAGAGGAGTCTCTAGGATTTTCCTTCTTTTTATAATTTTCTTAAAAAGAGTGAGTCTACTTCTTCAAGAAGGCTGCAGAGCAGACTGGTTAACATTCTTTTTTACTCTGCCCGATATCCTGAGATTCTGTAACAGAGATGACAGGACCACTTGCTATAATTAAAGCTCCCCTAGGATGGCTGAAAGACGAGTGTGGTCTTTGAACAGACCAGGTTTATATCCAGAGGCATCAGCATGGTTCTGTGTAGTTCTTGGCGCACGGTGTGAGAGGGACCTGGAAGGCTCTCCATGCTTGGGAAGGCGGGTTGTCTGGATCCACAAGATGCTGGTGTGGTTGTTTACTAAATATTTCCAGCTTGTCTTTTACCTTCTGGTCACATCGTTGGACCATGCCTCTGTCCTTTTTTGAGGTTCTATGGGGCTGTGTGATTTACATTGGCCAGTGAAATATGAGCAGGCATAAACTGTGCCCCTTCCAAGTAGATTATTTTAAGATCCAGGCTTCCTTCCCACACAGTGATGATCATGAAAGCACCTGTCCAAAAGAAGCCTCTATTACTCTGTGTTCTTGCATGTCTAATCTTAGCAGAACTCTTATAGGGGCTTACAACATTTTTGTGTTACGCCACTGAGATTTTGAAATTTTTGCTGGTGCAGCATAACCTAGTCTATCTTGACTGATCCACTAGTGACCAGAGCTAGCCCAGCTTCACTCTCTGGGAAGTTCCTACAGGGCCACTCTGAGCTGAAGCATCCACAATATCAAAACGAGCCGGAGAACACCTATTGCTATACATCTTAGGTTATTTCTCTCTTGTTCTGGAAGAAGGAATAGCTAGCCATAAGAGTCTCAGAATATTTTAGGCAAGAAAGAGCAGCTAGACTCTGGAGCAGAGAGGCACAGATAGGACAACTCATGTAAAGTTGAGGAATAGGCTGAATGAAGCTGTGTCTGATGCTACCTCAGGAGAACCCAAGGTCTCCAGGCAGTCCTGGCAGCCTTATCCTCCCTGGTGACCAAGGCAGGCCTTGTCCTTTGCAGTTTGGTCTTGTCCTTTGCAGCACTCAGGCCAGGCTGTGGTCGGGTGCCCCAAGGACAGCTGGAGAATGCACCCAGATGTCCCCATCTGGCACAGTGTTATCAAGGGTGCCCTAGCTTGTTTCCCTCCCTCTTGGTTGTGTAAGTCTGTGGTTTCTTGATGAATACTCTGCCAATATGGTAGACTCACTTGCTTTCTTAATCATCCTCTGATGACTCCCAGGTTCAAAGGCAAGATCAAGGTGGTACTTTCTCATTTCTGCCTCAACTTACTTGAGTTGTCTCTGGGAACTACCATTAACAAAGCCTTATAGAAAATGTGATCTGGGCTTCAAGCAACCACTTGAACAAGAGTGTTTTGAGCATTGCTCCATTTGTAAGATGAGAAGCCTCATGAGGATTTATAATACTCCTTAAGTGCCTCAATTTTGTTTAACCAACGTAGGACATAAACAAAAATGAAAGCAAATAAGAGAAGAAGAAAGCTTTGTATTTCAAACCACTTCTACCACACACTTCAATCTGCTTTATTACCAAGATAGTAAAAGTAATGGGGTTAAATTTAGATAAAAGCAAGGAGACATAGTAAATTTCAAGTGGCACATAATGTATTTTAAACAGTTTCTCTGGGTAAATACTCTAGACTGAGCCTCGGTCCAGCCCTGTAGGCTTCTCCTTCTGCCCATGGACAGTGGATGCTCAGAGGATGGGTCTGCAGCAGTGTCAGCACCAGGCGTCACCCACCAGCATTTGATCTGTGTCTTCTCCACACTGACTTAGGTGTACTGACAGATTGTTGTAAAATAGAGCCCAGAAGCCTCCTTCAGTCCACCCCCAAGGCAGGGGGCTGGATGAGATGACATTTCAAGGGGTCTTCCAGCCTGAATGAATAATGCATAATTAGGATAAAAAATAGGGAACTAGGGCAGGCACGGTGGCTCACGACTGTAATCCCAGCACTTCGGGAGGTTGAGGTGGGTGGATCACCTGAGGTAAGGAGCTCAAGACCAGCCTGGCCAACATGGTGAAACCCCATCTCTACTAAAAATACAAAAATTAGCTGTGCGCGGTGGCGGGCGCCTGTAATCCCAGCTACTCAGGAGGCTGAGGTAGGGGAATCGCTTGAGCCCAGGAGGCGGAGGTTGCAGTGAGTGGAGATGGTGCCACTGTACTCCAGCCTGGGTGACAGAGCGAGACTTTGTCTCAAAGAAAAAAAAGAAAAAAAAAGGTGGGGAACTAGAAGAATTTGAACTTCTTTGTGTTTCCCGTCTGAGGTGGCACTGTAAGAAGATAAGTTTGTTCAATACCCAAGTGATTAAAAATATTTAGGGTATGTGCAATATGGACACATATAATTGCTAATGGGGTTTCAGGGCATCATCACCATATGCTAACTTTATGCCGAGTCTCTGCCATTGGGAGCTGACTGTCTGGTAGGAAAGACAGACAAGTATATTTCAAAACTGTAATCAGGGCTATGTTAGAGACCTATACAACTGCTGTCAGAGAGCTGATGAGGCAAGGGGTTCTGACTCCTCCAATGAGTGGATCCCAATCTGGGCATTGAAGGAAATGGGACTTAAGTGACAAGGGTGTGAGAGAGTGGCACTCCTGGTACTGCAAGTGCTTTCCCCAGGAGGATGTGACTCAGGAAGACACATGGCAGAGGGGAAGCTGGAAAGGACCAGGGTCAGGTTGAGAAGACTGAATCAGCCAGAGGGGCAATGTAGATTTCATCCTGAAGTGATGGAATCTGGGGAATTATTTTAAGCATGGAGAGGCATGAGCAGATCAGCAATATCCCTCAGCTTTGGGTGGGGAATGGCTGGAGAACAGTGACATTGGATGAGATACTCCTTTAAGAAGCTCCTGTTCTAGACCAGATAAGAGATGAGCAGTCCTGAGGCAGGAAGGCAGGAACAGTATCAGAATCTCCAAGAGGAAGGATGAACACATCTTTTGCCTTTGCCCTTTTTCAGGGAGGAAGCATGCCTACATGGCAAGCCTGCTGGTGTCTAGCCTGGAAATGCTTCCCCAAAACACATGTATCTGTGGGTTTGTTGGAAGTTACCCCAGCAACAACTAAGCTGGTGGGACTTTAAATGTCCTCGGTCCACTTAGTGCACAGTGGCTTACCCTTGGCCGAGGAGTACCTCCTAGCTGCCAGGATGCTGTGGCTCTCCTCACTGTCCTTACAATAGTGTCTCTCAGCAGTGGCTCTCGTGTGGCTCTGAAGTTCTGGACTTCAATTCTGTGTCACAGTTCCCACTGTGAGGCCTGGGAGATCACCCTGTCCAGACCCAGTCTATCTTATTGGCTACCCAGAGTTGTCTTAGTCTATTTGTGTTGTTATAAAGGAATACCTGAGGCTGGGTAACTTATCAAAAGGTTTATTTGGCTCATGATTCTGCAGCCTGTGCATGAAGCATGGGGCCAGCATCTGCTTCTGATGAGGCCTCAGGCTGCTTCCACTCATGGTGGAAAGAAAGGGGAACTGGCCTGTGCGGAGATCACATGGCAAGAGAAGATGCGAGGTGAGGATGGGGGAGATGCCAGGCTCTTTATAATACCAGATCTCAGGGGAACTTTCTTGGGAGCTAATAGAACAAGAATTCACTCAGTAACACCCTATCCCAGGGAAGGCATTAATCTATTCATGAGCGATCTACCCCCATGACCCAAACACATCCCATTAAGCCCCACTCCCAACATTGGGAATCAAACTTCAGCATGAGACTTGGAGGGCAAACAAGCCAAACTATAGCACAGAGGAAGCAGCAAAGGCTAGAGCTGACCACACAAGTCCCAAGACTGGGATACTGGGTCCCCATCCAGGCATGCAATGGTTCTCCCTTTCCCTGGGCCTCTGTTTTCATTTCTGTGAGATAGAAAGCTCAGTCTAATGATCTCTTAAGGTTCTTTTAGTATAACGATTCTCAAACTAGAGACTGCATCAAAATCTTCTCGGGCTTGTTAAAACACCGACGGCTGGGTCCCACTACCAGAGATTCTGATTTAGTAGGTCTTAGCTGGGGCCTGAGAATTTGCATCTCTAACAAGTTCCCAGGTGATGCTGATTCTGCTGGTTGAGGATCAAACTTTGAAAACCATATTTTCCACCTTGCATTCTTTGACAGAGCAGTTTTTAGTCATGCCATCTGGGTGGCTCAGCCCTTTAAAACAGAGAAAGCAGAGGAATTGTCCTATTTCGGCCAGTAAGTGCAGGATCCAGGTTGACTCTAATACATGGGTGCTATGCAGGGTTCTCCTGACTCCTGTGCCTGGAAATCCTCTAAGGGCAGTGGGCATGGCTGGGAGAGGTTGAGAAGTCAGAGTGAAGTCAGGAAACATGCAAGCCCTGAACCAAACTGCAGAGCTGTGTGGTCATTTTACTTTTGCATACTCATCCATTCCCTATTTCGTGTCCTCTCTTGATATGTGGAAAATCAATGTCCACAAGGTATTACAAAAACCATCGGATTGCCCTTACCTGCCACCAGGTGACACCTGATATTGATTTAGCTTATGAAAATGATTCACAGGTTTGCTGAAGCCTGGAAAAGATCAAATGTTATGAGCCTCGTGATCCCATCCTCCTTCTCTGCTCTCAGCTAACATCAGAAGAGGTAATTGGGAAATAATAGACCAAAGAAGCTTTTTTGGTGAGCACACAAGGAGAACAAAATACAGGAGAATCATTTCATTGGGAGAGAAGGGATTTTAGTATCATTCGTTTTTATTTAGAGCAATTTTCCCTTTAAGTGCAACAGTCTCTAGACATGACCATTATAGAACAACAATTTTAACACAACCCGTAAATCAAAGAAAAATTACTGCAGAGGGAAGCTTTTTACAGATGTTCCAATGGTTATGTACTAGGCAGGTGACTTAGAGCTGGGAAAAACTGGCATCTTCCAGGGAGACTATGCTGGGGTCACCTAGCCCCTTGGAAAAAACAGTCTCTCTCTTTTAAGTAGAGGGAGTACTAGTAGTAAGACAAATATTTACTCGCTTATAACTTCAGGCAGTTCCAACATCTCTGAGCCTTGATTTATAGTAATAAATAATAAACTTATTTGGTAGGATTGTTGTGCAAACTGAGATAATGAAAAGTAGCTAATGCCTGCCACATAGCTGAACAAGTGTTAGGTGTCACTATCATTATTTTTATGGCATTAGAAGTAATGGCGAAAGAAACAGAAGCTATAGCAGGAGGGCAGAGTTTCCATTTATTGAATGCCATGGTACCATAGCGATATGTGACCTCCATATGGTTTCATCTTTCTGAACACACAGGGAGACCACATGTCCCAGCTTCTCTTGTAGTTAGTTTAGAATCATATGACAAAATTCTGACCACGGGGATGTAGATGGAACTGATGTTATGAGCTGGCTCCAGGCTGGTATTTACAAACATTAAAAAAAAAAAACCCCTTCAAACATTTCTTTCCTGACTGCACTGATCCTGGAGATCACATATTCCATGTGTCTTGGTTGCCAGATGGAAGGGGGCAATATGACCTGCAATACAGTTTATGTGAGTGATAAATGAACCTTTTCAGACTAAGACCATGAGGCTTAGGAGTTTATTCGTTACTGCAGCATTGTCTTACTATACTGAAAAACCCAAGTGTCTACCATGTGTTAAATAGTAAATGAGACACATGAATAAATAACATGACCTCATTTAATCTTCACAAAAACACTGCAAGTTTCCTGGTCCTCCTCACCTGTTGGTTCTTTACCTTGACTCCAGACATGATTTGTGTTGGTATATACTATACTATCTAGAGCTACTTTAGTGGAAAAAGCAGGATTTTGAAAACTGGCTGCTGTTTTGCTTAAAAGTTCTTTTTCTTATTAGCAGAGGTCAGATGTGCCTTCATTTAACCATTAAGATTACACGTTTTTAATCACATAAGTTCCATGACTGATGCAATGGAATCTCGGTTGATAACTTGTGATTGTTATATTTTATTTCTAGATTGTTCCTTTTATCATTTTGGGCAACCATTCGTTACTCTTATAAGTTATTTTGCGAAGCATAATGAAGTATAGTATCTTGAGTAAAATTAATATCCCTACATTAGCATTCTTTTGTTTAAAATTTGATTAAATGTTATTGGACATTCTTTCACTAATTCCCTCTGTAAAATAGTATTCCCAGTCACTCTCTAGTCTCCATGTCTTGCTTTGATGTAATATATATATATATGTATGTTTATTTATTCATTGTTTATCTATTTTCCTTCACCACTTCTAGTGGTGTATGCATGCGCCAAGCAAACAGAAACATCATCTATTTTTTGTTTTTCTGTTTATGGATTTGTCCCAGTGTGTCCCATACTGTGCCATGTATGTAGGAGGCACTAAATAGACATGTGTTGATTATCACTGGTAAATCATTTTCTGTCCCTTCATTTTCAATCTTTATGCTTTGTTTTGTTTCAGGTATGGCTCTTGGTGACCTTGATGTCTTTAGATGCTATTTTAATTAATTTATATTGTGATTACTGATTTGGATTAATTTATACCATATTTTTTGTTTAATTGAGGTATCTACAGATTCACATACAGCTTTAAGAAATAATACAGAGAGATCTATGCCTAGTTTTCCTGGATGGTAATATTTTGTAAAACTATAGTGTAGTAGTATCTAGATATCAACATTGATACAGTCCACTAGCCTTACTCAGTTATCCTGGTTTTACTTATACTTGTGTGTATGAATTAAGTTCTATATAATTTTATCACCTGTGTAGGTTTGTGTATCCACTATCACAATCAGGACACTAAACAATTGCAATACCATAAGAATCCCTTTTGTAGCCACCCTTTTATAACCACACACAATTCTATCTCTTACTCTGCCACTCTACAACCCCTATTCTGTTCTCCACTTCTAAAATTTTATCATTTCAAAAATGTTACATACGTGGAATCATACAGTATGTGATTTGGGGATTGGCTCTTTTAAAAGTAGCATTTACATAACATAAAATTAACTACTTAAAGGTGCGAAATTGGGTGACATTTAGTAATTTACAGTGTGCAACCATCACTTCTACTAGGTCCAAAATATTTTTATTACACAAAAGGAAACCTGTACCTATTAAGCAGTCGCTCCTTATTGCCCCCTCCTCATGGCCCCTGGCAATCATTAATCTGCTTTCTCTGTGGATTTACCTATTCTGGATATTTCATATAAATGGAATCATATAATATGTGACCTTTTATATCTGGCTTTTTTTTTACTTAGCATAATGTTTTCAAGGTTTATGCATGTTGTAGCATGTATCAGTAGTTCATTCCTTTTAATGATTAAATCATATTTCCATTGCATGGATATAACAAATTTTCATTTACTCATTTATCAGTTGATGGACATTTGGGATACTTCCACTTTTTGTTATTGTACATAATGCTGCTGTGAACATTCATGTATAGGTTTTTGATGGAACATCTGTTTTCAATTCTTTGGGGTATATATCTAGGAATGGAATTGCTGGCTCATATGGGAATTTTGATACTTTTTGAGGAAGGAACACTTGTTATTTTCCATTTTTTGATTACAGCCGTTTTAGTGGGTATGAGGTGATATTTTATTGCGGTTTTTATTTCCATTCCCCTAATGACTAATAATGTTCAGCATCTTTTCATGTGTTCTTCTCTGGAGAAACATCTATTCAAGTCCTTTGCGCATTTTTTGAATGAGTTGTCTTTTGATTGGTAAATTGTAAGAGTTCTTGACATATTCTAGATACTAGTCACTTATTAGATACATGATTTGAGGATATTGTCTCCCATTCTGTAGGTTTTTTCACTTTCTTTTTTTTAAATTTTATTATTATTATACTTTAAGTTTTAGGGTACATGTGCACAATGTGCAGGTTTGTTACATATGTATACATGTGCCATGTTGGTGTGCTGTACCCATTAACTCGTCATTTAGCATTAGGTGTATCTCCTAATGCTATCCCTCCCCCCTCCCCCCACCCCACAACAGTCCCCAGAGTGTGATGCTCCCCTTCCTGTGTCCATGTGTTCTCATTGTTCAATTCCCACCTATGAGTGAGAATATGTGGTGTTTGTTTTTTTGTCCTTGCGATAGTTTGCTGAGAATGATGGTTTCCAGTTTCATCCATGTCCCTACAAAGGACATGAACTCATCATTTTTTATGGCTGCATAGTATTCCATGGTGTATATGTGCCACATTTTCTTAATCCAGTCTATTGTTGTTGAACATTTGGTTTGGTTCCAAGTCTTTGCTATTGCGAATAGTGCGGCAATAAACATATGTGTGCATGTGTCTTTATAGCAGCATGATTTATAATCCTCTGGGTATATACCCAGTAATGGGTTGGCTGGGTCAAATGGTATTTCTAGTTCTAGATCCCTGAGGAATCGCCACACTTACTTCCACAATGGTTGAACTAGTTTACAGTCCCACCAACAGTGTAAAAGTGTTCCTATTTCTCCACATCCTCTCCAGGACCTGTTGTTTCCTGACTTTTAAAAAGTCAGGTTTTTTCACTTTCTTGATAGTGTCTCTTGAAGCACAAAATTTTTAATTTGGGTGAACTTCAATTTATCTATTTTTTATCTTTTGTTACTTGTCCTTTTGGTGTCATATCTAAGAATCCATTGCCAAGTCCAAAGTTGTGAAGGTTTACCCCTATGTTTTCTTTTAAGTGTTTCATATTTTTTAGCTCTTACATTTAGGTCTTTGACCCATCTTAATTTTTGTATATGGCATGGGTAGAGGTCTAGCATCATTCTTTTACAAGTGGGTATCCAGTTATTCCAGAACCATTTGTTGAAGAGACTATTCTTTCCCCATTGAATTATCTTGGTACTCTTGTCAAAAAATGAATTGACCATAGATGCATGACTTTATTTCTGGACTCTCAATTCTATTCCATTAATCTTTTTTTCTATCCTTATGCCACTACCACCCTGTTTTGATTAGTTGTAGCTTTGTAATAAACTTTGAGATCTGAAAATGCCAGTCCTCCAACTTTGTTTTTCTTTTTCAAGATTGTCTTGGCTATTAAAGTTCCCATACAATTTTATATTAATATTAGGATCGACATTTTCATTTCTGCAAAAAAGACCATGGGATTTTGATATGGCTTGCATTGAATCTGTGGACTGCTTTGGGGAGTACTGCCATCTTAGCAATATTAAGTCTTCCAATCCATGAACAGATGTCATTTAATTTATTAGGTCTTATTTAATTTCTTTCAGAATGTTTTGTAGTTTTTCAGTATTCAAGTCTTGCATATTCTTGGTTAATTTCATTTCCTAAATATTTTATTATTTTTGATGCTATTGTAAATATAATTGTTTTTTAAATTTCATTTTTAGATTGTTGCAAGTATATAGGAATACAATAAATTTTTTGTGTGTTGATCTTGTATCCTATATATCTTTGATGAATTTGTTTATGGCTTTATGTGGATTCTTTAAGATTTTGTACATAGAAGATAATGTTATCTCTGAATAGGGATGATGTTATCTCTTCATTTCCCATTTGGGTGCCTTTTATTCCTTTTCCTTGACTAACTGTCCAGGCTAGAACTTGCAGTACAATGTTGAATAGAATCGGCAAAAGCAGCCATCTTTGTTTCATTTCTTATCTCCTGGGGAAGCTTTCAGTCTTCACTGTTAAGAATTATTTTAGCTGTGGGTTTTTCATAAATACCCTTTAGCAGGTTGAAGACATTCACTTCTCTTCCAAGTTTGTTGACTTTTTATTACAGAAGGGTTTTGGATTTTGTCAAATGCTTTTTCTGTATAAAATTGAGATTATCATGTGCTTTTTTGTCTTCATTCGATTAATATGGTATATTACAATGATTGATTATTTGCTATGTTGCCTAGTGTAATATCGCTTGATATAGTGTTCATAGTAGTTACTCTGGCATTATAGTATACATATGTGATTTATAAGAGTCTACTGTGTATCAGTTTCCTGTTGCTGCTATAACAAATTATCACAAATTTAGTGGCTTAAAACAACATAAATTTATTCTATGATAGCTCTGGAGGTCAGAGGTCTAAAATCAAGGTATTGGCAGAGCTGCATTCCTTCTGGAGGCTTCAGGAAAGAATTCATTTCCTTTTCTGGCTTGTCAAGGCTTTGCACATTCCTCTGCCTGTGGTCCCTCCCTTCATCTTCAAAGCCAGAAGAGTGGAATCTTCTCTCCTTTCTGATCTCTTCTTCCATTCTTTTATCTCCTTTTTCTGATTCTGATCCTTCTCTCCCTCTTATAAGGACCCTGGTATTTACATTGAGCCCTTGCATAATCCAGGATAATCTCCCCATTTCAAGACCCTTAACTTAATCACATCTACACAGCCTCTTTTATCATGTAAGATAACCTACTCACAGGTTCTGGGGACTAGGACATGGGCATCTTTTGGCCACTGTTCAGCCTACTACAACTGGTATCAACATTTTGCCATCTCCACTGAAGTGTGGAAACTTTCACTTCTATTTAGATCTCTTTACCTTCTCCACTTTTAAATATTGTCTCAGATGTCAGATGGTGTTATAATTTTTGTTTTAGTCATCAAATATGGTGTATAAAACACATGAGGAAAAGGGTAGTTAGCTGTGTGTACCCATCCATATATCTACTTTTTTCATTGTTCCGTCTTCCTGAAACTACATTATTTTTCCATTTTCTTGCCGTTCGAAGTATTTTCTTTAGCCAATCTTTAAGGATTTATATGCAAATAATGAATTCTTTCAGTTTTTCTGTGTCTGAGAATGTTTTCATTTTCCCTTCATTCCTGAAGAATAGTTGCACAGGATACAGAATTTGTGTTTTTACAATTATTTTCTGTCAGTATCAAAAAAATATTGTGCCACTTCTTTCTGGCCTCCATGGTTTCAAATGAGAAACCATCATTCCAATGGGTATTCCCATACAGGTAACTCATTGGCTATTTTCAAGATGTTTTCTTTATCTTTAGTTTTCAGAAGTTTAATTGTGATGTGCCTTGGCATGGATTTATTTGGGTTTATTTTCAGGGGTGTTCACTTAGATCCTTAGTTCTATACATTTGTGTCTTTTACCAGATTTGGGAAGTTTTCAGCCATTATTTTTTCAAATACTCTTTCTGCCCTACTCTTTCTCCTCTACATCTGGAATGGCAGTCACATGTTTAGGTTTAGAAAGCAGGTCTTGGACTACTTTGTAGGCTGTGGTTTCAAAAGCAGATTAATTTTCAATGTCTTTATGGTATTATTTTGGTTTTCTTAGTTTGTCTACTACCACTGGGGTTCCCATTGACGGTTGCTGATAAGGCCTTAGTGGGGCAGAAAGAGCTTCCTGAGGTGGGGCCACCAGGTATCCCTCAATAAGAGAGGAGTGTGGTAGAATCCCCTGACATCCCTTGCCCCACTTTACATCATCACACATACCCCCAGGTTGTCTTGGGTGGGAGATGGGATTCTAGGGCCGGGGGGAAAAAGAAGCTTCTGGAACCAGGCTGCTTGCTGGAGCTGGGTCCCTTGCCTCTTGGCCTAGGGTCTCTGGGCAGGAGAGGAGAGTCTTAACACATAGGGACAAAGGGGTTTCCCAAATCAGGCCACCTGCTGTAACTGCATCTCTCCTGCTAGCTTCACCTGCCAGCCCCTATACTTCTTGGTGGAAAAGGTGACCCTCAAGAATGGGAGTCGGAGCCGGGGGGGAAGAGTGCCTCCCCTGGCTGCTTATTTCTGGCAGGGCTTCTAATGAATTCCCCTTGCCAGTGGTGTTGGGTATGCCTCATGTTGTTAGGACTCTCGTTGGATCCAGAGGAAGAATGAGCCTTCTGTTGCCAGATTGGCGGCTGGAAAATACGAGGTTGGGGTAGCTTTCTTCTCTTGGGTGTGGGAATGCAAGACACTACCTCTTTGTTATTGGTCTAGTCTTAAAGTCCCAAACCAGTTCTTCTTTCTCTTACCACTTTTCAGAGTTCTTCTTCAGTTGTCTCTTGCTCTGTTTCCAGGGTTTATAGCTGTGCTTAGCAGGAATAAGGAGATAAAACAAGGCCTATGTCATCTTGTCCAACTAGAGTGACATTTTTTTTTTGATGATTTATCTTCATTGACTTTACTCTCTCCTACTGGAATGCTTATTAAATGGGTTTTGGATTTTGTTTTCTTACTTCACTTTTGAAAACGTTTACTCTTATGTTTTCCATCTCTGTCTTTTTGCTACAGAAGATTTTCTTATCTTCTCTGTCACTACTTTAGTTTTTATATATGTTTATTCCATTTTTTTGCCCAGCTATTTATCACTTCAATTTTCAGATTTCAAATTTTTAATCATGTTCCCCCCACCACCCCATGATTGCTCCTTCTTCTCTAATGAAGCCAAGAATTCAAATAAGAAGTACAATTTTAAAATTGCTTTCTTCTTGTTGTTTATATTTCTTTAATTTAATGTTGTTTTGGTTCATTTTGTCCTTCTACTTTCATGCTGTTGATTTTTCTTAAAGGTCTGGAGACTCTGGCTGACTTTCCACATTTATGAGTGAAGGGCACAGCTGTTTGGTATGGGTAGTGCATGAGGAACCCTTTCCTATTGTGGGTAAGGCATGGCAGGATGCCTGATGCTGAGCTTGACAGACAAGCAGGCTCATCTCATGATTTCCACCCCTGGCTGAATACAATAGACTTGACCCGTGTTGGAGTGGCACTGTTGCCAGGTCTCATTGCAGTTCATCTGCTGAGGAGGTTGGTTGAATTCCCAGTCTCTTCTCTCCACTTTTCTCAACATCCACACTGTGAGCTTCAGGGTGTCAGCTAGGTTTGGATGCTTCAGCCAGCTTCCTTGGACCTCAGGAAAGTATGGCGTCACCCAGCCCAGGGGATAACACCCCAGTGAACGCTGGTGGGTATTATCCCTGAGGGTTGTGCAAGCTGATCCACTTGGTGTGCAAAGAAAATCTTGGAACTTTTACCTACCTGAATGTTAGCTAAAATATGAAAGATATCAAAGCTTACTAATTTTAATATATGGATTGTCATACTAATTTTAATATGGATTGTCATTCCTGAGGTAAGAGGTAAGAGTTCCATAATCCACTTGTTTGCTTCTTTGATTGTCTTGTGATGAATTGCAGTTATATCTTCTTGGTTAAAGGGATTTATGGATAATATGTTCCATTAAAATAATCTAATCCTTGCAAAATGGTTAAGTAATTAAAATTTCTGGCATAGAAAATGTGGATCAAGGATAACTCAAAATGCCGACACTGGTAAACAACTAGAGAATAGCAAAGCTGATACTTCTAACCTTTATTCACCCCATTATGTGATGCAAATATTGATGATTTCATAAAATCCGATGAGAATTTGGCCCCATAAAGTTCAAAACTATCATGAAGACTATTTATTTTGAAGATAAATTTTCACTCATGATCATTAATGATTAATCTCACCCAAATATAAATTATGTTGAGATATTTGCTAATGAGAATAGCAATATGTATATTGCTATATATAAAAATATGTATATATTTATAAATACATTTACGTAAATTGTAGTTGTGTGCTTCATGTTTTAAAAAACATAATGAGTACATTTTTTAAAAAACATAATGAGTACCTGATTCAAAACAATGTAAAAACCACTGCTGTAGACAGTCCTCCAACTAATGATCCTGATTATCACTCCACAGCCAAACTCAAGCTGAGAGACCCTCTGGTGCTCCCCTGGGAGGAACTGCACTTACTGCTGCTAGAGCCTTCTCCCTTGTGGGTTTTGAGTTGCGACAATCCAGTCACATCTGTATTCCATTGTACATAAATTTTTTATCACTTCTGTTCCATCGATGACACGCTTCCTTATGTTTAAGTGCTGGCATGAATTTATTCTTTTTTGCCAAATGTTACTGACACTTTTGTGGGGTCCTGAGGGGAGAGGGGGCAATGCATATGCATAGGTCACCATCCCAAATCTAAAGCCAAAAGATTGCCATTGAATTTGCAGAACAAGAAACTTCCTACTGGCTAAAGTTTCCTTTGTAAACAATATTTTTAAAAAAATTTCTGTTGGTATTTAGTTAAACAAAAATCAAAACAAGCCAACATAACCTGACTCAGGAGCCAGGGACATGCAAGCTTGGATTTAGTAAGGCACTAAGAACTCCTGGAGCCCAGATGTGGCTTAGTCATGTTGTCCAAGGGTAAGGTGAGGCTGGTGAAGGGAAGGGCAAGTTGTTATTATCATTGGGGGGAGTGGGTGCTATTTAAAGGAAAAAAGGGAAAGACTATTTTTTTTTCCACCCAGGAAAATCTCTCCCACCAGTGTGTGGCTAACACCAGAATTAGAACCAAGCATTCTCTACCCACTCCTACCACAGCCATAATAAGAGTCACCTTCTGGTGCCCTTGCCTGCTACAATCCTTGGATGCTCCTGTGTTTGCTTTTAATGAGGGAGGCTGTTTCTTTACAAGGCCCTCCTATTGCTTTGGCTTTATGACACACACACTCCCTCCTAAATATGTCATGTAGCACATTCAAAATGAAAATGAATTTAAATTAATTGGGTTTGAGATTCCTTTTCAGAGAATTTCATGAGGGCTTTTGAAATAACAGAAGTGTCACAAACACAGGTTGGAATGCAGACATCGGGTACAAAGAGTATGCTAGAGGAAGACACAGTTGTCAAAAAGGTATTTTTCCCCCTGCAGTGACAGGTGGCTCTGACAGCTCTGGTTTGTCAGCAGGCAGACACATGAGGATGAGGGGATCATGAGGATGAGGGGATCAGAAATGAAAGATGCCGGTGGAAATAATTCCTTCCGTGGCTGTGAAGTGATCATGACTTTGCTGTATCATAACGTAGCTCTGAAGACAGGATCAAAATGAAATCTCTCAACCTGAAGAAGAAATTTCTACCTGATAATGTCCTCCCTGCAGGCCTTTCTATATCTGCTGGTGTCCTCTGAGAGTGAGTGGGAAGGGAAAAGACTGAGGAGATGACCAGCTCAGGTCCATGAATTTCTAGAGGAGGCTGCTTCAGACAGGGTGTGATTTTCAGTCTTGTCTGTGTCTCTGAGAATATGGTCCCAGGGAGGCTGGAGTATCTAATAGGGTTGTAGTAGGTTGTAGTCTCCAGGCTCCGGCACCAGAAAGAGACCTACCTTTCAAATCAAGAGGTGCTGACGCAATATGACGGTCCATTTGTCCTAGGCCCTTCCTCGCCTTCTAAGGGTTGCTGATTGTAGGAAGGGTATTCATTTTATTAGAAAAGATGGTCTTCAAAAATTGTTCTCTCCTTAAGGCTTCTGGAAATAGCTGATGGCTAGTATAGTTACTTTTCTAAGTGAACAGAGGCTGAAGAGAGGGTCTCTGCCTTGGGGGCATCAGGCCCATGTAAGTGTAAGGTTACCACGAGGGAAGGAGAGGGATTACAAGCAAGTTTATAGACTGAATGTTGAAGCCACCAGCCTCTTCTCACTTTCAGGTCTCAGAACCTCAGCAGCTAGATGTTACCTTCCAGGAAGGAGATCAGAAGAATCTTGTCTGGGCAATCTGACCAGACTAGGAGGACAAATTGAAGGATAATGAAATTGAGGATGCCCAAAGTAACAGATCACAGCACTCCATACGTGACATCCACGATGGGGAAGCCTAGCCACTTGCACAGCACTGCCAATCAGACTTTTAGTTTCCTAATTTAAAACATAAGCAGACAACTAAGAATTACCAGAAAGTCAAAGATGTTCTGTAACTGAAAACATAGAGACTAAAACAAGTGGGGAAATAAAGTAAATTGGAGGGAATAAAGAAAATGCAAGAATAAGAAAACTTAAAAGCTGTCATCAGTATTATCTGATAGCTAGTAAAATACATTATCTTTATGAAACAAAAGAATAGGAGACTATAAAAATTAGCATTCAGATAGCAAAAAATATAATCTTGAAAATGAAAAATATGATGACAAAAGTGAAAAACTTGATAGAAGAACTGGAAGATAAAGGTGAAGATATCACCCAGAAAGTAGTACAAAAAGAAAGCAATATAACGTTGAAGAGAAATCAAAGAATATTTTAACAATGTCTCAGAGATCCAAAATCTAAATAATAGAAATTCCCAAGAGAGAGAACAGAGAAAATGGAAGGAAGGCATTCGTTAGTGAAGAAATTAAGGAAAGTTGCCTGAATTAAAAGGCATCTTTCCTGAAAAAAAATGACCAATTGAGTGCTCAGCAAAAAATAGAGCCACATTATCATCATTAAAATCTTTATCATCTTGCGGGCCTTAAGACCCTCCCCAAAGAAGGTCCTGCCCTACACTCTGGGGGAGGGAATGCTGATATCATGAAGCTCTCACAAAAACTCAAGAGAACTGGGTTTGGAGAACTTCTGGACGGCTGTGGTTGTGGAGGCTCCTGGAGGGTGGCATTCCCAGGGAGGGCATGAAAGCTCTATATCCCTTCCCCCATGCCTCACCCTATACATCTCTTTATCTGTATTCTTTGCAATATCCTTTATAATAAACAATTAAAAGAAAAAAATCATTAATATCATCATCTATAAAAGTGAATAAATACATGTAATTGTTTAGAGCTATTGGAAAATAAGCAGAGCAGAACTATAATTCTTGAGACAAGGAAACTCAACAGGAGTTGGTCTCAGGTTCACCTTACTTTCTGTCTGGGGACACTTTCCCTACCTTGATACAGAAAGGTGGATCCCAGGTGGACCATTATTTCACTCAGCTAGGGAGGCAGATAGCTGACTTAGAAGCTGCTGAATATCTGGGAGGGATGGCTCTGTGTGCATAGAGAAAGGACCTGTAGTGGCCAGCAGGGAGTAGGTGCTGCAGGGTGAAAGCTGGACAGGGCTCTCAGAGGTCTTACAGTGTTCAGAGACCTTAGAGTTTGTATCTAGTCAGGGTGAAGAGTCCTTGCTGAATCCCTGGAATATTCAAATGACAACCCCACAAAAAAGCCCACATCTTAGGTATAAAATCCACATACATTATAAGAAAAAAAGATAATAACATAAACAAAAAATCCTTAATGAAATATTAGCAAACTGAATCCAGCACTATATAAAAACAGTAAAACAATTGACCAAGTAAGATTTATCCCAAGAATGCAGAATTGAAACCAGCACCTTGTAGAAATATCTGCACTTCCGTGTTCATCCCAGCGTTACTCAAAATAGATATGGGAGCAATCCAAATATCCATTGATGGATAAATGAATGAAGAAAATAGGTGTATACATCTAATGGAATATTATTTAGCCTTTAAGAAGAAAGGAATCCTACCATTTGCGATAACATGGATGAAACAAGAGGACATTATACTAAGTGAAATAAGCCAGACACACACAGACAGATAATACATGACACCACTTACCCAATGGTCCCAAGTTCACCTGGTTTTCTGTCTGGCTTTCCCTACTATGGTGCAGAGAGGTGGATCCTAGGCAGATCATTATCTCACTCAGCTAAGGAGGCAGATAGCTGACTTAGAGGCTGCTGAATATCTTGGAGGGGTGGCTCCAAATTTATAGAAGCAGATTGTAGAATGGTGGTTGCCAGGGGCTAGAGAGAGGAGGAAATGGAAAGGTATTAGTTAAAAGGTACAAAGCTTCAGTCATACATGATGAATAAGTCCTAGAGAACTACTGCATATATGGCATAGTGCCTGTTTTAAATAATGCTGTATTACATACTTAAAAATTTGCTAAGAGCGTACATCTATGTTAAGTGTTCTCAACACAAAATCATCATAATAATTAATGAAGAGGGCAAGAGGAAACTTTTGAAGGGGCTAGATATGTTAACAGCATAGATTATGGTGATGATTTCACAGGCATGCACTTATCTCCAAACTTGCAAGTTGTACACATTAAATATGGACAGCTTTTTGTACGTTGGTTATGCCTTAATAAAGTGGAATTTTTAAAAAAGAATAAAAATAGCAAAAACTTGGAACCAACCCAAATGTCCATCAATGATAGACTGGATTAAGAAAATGTGGCACATATACACCATGGAATACTATGCAGCCATGAAAAACGATGAGTTCATGTCCTTTGTAGGGACATGGATGAAGCTGGAAACCATCATTCTGAGCAAAGTATTGCAAGGACAGAGAACCAAACACCACATGTTCTCACTCATAGGTGGGAATTGAACGATGAGAACACTTGGACACAGGATGGGGAACATCACACACCAGGGCCTGTCGTGGGGTAGGGGTAGGGGCGAGGGATAGCATTAGAAGATACACCTAATGTAAATGACGAGTTAATGGGTGCAGCACACCAACATGGCACATGTATACATATGTAATAAACCTGCACGTTGTGCACATGTACCCTAGAACTTAAAGTATAATTTAAAAAATAATAAAAATGAAGGGAAAATGTGGCTATTTCAAGAGATATTGAAAAAGCTTGACAAAATTCAATAACTATTCATGGTAAAAAAAAAAAAAAAAACACTCTTAGAAACCAGGAATAGGAGGAAATAACCTCAATCTGATGAAAAGTATCTACCAAAACAAACAAACAAAAAATCCTATAGCTAACATTGTACTTGATGATGAAGCTTTTAAGACTTTCCCCCTAAGATTGGTATTGAGGCAAGAATATTCTCTCACCCCTTGAATACAACATTGTATATGAAGTTCTAGCCATTATCATAAGGCAAGATATAGAAGCAAAGCCACAAAGATTATGAACAAAGAAGTAAAACTCACTATAGACAATGTAATTGTTTACATAAACAATTATGTAAGCTAAGGAGGCAGATAGCCAACAAATAACAATAATAATTAATAATAATTATTTAGGAATTTATATACCAAAACATTCTACAGAATCTGATTTATGAACTTGACACACTACAGAATATGAAGTCAATACACAATATGCAAATGATATCTACGTAATAGGAACAAACAACTGGAAAATCAAATCACAACATAGAACATACAGTATAATCCAAACTTCAAGGCATGATAGCTAGATAGATAATAGATAATAAATAGATGTTAGATCATAGATTAGACAGATAGATAAATGGTATTAGAGGATAGAGGAGAAAGACCACAGAAAGACATATGAACATTTCCTCCACAAATAGAACAATATCTGTTTCATCCTAGTTTTTGCCATGGTAATAAATGACATCTCTATCTACCTGGTTGTTCACGCCAGAAACCTGGAAGTCATTCCCAACCTTACCTCTCCCTCAAGCATCTCATCCAAACAATCACCAAGTTCTGTTAATTCTTCCTTCAAAGACAGCTTTAATCTGTCTACTTCTCTCCCTCTGAGTTGCAATCACCCTAGTCCAAGCTATTACAATTTCTCACTGGGAACGCCTCCTAAATCTTTTCCTCAAGCCCAACACATTTTCCACAGAGCAATCATAGTGATTAAAAAAAATAAATAAACTGGACAATGCCTCCTTTGCTTAACACCCTTCGAAGGCTTCCAATTGCCTCAAAAGCTGCTGGAGATATACGAGGCAATGAGAAAGGGGAGGGAAATCCCCCAGCTTTTTCCTTCCCCTTCCCTCCAATATCCTGTCCATCCTCCCACTGGCTGAACCTGCCAGAGGCCAGTGGACAAGGGCCCGTGGAAAATATAACCTGCAGTAATCAGCCTTCCCCATCCCCCACTACCCCAAGATACAAAATATCAGGGTAGGCAAGGAATGGATCTGAAGACAAACAGGCCCAGGGTCTCTTTAGCTTCAGAGGTCAAAGGAGGACTCTTAGGAGGAGGCTTCAAACTGAGCCCTGAGGCAGGCGCGGTGGCTCACGCGTATAATCCCAGCACTTTGGAGGCCAAGGTGGGCAGATCACGAGGTCAGGAGTTAGAGACCAGCTTGGCCAATATGGTGAAACCCTGTCTCTACTAAAAATACAAAAATTAGCCGGGTGTGATGGTGGATGCCTGTAGTCCCAGCTATCTAGAGGCTGAGGCAGGAGAATTACTTGAACTGGGAGGTGGAGGTTGCAGTGAGCTGAGATCATGCCACTGCACTCCAGAACAGAGTGAGACTCCATCTCAATAAAAAACAAAACAAAACAAAACAAAAAAAACCTGAGTCCTGAAGGATGAGAAAGAGCAGCTACATGAAGAATGGGGAGTGCATGCTCTGGGTAGAGAGAACTGCATGGACAAGCACTCATAGGCAGGAAGCAGGAACTGTGCTATGTGGCTGGAGTGTGGTGAGGGAAGCCAGAGAGAAGGGCAGGGGCTGATGACACAAGGCCTCACAGGCTGTGGTGTGGAGTCTGGACTTGATTGTAAGTGACACAGTCTGATAAACACCCATGTTCTTCCTGGCTGCCATGTGGAGAGTGGTTGGGCCCCGAGCCAGGTGAGGAAACAGGGAGATCCTGGGGAAGCTGCTGCAGCCGTCCAGGCCTTGAGCTGCAGTGGAGACAAGCAGAACTGGGAGGAGCCCAGGTGCATATCCTTTCCCTCTTGGCATGATGAGGTTGGGAGGGGTCCAACTCTCCCAGGGCATCCGTTTAGTCTGAGGACAACACCCTCCTGGACCATGTTCTTGATTGATGAGGATCTTTCCTCCATTCTGAGCATTGCCGAGCTGGAGCTGAGGCAGCTTGTGGCCCCAAAACCTTCACTGATGTATTTGCTCCTTGCTCAGACTTCCTCATAATCTGGGTCTCTTCCTCCAGAAACTGGGGCTCACCAAGGGCCAGAGGCCACTCTTCCTGGTTGTATATAGTCAGTGGACTTAGAGGAGGGATAGAGTACACAATGAGGACTGGGCTTCTCCCAACCTGGCCCTTCATTCATTCATTTCCTTAAATCCTCCAACAAACTGCATGTTTTCTAAACCACTTCTCTCTGAGAATCTGAATAGAGGTAAGGGGCTCCCTTCCAGCCCAACTCTCTCCATGCATGTGTAATTTACATAGCAAGGGCAAGGTTAGTGACAACAACCCTTCTACATCTTGTGTCTGTGGGTGGAGTGCAGTCTTGACAACTCAGCTTCCAGCAGAAAGCCTTTCATCCATCCACTCAGCCCTCACAGCCCCCAAAAGGTCAGGAACAATCTATTCAGCAGGTCCACTGACCCATTTCTTGGGTTGGTTCCACATCTGCCCTGTCTCTGACTCCAGGCTCCTTCTGTGCATCTGCGGAGTCTCCATTTGGTTTTGAGGATAGTGACTTCTATAGTCAGGAAGATGCTACAAGCCCATCACAGAGGACTTGGGGCAGAACTGGCTTTTTGCAGATGAGGAATCAAGCCAATTTGGAGCTAACGGATGGCTTAAGTCTGATAACTATGTCAACCCAGTTGCATACTATGGGCATTTCTGGGAATGTTTTTTGTACCCATCCCTGTTTGAAGTACTACGGAGAATAGAAATTAATCTCGAGAAAGGATTCCACTTTTACATTTTACTTAGCAGAACAAACCTTTTTATTCATTCATGAAACAGCAGGGTATTTCTAGTTTAGAAAGACATTTGGCTCCCCCATACCCTGTGAAATCTCACCTCTTAGTGGCTGTAAGAGCAGCATGAATTCAAAGGAGCACCAGGGATTGCCATGATGCAGGCTATCTTAGACTGGTGAATGAAGAGAGCTAAAAATTAGAATACTACTCTAATCTGATCTAATTCCCCCATATGATTCTCCTTACAGCATTCTCGTTAAATGGCAATCCACACACCCTCAGCTCTCTCACCTGCAGCATCAGGTGTGCAGTCTGCCAGGGTTACTCATTCTGTCGTTGGGCAGCTCTGTCAGAAAGTTCTGTCTTACATGGAGCAAAAACCGGCCTCCCTGTAGTGTGATTGTTCTGTCTTCCCGACTGACTCGGGACAAATCATCCCCTCTTTGGCATGGAGTCCTGAAAGGAAGACTGCTCTCATGTGCCTTCTGAATGTTTTCTGGGCTCAGCCATTTATTTCCTCCAATTCTCTCTCCTAAGGCTTGGTTTTGGTTCCCTCATTGTTCCTGAGGCTTCCTAAGGATACCTCCCTGTGATGGCGTCAGAGTCCAGAAGCAAACACAGCCCTCCAGGTGGGGGATGGGTTCTCACCTGAGTTTACTGGAGTCACCAATCCCTCCCTAGGGCACTCTGCTTCTGTTACTCAACCCTACCTGTACTTCACTTTCTTGATCCACAAAGGGGGATAAAATAGTACCTACCTCTTAGGTTTGCTTGAGGGCTAAAGCAAATAATCCACATAAAGTACACTGACTAAATGTGGTTCATCAATCTAGCCTAGGTCCCCTCTGGAGCCTGGGGTAGACTGGCAGGCAGAAAATTTTCATGAGAAGATAAGGCAGAAAATAAAAATGGGAGCCAGGAGACTCACATACTGGTCCTGAGAGGACTGAAGCAGGAAGGAGGGAAGGCCAATACATGGGACTGTCTTGAGCTGGTCACCACTGTTGGCAACTGGGGCTCATTCCTGCTGGAATCTTATGCAAAGCCATGCATCTTGGAATTGTCCACCTGAGGCATGAAGAAGCGAGCATTTATCAATGTCCATTGGCCAAGGATGGCCTTCTTGTGTGTTAACATTCTCATACCTTCTGACAGCATACAGAAATGCCAACAGGTTCCTAAATTACCCCACACAAAGCAAGAGAGACAAGGTGCAGCTGAAGCAAGGTGCCATCAGGTTAGAAAAGGTGGTTGTCCCAATGAACGCTGGAGCAAAAAGGCTACAAAGATGTGAAGGAGGTTATAAGAGGTGTCTGATATATCATGCTCAATAAATCCTTGTTATTTTTCTTATTATTATTATCATTATCATCACCAAAATGTATGCAAGCCCAAGGAAACATTCACTTTTTGCCAGATGCATGCTGATCCTGGTCAGACTGTTGCCACAGTGCCATGTTTCCCCCAATAACTTCAGAGACACAGATAGTGATCTGTGATTTCTAAAGTACCAACTTCTTACAAATTGCACACTCAGCAAAGCATTCTGATCTGCCTTTCCTGTAGATTTCTTCATGACACTACGGTATCTTGTGCTTACTGACTGAATCTGAATTTCTTAGTCTACAAAATGGGTAGCTAGGCATGATAGGAGGGTGATATAATAGAACCTCTTTCCAGGCTGAAGAAAAGGGCTTTTCCAAGGGACCTGCACTGGAGAAACTGTGTACTGGTTTGCCTCAAAAGCTGATGGGGCACCTTCCATTTGCCAGTGGTCCTCAGACACACAGAAGTGGTCTTAGATGGTCTCTTTGGAGCACAGAGAGAATGAATGATAGACATCAGGTCTACAGCTGCATAGGTGGACCCCAAGAGAGGGTAATACTATCAGGAAGGGTGTTGGGCACACTGACCACTGGCTGACACACCCTGGGGGAGGCTATACTCTCCTCAGTGCCAGGTGTGAAATACGGGAATGAGTGAGAGGACAGACAGTGCTCTCTCCTCCCTACTTCAAGTCTCCATGGCCAAAGCCTGGCCCATAATAAGGAAGGTGAAATCCAAATTTGCAATCTAGACCAAATTGACCAGAGAGCCTAGGATTTCCCAAGATACACTTGACAGGTGAGAAGGGGAGACTTGACAAAGCACAACTGAAGGTAAAGATTGGGGGAAAACCCCTTCCTGTGTATGCCCTGTAGAGTTCAGACAGTTTCATCACCTTGTGGAGCTGAAGGCCTGTGGGTCACCGGGGAGGGACCAGTTCACAGCATGCTTCCATCTCAGGCTTACTCTCCTACACAGCAATCCATGGAGTGGGAAGGTTTGGGGCAGCCTTCCTGCACAAATCAGAACCTTATGCCCAAATCAGAACGTTATGCTTAATTGTCCTCATTACTTCTCTGGAAGTGGTGCTGAATAAGAATCTGATGGAGTGCTGTCTTCTACTTTTCTGTAATTTCACTCAGGAAGGCGACTGACCAGGGCGGGGTGATTACCCCTGGCCTTCCCATCTGTGCTGGAGATGAAGCCTGGCACTCAGCCAGGGGTACTCCGATCTGTGCTCCAGGCAAAGGAGCTCCTGACAAGCAACTGACACTTCCACTGCTCTCATGCCAGCAAGAGGCACAACTTTAATTAAATGGGGTTGCTTAAAACTGCGATAGAAGAGCTGGGGGCTTAGACAGCCTCTCCTTCTATGACATCACCCTGCTTGTGGGCCTTCTTTCTCCCTTCCTCGGGACTAATCTTCCCTTGGCAGCTGCCTTTCTCTGACTTCAGACCACTGAGATTTCTTTAACTTCTGCCTTCAAAGCCCTTTGCAAAAATAAACTCTGAGGCTGGAGCTAGTGGGGGGTATAGAGAGAAAAGAGCTTCCTTTCTGTGGGTCACCTCTTTCGGAAGAGTGAATTCTTTCGGGACCTTCTCCTGAACAACCCTTCCCCCTGTCTGATTGTGCATGCTTAGTAAGAGTAGAACACGTGAACACCCATCTGAGCATTGTATGTTGCCTAAGAGAGATCCAATTTGATCATGTTCTATAAGTGTAGATACAATCTATGGGGAAAATAAGCCATATGTCTCAGTAACTACATTGCTGAGACGGCCACAGGGGATTAGACAGTCCCTCAAGGGTAGAGTTGAGGGGCAAGCCTGGTTTCTTGGGACCTTAGGAATTTTAGTTCCAGGTTGCTTTCTCAGCACAATGCTGGTAGCAGAAAGGGACAGGGTGCTGGAAAGAAGACATGGCTACATTTCCATACAGGTTTGGCCAAGTTCCAGTTGGCTCACCTCCCAGGTATCATGGCCAGGTACTCCTGTATTGCTATTCCCTGCCCACTAGAATGAAGGCTAGAGCTTTATTTATTTCAGTATTTGGTTGTTTTAAAAGGGAGTTTCTTTTGCTTGCAGGTGGGTTTGCTTTTTCCCTTTAAGTAGGATATTGTAATTCTTCTCTGGCTTCTTGAAGTTGATCTTTTGCAGGCTGCCATATTTAAAGGAGGGTGAAAGAAAAACCGAATAAATAATCTCACAGTGTTTGATAGCTAGGTGTCAGAGGTGGATAGGAGAAGATAAGGGCCTATTCCTGGTGACTTATTCTTGGTATGAAATTTATCAGGGCAGGGAGGAAAGCCTCAGAGAGAATGTTTAATCAGAGGAAGCAGTGAACGATGGGCAGAGTCATCACGTCCACCCTCCGCAGTGTGATCCTAAGGAATGGGAAACTGCGCCTTTGTCTGCCCCTCTTAGCAGTTTTTAATTTTTAAATGCATTAAAATTCTTTTTAAATAAGTGAAGAGTTCTGAAGGTTTTTTTTTTTTTTTTTTTTAATAACTCTGACTTGACTAAAAGTTGGATTGAGAACGTCATTTTTTTTTTTCTGGAAATTTTCCCCAGCCTTTGAAGTACTCCGAACTATATTCTCCCTTCAGAGAGAAAATGGTTGTTTTGAAAGTTGCCTTTTAAGCAGCAATGCTGTTTTTTCTCTGCTGAGAGCTGCTCTTGTGCACTTCAAAAGCAGAGCATGTCAGCCTTCTCCACCCTGTTTCTCCCCTTTGAAGTAAGTATGGGAGCAGCCGCTCTCTTAATCACACTCTCTCGAATTTCCATGGCACTTTATAGTGTTCAAAGCTCTTTCACAGCCATTATCTTATTTGATCCTTATGACAACCCTCAAGGTATGCAGGGCGGCTATCTTTATCACCATTTTGCAGATTAGAAACCTCAGGCTCAGAGAGGTGGAGATATGCCCCAAGGTGACAGGACCCCCGAGCTAGAGGACACTAGAGCAATTCTGAGCCTTCGATGGCTACTTTGGGGCTCTAGCAAATTGTGCCTCCTTGCCCAACTGGCATTTGGGAGACCAGGAATTGAGAAGTTGGGAAATTGGCATTCCGTCCAGTGTACAAGATGTATGTGTTCTCTGGACCACTCTGCACGTAGTTCTGGAGACTGAGCTAGGAATAGACCCACAAGATGACTTCCTGTGCTACAATGAGCAAAATAAAGTTTGAAATAAATGTGAGCATTGACAGATCTTGTCCCCTGCTCTCATGTCCAAAATCTAAGTAGCGGTGGTTTCTTCTCCCCAACCTCGGGACTTAGCCCATACCGGGTCATGGGAGCAGGACCATCAGTTCCTCTGTCTCATAGGTGCCCTGGCCAGTTGCCTTCCTGGGTGAAATTACAGCTTCCAGGCTCAGAGGCTGCTGGTCCAGCTAGTTTAGGTGATATCATCTTTTTTTTTTTTTTTTCCTTTTTTGAGACAGGATCTTACTCTGTTGCCCAGGCTGGAGTGCAGTGGTGTGATCTTGGCTCACTGCAACCTCTGCCTCCTGGCTGAAGTGATTCTTGTGCCTCAGCCTCCCCAGTAGCTGGGACCACAGGCACGCACTACCACTCCTGGCTAATTTTTTGTATTTTTGGTGGAGATGGGTTTTCACCTTGTTGCCCAGGCTGGTCTTGAACTCCCGAGCTCAAGCGATCTGCTTCCCTCAGCCTCCCAAAGTGCTGTGATTACAGGCATGAGCCACGGTGGCTGGCTGGTGATACCATCTTTCAGTGACTGAATTTCAGCCCATTTTGAATCAATACATTATTTTTGTCCATAGCTTAATCCCTACGTCTAGGGCAAAATTTAACTCAGAATTCAGGCTTCTACGACAAGCTGTTATCTTTTCTACCTGTACATCTAGTAACTGAAACTTATGGAAATTTCTTTCAGTGAAGACACTTCTTGCTCAATACGCTTAATTTATTGATTATATCAACTGATTCATCCAACAAACACCTTAGACATGGTAGCTGTCCTGAGACTTTGGCAGAGAAATGAATGAGCCCAATGTGAAAAGACACAAGATGCCCCAGGGTGGGGCAGCGGGAGTGCCAGTATGCAAATGAGCCCAGTTGCTGAGGTCATCTCAGTCTAGGACTGACACAGAGAAGGCTTTCCAGGGGAAGGAAAAGTCTGATTTGGTTCCCAAAATGTGAATAGTTGTAGGCCATGCTCAGATGGCATGGGGAGGGAGCAGCGAAAGAGAGGACATACTTAGAGGAAGAAGCAGAATGAAGAAATGTCAGTAGGTAGGAAGAGGGTTCACTGGGGGGCTAAAAGTATCTCAGTATGACTAGACCACAGAGTTTGGGAAGAAGAAGAGAGAGGTAGATGAGGCCAGCATGTGAGGGCTTAATCATAAAGGAACAAATTAAAAATCTTGGACTTTTTCCCGAAGGCAATGTGCAGCCTTTAATAAGGGTTTTTAAGCAGGAGAATGTCATGCTCAGATTTGCATTTTAGAAAGATCATTCTAGTTGCAGTCTAGAGAATCCAGCACAAATAGACAGAGACCCAGCCTTTCCCACAGGTCTGCTCAAGACATGAGCAATTTGAGAGAGACAGCTGGAACATGCTAGCTCCCCATTTTCCTGGATCCCCTAAGCTCTGTCCTCTTATTTAGCAAGGTCATCAGAAACCAAAATGTCTGGCCTGGGCTGTTTTAGTTCCCCACAGACATGCCGTTGCCAAGCTAGAATTTGATATTTCATTTACGTAAGAACCATTCACCCAGAAAAATGCTCTGTGTTTTTGTCAAATTAAGATTAAAGACATTGTTTATCAAGTACCCAATATCTTTTCTTTGAGGCGTCTCTCAGAATGAAACTTCTTTTTATTCAGCACCAAGAAAAATGTTCACCATGGCTCTCCTGTATGTAAAATGGGGGTTGCTCAGCTACCTTTCTGGGCTGTTGGGAAGGTCAACTGCACATGTAAAGATCGTTGGATCCTCTTAGGCACTAAATAAATATTGCTTACTTCTTCTGATCAATATATAACCTTTAAATGTAGTAAGTAGTGGGCTTGGAACCAGGTACATAAGAGCTCAAATCCTAGCTGCACTACTTTCTACGGCTGGGACCATGGGCAAGGTATTTAATTGCTATGACCTCTACTTTCTTTTCCTCGAACCATGGAAACTAACACTTTCCCACCAAGCTACTCAGAGAAATAAATGAAATAACACATGGAAGGTTTTTGGCACATAGTAGGCACTAAGTAAATGTTGATGCCTTCTTTCTTCTGCAAACAGAAACTTGTAGGCTTCATTTCTTAAGAGTGTGAGGACTGTATACATCTGTTTATTTCTCTTTTCTTTTTCATTGTTAAGAAAAGCAAAGGTAACTCAGGGCTTAACTACAGACTGCAGCCAGCTTCTATTCTTATGCTCTTTTTTTCAGATTTCTATTTGTTTTCATTTTGCATCATTGTACTCTGTATGTTTTTATGTTTTATAAGCACCTCAAACACTCTTTTGAAGCTGGCAGACTATAACTCCATAACTAAGTACATTTATTTGGTTATTAACACCATGCTAGTGAGGTCTAGCTCCAGGATTTGATCTTTCCATGAATGACTGAACTTTGCCCTGGTGTTTGACTATGAGCTTAAAATTCAGCGTTAGCCATAAATGTAATAGTGGGGCTGGGAGAAATGGTGAATGATCCCCTAGAGACATAGACATTCTTCTTGTAACATTTACTACTGTTGGGTAGTAGTTCTTTGGAGCATTGTGTTTTGTAGATAACAGTGTACATTAGCTCAGCAAAATGAGAGTATATGATTACTGAAATGTGAATGTTCTGGGATAATGCTGGCTTTAGCTTGATTGAGGCTCATAGAATATCACCAGGACATGACTATCTCTGTCTTAGCTCTGCTGTCTTTCATATGTTGACTTTATACTTAGATTCAAGTTATAACAATACTAGTAGTAGCTCTAGTCTACCAGTTTTCAGGATCGGACTTGAGATTCTTTCTTCCACTGTTCCAGAATTTGTAGGAAGTTTCCATGCATTTCACTCACTTTGATTGAATTTTGTTATATTGCCTCTTTATACCTTCCTCATTGTGACCAGTGTGGTACGAGGTTCTGATTAGCTTAAGCCATTTAAGGTTCACCTCTTGAGCTGGGAGTGTGTCATTGTACCTCAATGGCATGACTGAAAATGAGGAAAGGGTCGTTTTCAAACACAGCAATGGTATTGTTTTTTCCGGAAGAAGGTGAATGGATGCTGTGTGGCAAAATGAATAAATACAACAATACTGGGGCCATACCAGGGTCAGTTATTTACCCATGGTATCTCACCTCCAAGAGCACTCTCTCATACTTTGCTCTGTGACAGTAGGGCTGAGACTCTACAAACTGTATTTCCTAGGCTCCCTTGTGAGCTGGCTTCCCATTAAGTTCTTCCAATGGGAGGCATTAGAGGAAGACTGGAGAAGAGGAAAGGAAAAATGAGGAATCTCTTTCAATTTTCCAGTTTCCTTCATCTTCCCTTCAATAGCAGCAGAAGATTGGCTCCAGCCTTCAGCTTCTCTTGGCCCTTCTGGCACCATCCTCACCTGAGCCATTGCCTCAGTTCTTTACCCTCATTGTTTCTAGACATGTTACTAGAGTTAGATTACACATGTTCCAGAGGACAGGTACAAAGTCTGTCCCAGAGGGAAATAGTTTATACTCCAAAAAAATGGTAAGACTTTGCTAATATATGTAAGCAGAGGCCTGGAAAATAGTCTGGGAATGATTTATAAGGTGACAGAACAAGAGGATTTTCTACAATAGTGAATGAGGCTGAATTTATCTATATGGTTGCTTGGTTAGTTGACTGAAACCTAAACTCAATGATGTTGAGATGCTCAAACTTCCCTGGCATATTATAGAGAAAAGAATCAAAATGCTTAGCAATATAAGAATGTTGAGGTAGATTTATCTTGTACAACTTTCACATTACTCAGCCCCACTAAATCCACTGAAAGAGTCCAGACTGCAATCCCTTAATTAAGGTATTGAGAAGAGCATCAGTGAGGGAGCACCAGGATTCTTGCATAGCTCTTTGGCAGCCATCTGTGGGCTGGGAGCTACTGCCACTGAGAAGGTTTCCTGATTTTGATAAGTTTGATGGAATTCTGAAGTAGCAGAAGCCATGTGACAACACCGAACTTCCAGAGACAAGATGGACATAATTATCACAATGAGCAGCAACAATGAAATGGTCATCAAAAATTGGTTTTAGCCTGCAGAAATCTTTGGCAGTGGCTGGATAATCACAGTGTCCCTAGGAATGAAATAGATGGACAACGTATTAAGATATTACTTAATTTATATAACAGGACAAACTAGAGTCTGGTGGTGAGAAAATTGGATAGGGACGCCAAAATGGAGAATCTTGCTCTCCCACCCAGTTTTAAGGTCTAAGCCAGTTCACAGGCCCAGAGCCTTTGGTTGAAGCAAAGATTGGATTCTCTTGAGAAGGTCCTTGCAACATTACCTCCATGCATTTCTTTGCAACTTTTCCAGAGGAATCTGAAGCTATTTCCTAGGATAATTCCACACAGGAGAATAAATATACCCAGAACTTGCAGAAATTATTAGACACTGGCTCTGACTTAATGTTAATCCTTAAGGATTCAAAATGCCATAGTAGTCTGCTGGCAGAGTGAAGGCTTATGAAGGTTTGGTAATAAATTAGACCCAGGCCAGGTGTGGTGGCTTATGCCTATAATCCCAGCACTTTGGGAGGCCAAGGTGGGAGGATCGCTTGAGCTCAGGAGGTCAAGACTAGCCTGGGCAACATAGCAAGACTCTGTCTTTACTAAAATAAAAAATAATAGCTTGGCATGGAGGTACATGCCTGTAGTTCCAGCTACTTGGGGGGCCGAGATGGAAGAGTTGCTTGAGACCACGACATCGGGGCTGCAGTGACCTATGATCATGCCACTGCACTCTAGTCTGGGTGACAGAGTGAGACTCTGTCTCAAAAAATAAAATAAAGTAAAATCATAAATAAATTAGGCCCCAAACTGTATCATAGTAATACCAGTGGGTCTACAGATCCTCATTGTGTTTATTTTCCAAGCTCTTTAATGTGTAATTAGAATAGACCTACTCAGCAACTATAGAGCCGTCACATTGGCTCCCTGATCTAGGAAATAAAGACTTTTATGATAGAAAGGCCAAGCATAAGCCTCTGTAACTTGCCCTAACTAATTGGATAGTAATTCCAAAGCAAAATCATATCTCAAGGGAAACTACAGAGACTAAAGATGTGAAAGAGGCTGGGTTGGTGATTCTGCCCATATCCCTCTTAATTTAGTCTGCTCCATTTGTGCAGAAGATGATTGGATCTTGGAAAATTGTAAACTTAATGAAATATTATAAACTGTAAACTACAATGCAATATTATAAACTTAATCAGGTGCTAACATCAATCATAGCTGCTGTTCTAGATGTGGAATCTCTCCTGGAACAAATCAACACAACCCCTGGAAATTGTTATGTAACTATTTGTATAGCAAATGCTTTTTAGCACTATATCAGTTTACAAGGACCACAAGAAGTTGTTCTCTTAATGCAAATCAAAACCACAATGAGATACCATCTCACACCAGTTAGAATGGCAATCATTAAAAAGTCAGGAAACAACAGGTGCTGGAGAGGATGTGGAGAAATAGGAACACTTTTACACTGTTGGTGGGACTGTAAACTAGTTCAACCATTGTGGAAGTCAGTGTGGCGATTTCTCAGGGATCTAGAACTAGAAATACCATTTGACCCAGCCATCCCATTACTGGGTATATATCCAAAGGACTATAAATCATGCTGCTGTAAAGACACATGCACATGTATGTTTATTGAGGCACTATTCACAATAGCAAAGACTTGGAACCAACCCAAATGTCCAACAATGAATACTATGCATTCATAGTATTCTATGCATGCATACTATGCATTCATAGTATTCTATGCATGCATACTATGCATTCATAGTATTCTATGCATGCATACTATGCATTCATAGTATTCTATGCATGCATACTATGCATTCATAGTATTCTATGCATGCATACTATGGCTACACTATGCAGCCATAAAAAATGATGAGTTCATGTCCTTTGTAGGGACATGGATGAAATTGGAAATCATCATTCTCAGTAAACTATCGCAAGGACAAAAAACCAAACACCTCATGTTCTCACTCATAGGTGGGAATTGAACAATGAGAACACATAGACACAGGAGGGGGAACATCACACTCTGGGGACTGTTGTGGGGTGGGGGGAGGGGGGAGGGATAGCATTAGGAGATATACCTCATGCTAAATGACGAGTTAATGGGTGCAGCACACCAGCATGGCACATGTATACATATGTAACTAACCTGCACATTGTGCACATGTATCCTAAAACTTAACGTATAATAATAATAAAATTAAAAAAAAAAAGAAGTTGTTCTCTTTCACCTAGAAGGGGCCACAGTACCCTTTCAGTGTTTCCCTCAGGCTATTCCAGCTCTCCTGCCCATTGCAGAAATATTTATCATCTTGACATTCCACAGAATCTCACACTGGTCACTGCTGGTCCAAAAAGTATAAAGTACTTTAGATGTGTTAGTAAGATACATCCGTGCATCCAAGCACGGTGGCCCACGCCTGTAATCCCAACACTTTGGGAGGCCAAGGCAGGAGGATTACTTAAGGTCAGGAGTTGGAGACCAGCCTGGCCAACATGAGGAAACCCCGTCTCTACTAAAAATACAAAAATAAGCCTGGCATGGTGGCATGTACCTGCAATCCCAGCTACTCGGAGGCTGAGGCAGGAGAATCGCTTGAACCCAGTGGATAGGGGGAAGTTGCAGTAAGCTGAGATCATGTCACTGCACTCCAGCCTGGGCAAAAGAGTGAGACTCCACCTCAAAACAAAAACAAAAACAAAAATCCTTAAAAAACCAAAACATCAGTGCCCGAGGATTGGAGAGAAATCACATAAAAATTCAGGAACTTACTACATCAGTGACATGTCTAGGGCTTCTGTGATCTAGATCATATGAGATATGCCCTTCAATGTGAAAGAGAAGTTCCTATACCTTGCACCATCTACTACTAAGAGGAAGAAACATTTGAGGAGCTTCCTTAGATTTCAAAGGTAATACATACCACATTTGAGTATAATGTTCAGATCCATTTATCAAGCAAACTAAAAAGTTTAAGGGAATCCTGGAGAAAGAGGAGGCTCTGTAGAAGTTCAGGCTTCAGGGAAAGCTGCTCTGCCACTTGATCTTATGACTTGGGAGATCCAACATCACAGAAAGTTTCTGAAGGTTTATGTGTCCTCTGCAAGAATCACAGAGAAAATCTCATCTCTCTTCTACAGATAATTATTCTCCTTTTGAGAAATAGCTTCTTGCTTGCTATTTAACCTTAGTAGTGCCTGAATATCTGCCCATGAACTCCAGGTGACATGTGAACTAAGCTGCTCATCAAGAATTGAGTATTATTGGACCACTCATGTCACAAGGTTAGGCATGTATAGAGGCAATCCATTGTCAAGTGAAAATATAGATGATCAAACTCAAGCAGGTCTTGCAGGACCAAGTAAGTGGTATTTGCAGGTGATATAGATTCATCATGGAAAATTCCCTATAAATAATTAAGCATTAATTCCCTCCAAAAAGAAAACACATCGAGGCCTAGTTTTCAGATAGTTTTGCAAGATATTCTGGCACCCACAGCAAGTAGACTGTTATGTTACAGCCTAGATAGTTTATATTGCTGTTTTGCTAAATATTCTGAGACTTATCTTCATAATAGCCCTTCTTGTTTGGAAGTAGGCAGTCCATGCCCCTTCATTTTTCTCTTCACCATCCTTCACAGGCTCTGACTTATATCGCACAGTGGTAAGATGGTTGCTGCACTTCCAGACATCATTCATAGTCAGTGCAGGAAGAAATGATAAAGGAAATGCCAGCTGGCTTTCCCATTAATCAGTAAAACAGGCTTTCAGAAAACTTCTGCTTAAGTCTCATTGGTCATAGATGTGTAGTCTGACCATTTTTGCTGTAGCAAAGGATGAAAAAGTATTTAACTCTTCATCTTCCATAGTGAAGAGTGGCAAGGGATAAGGAGGTTGGAGATGGCTATTGGGCCCACCAACCAGCAGTGTCTGCCGCAAGCATAACTAGTGGTTAACTGGTCTTAGCAGACCAGAAACTACTTTGTGGGACTCCTCCTTGGAATGTTACACTACTTTCAGACAGTAGATGCTGCCCATCTTTTTCTTCTCTAGCAGACAAATGCAAATTCAAATCATCTAAAAACTATCGGGAGAGATCTAGGACACAGGTTTCTTTATGTCATTGGTAATTTTGTGAGAAAGAATTACATGACTTGCAGTCTGATGCTTGCATTAAGATCTTTGGGAGAGAGTTAAATAGGTTTGGGTCAATAATGAAGTTGTACAACTTGGGCCAGGTTTGATTTCTGTCTGTGGTATAAACAGTTGATGACAAGATCAATACATGCTTCCAGATCTTAGGTAATTTTTACTTGCATTTCAAATTAAGGGAAATAAACCTCACAGAAAATTTTAGATTAAAGTGCCTAGGCTTGAAGTTTATCTAAAACAAAGTTGGCATCAACTTTCAATGATCTGATGGATCTAAAATTTAAGGGAGACACGGATTACCTTATTTGGTCATGAGATAGAGTTGAGAGGACATACCTGCCCAATTATCTGGGGGTAAAGTGTTTTACAAGCACCAGATCCTTAACCATGGGCAGGTTTAAGGAAATCCTAGAACCGGAATTGATTACAAAATCTTCTTTGGCTTCATGCAGTTAATGAGATGTCATGCCATCATTGGGAGAATTCTGTATTCTATTTGGCATGGAGTGGGTGTCCTATTGCCACAGATCTAGGAACTACACTTCACTCAGACATCCCACATGGCCACTGTTTTGGAAGTCTTGACATAAGCCACATTTTCTATGTATGACAGAGCACAAATCATAAATGTCCAATGTGTTGAATTTAAATTATCTGAACATATGCATGTAACCTGCACCCAGATCAAGAAGCATAACATTACTAGTATCCCAGAAACCATGCTCTTTGGGATCCTCCCCTCCTCCTATCAATAGTACCCCTCCAAGGTGACCACTATCTTGACTTTTAACAGCATGGATGTGATTTTCTTGCTTCTGGAATTTATATAAATGGAATCACAAAGCATGTAGCCCTTTGTGCCTATCTTCTTTCACTCAACATTACAATGATGGGATTCAGCCATGTCAATTCATGTGGTTGTAGTTCATTCATTCTCACTGATGTACAATATCCCATGTATGAATACACCACTGTTACTTTATTCACTCTTCTGTTAATGGTCATTTGGGTAGTTTCAAGTTTCAGGCTATCATGCACAGTGTTGCTGTGAATAGTCTTGTAGGTGATTTTTGAAGAATTTGTGAACACATTTCTGTCAGAGGAAATTGATGTGTCTTGAAGCGTGTGTCTGTTCAGCTTCAGTAGATGTAAGACACTTCTTTCTCAGAATCAAGTTACTGTTGGCCCTGGGTCCAAAGGCCAGGCCTTCCTCTGAAAGGGGTAGGATCACTGGCTTTTGCAGAGGGAAGAAAGAGCTTCTGATAAAAAGTATTTGAGTTAATGACATCTTCTCACAAGCTCCTCTTAAGATTTCATGTTTCTGATTTTCCTAGATATTTATTGTTTTTAGATGTTTCCTGAAAATTATCATGTAATCAGCCTCTTGACTGTTCATATTTGTGACAGTCACATGCCTACCATGTGCCGGGCACTGCTAGGTGCTTAACCTGTTTCACTCCATTAAACTTCATGCAAGCCTCTGAGGAAGGTTTGTTTCTTTTATAGATAGTAAAACCCATGATCAGAAAAGGGAGCTGTGCAGCAAGCACTGAGACCCAAGCCAGTCTGCTTCTCTTTTCATCATCCAATTTTGCTTTCTGGCTTATCTTGATACCTGGCTTTAACAAATTTGGAATTTACTAAAAATGGAAAGATGCATTGCATAATTCTTCTCCCATCCTCCTATTCTCTGTCACTAGAGACAGTGTGAGAAGGCCTGGTGATACTGTTGGTAGAAAGTTAAAGCTTTGAAACGATTTGAAAATCTACAAAGTGGCATCAGGGAGGAATACGAGGAGGCTCTGAAAAGCTCACAGTGTGGATCAAGTTTTGCTGAAGAAGTGAGACCGTGCTTGTGCTGTTCCCTGTACCAGGTCCTGTATCAGGGCATTGTCCTAAGTACACAGGGGATGGGCTGCTCTACCAATCCATCCATTCATTCAATAAATGCTTTGAATGACTTTCATGAAGCATGGTGCTAGGCCCTCAGGATACAGAGATGTGAACAATATGGTCACTTCACTGGAGGAGCTCATCATGTATTGGAGAAGGCAGGTGGTTAAGCAAATAATTGCATAAGAAATGCTAAGGTACTCTAGCAGAAATATGGGATGATTGGAGCACAAAGAAGTGGCCAGCTCTCCTGGGGAGAGGGGCTGAAAATGTGATTAAGAGGGATCTAAAGAGGATGAGTTTAAAAAATAAATAGTTGGTGGCATGGAAGCCAGGTGTGAAGGCAAGAATGAGGCTACGTTGTAGACAGGTAGCAGACAGAAAGGCAGCAGGAGACATTGCAGGGCTTTAGCAGATTCCTGGAGAGGGTTCTGACCTGGTACCAGTCAGCATTACCTCTAGAAAGTAATGGTAGCCCTGGTAAGAGTCTGTGTGGTAAGATGGGCAATTTGTCATGATGGGGGAAGAACTGCTGGTCACCCTAAAGGATCTCTGGAAACTTACAAGACTGTTAGTCATGGACAGCCACCTGGGACTTTTCCAACACTCTTTTGGGCTGGGATATGGAGCCTTATGAGAGTTTGTCATCTAGAGTGTAGTGATCCCTGGAGGCCAGTTCTTCCTGTGCTGTCTGAGGAGATGCACATTGTTGGCAAAGTGAGCTTTCACACTTTCAGGGAGGAAATGTGCTACTCTTCATGAACTCAAGAGGGGTTCAGTCCTCCCAAGAGAGGCTACTGCTGATAAACCACTAAAACCACTTTCCTGAGTGAAGCTGTTCTCTTGTCAAGTGTGCTAAGGGAATGCTGTGGCTTGAATAGGTCCCCCAAAGTTTATGTGTTAAAAACTTGACCCCCGATGTGGCAGTGTTGGGAGATGAAGCTTATTGGGAGGTGTTTGGGTCATGAGGACACCCCATGAGTCATGGGGAGCACTGCCATCATAAATGGATTAATGCTATTATCACAGGAGTGGGGTCCTTACAAAAGGATGACTTTGAACCTCTTTTATCTTTCCATCTCCTGCCATGTGAGGCACAGAAAGAAGGCTCTTGCCAGATGCTGGAACCTTGATCTTAGACTTCCAGCCTCAAGAACCATGTGCTAATACATTTCTGTTTGTTATAAATTACCCAGTCTGTGCTATTCTTTTACGGCAGCACAAAATGGACTAAGATAAAGGGTTCATCCAGGGGTGTGTTAATTCCATCCAAAGGCGGTAGAGAATGGTATCTTTCCTGATGAAGATCCCCCAGCACAGAGAAAGTCCCCACAGCAAAAGAGAAAGTCCGCATCTCTGCATGGTTGGTTTCCCATTCTCAATCTTCTGCAATGCCTGAGAAATCTGCTCTGTAAGTGAAGGTAGGAGAATCTGGGAGATTAATGAAGAGAGTCTCAGAGGATTTCCTTCTGGACAGAGCCAGGACTAGTGGCCCATGGGTCCCCATGTCCTGGATCTCAGAGATTCAAATTTCCCCTATAAACAAATGATGTGCTTATTGCCAAGCAACCTTGTTCTCCACTCTCCCCTATCACAGGGTAGGTGGGAAGAGGTCTGCTCAGAAAAAAAGGGGGCTGTGTGGTCTTGGGCTAGGTGAAGTGGTTGAGGCTCTCCTACATGGACACCCATTTCTTCCTCTTCAGCTAGTAACAGACCCTGACTCTTTTCATGACTGGACAGGTGTTTCAAGCTGAACAAATAACATGTCCTACCCTGGAAATCTTCACATTGTGGGGAAAGGAGGAGGAAAGTTTGGCGTGCATCATATGAGAACCTCTCCTGGTTTCTGCTGCTTCCTAGATGCATAGAACATCCCTGTCCCCAAGATTCCCATTTCCAAGGACAGTTTTTCATTTCTCAGTTCTTTGAGTTACCTCAAGATAATTCTGACTAATTATACACACAGACTCCCTGCCTCTACCAGGTTTGGTTTTGTTTTCCACTCCACGCCCATGCTTGAGTGAATCAGAATTGGTTTCTGTTGTTGCAGCAGAATTTTGGCCGATATAGCAATTGGTTCCAGGGCCATAGGCAGCAGGCCCTCGGGGTATGTGGAATTGGTCATGGCACAAATGGAATGCATAAGTATACAGAGAAGGAGCAGCAAATCTAGTTACCTGTTGTGCTCACTTGTGATGACATGAACTCAATAAGGGGCCACTGCTGGGTCCCAGCAGCTGCTGGAGAGAGACACGGGCACGATGGGTCCTTCTGAAAGTATCTGATAGCTTTATGTAAATAACCTAAGCTGAGCTCAGACATCAAAATTCTCTCCTTAAAGAATCTCTCATTGCTTGTGGCTGTTGAGCTGATAATTCTTAGAAAAATTCAGGGATTGAGCCTTCTGGTTTATGAATGGCAACACTAGTCAATTTATAACCTTATCAGCCACCAGTGTGGTTGGGTGGGGATCGTGATACTGGGATGGGGATATCTGTGAGCACTGAAGGACTGGAGAACCCTGCCTCTCCAAACTCTTGGCCATACTCCCCCTGCCCCTCGTTTGCCTATAGAAGTGGCACTGACTCTCTGCCTCCATCTCATTGTTGTTCTCTGAATAAACAAGATTTGGACTTAACATGGCCTGGAGGGAGAAATGAATAATCAGGGTACAGAAGCAAAAGTTATGCCTGGGGAAAATTGCAGGTCCATCGTCTGGGAAATCTTGTGGGGCATAAATTTTGAGAGTGCTTAAATAATGGGGGTGGAATATAATCATAAATGAGGCAGAATCTATTGTTATAGGTCTACCCATCAGAAAGTGTACCTGCTGTGTGTCTGCTTGGACAGTTGACTGGATTCCAACAATTTGATTCTTCCATTAATGAAAATCTCTACTGAAGACTGACCCATGCTGGGTGAAACAAAAGGCCAGAAATCTCTTCAGAGATGTGGAGAAGGGAATTCAAAGACCTACCCTATTGCCTTGAGGAATAGATGATAAGGGAAATGCCAAAATCTTCAAAAAATGCTATACTAATAGTCCTCGCTGGGCCAAGAATACTGTGGATAAGATGCCATTATAAAATGGGCCCTGCTTGTCCCTGGGGACAGAATCATCTTAGGATGACAGGTAGATTTACCAGGCACAGCTAGAAGCAAAGCCGTTTTGGCTCTCATAATAGTCAGTTTTGTAAGTGTGGTAGTCAAGACTCAGTGAATGGTCTTACCTGTAACAATCACCAGCTGTAATTAATCAATCATGTGCCCTGCAGAGACTATGACCACCTCAGCATCTGTATCACTCAGGCTAGGTTATGTTGCAGTAACACATACTGCAGATGCTCCAGTAATCTCAGTGGCTTAAAATAACAAATATTCAAATCTCGCTCATTCAACACTGTCTTTGACTGAGGGTCAGCCAGGGAGGAGCTAGTGGGAGTGGCTGTGATCATCACAGTCATTCAGGGCCGAGGCTGATGAGTCAGCCAAAGGGAGATCCGGAGGGACTCATAAAATCACCTAAATACTCAACCTCAAGGGAGGGACACTGGCGATTTCTTATCAGTTAGAGCTAGTCACATATTCCCACTCAACAAATAGGAGGCCAGGAAATGCAGTCCTATGGTGTGCTTAAATGTGGAGAACTGAAAATATATGGGAAACAAAACTAATTCCTGACTACCACATTATCATCCTGAATATCACATAGCACCTACACCTCCATGAAATTCCCTGTGGCTTTAAAATAAATCATTATATAAAAAGACACCTGCACTCCTATGTTTATTGCAGCACTGTTTACAATAGCAAAGTTATGGAACAAACATGTGTCCAGCAATGGTTGATTGGATAGAGAAAATGTGATGTATCAATTTATCCAATCAACTGTTGGAAATAAATGTGATACACACACACACACACGCACGCCATGGAATATTACACAGCCATAAGAAAGAATAAAATCATGTCCTTTGCAGCAACATGGGTGGAGTTGGAGGCCATTATCCTAAGTAAACTAACACAGAAACAGAAAACCAAATACCACATTTCTCACTCATAAGTGGGAGCTAAATATTGAGTACATATGGACATAAATATGAACAGAATAGACTCTGCCGACTCCAAAAGTGGGGAGAGTGGGAGGGAGTTAGGGTTGAATATTACCTGTTGGGTACAATGTTCAATATTTGGGTGATGGTTTCACTAGAAGCCCAATCTTCACCAGTACACATGCAATCCTCATGTAACAAAGAAGTACATTTACTCCCTTAATAAAATTTTAAAAGAATAAATAAATAAATAAATAAATAAATAAATAAATAAATAAATAACAATGGGAAGATTCAGAGTTTGGCTTTCAGGCGGCTCCAATAGCCTATGTCAGTACCACCAAGAAGCGAATGCTGGGAGTTATGTCCCCACTTAGAGATAGCCTGAAACGCCACAGGGGAAAGGAAATCTTCCTAACAGGCCAATTTTACCTGGAAGGACAGATGAGCTGAGGTGAGGATCTGTATGAATTCTGAGCCATGACTGCCAGATTGAATGCATAGTTAGAATCTGCGAAGGAGCAAGACGAGAAACTTGTGACATAGGGATGGATGAACACTACCTGGGTCCAGAGCCTGGAAATACCTACACTCCTAGGAAATTGATCCAGAAGGCCCTGGATTATGCCCTCCATAATCTAGCAGAAGAATAGAGAGCAGGAATGGCTTGTTGAAGAGTCCATCTTGACACCAGCTAGGAAATGGCACCCTGCAAGAGGTGGGCATTATCCCACAATGTGTTTCATATGCCGTATCTCTTAGATTCCAAACATACAGGTCTAGGAATCGAAAGGATGGCACTCCTTATAATCCCCTAGTTGTGCTTCTTATCCTCATGATTCAAAGTGCCCTCTCTCCCTCTCTTTTTCTCTCTCTCCATACACACATGCACATACACACACACACACACACACACATATACTTACATACATATATATACACACACACGTGTATACTTACATATGTATGTATACACATACACATCATTCCATGGGTTTTAACAAATGCATGGTCATTTATCCACCCCATGACCATGATGCAGAATATTTCTGCCATCTCAAATTTCCCCATGCTGCCCCTTTGCTCTACTAGATGTTTTCTTGTTCAAAGGAGGGATATTTCCACCAGAGAATGTAATAATGGTTCTTTGGCTGACCTAGGCCTGTGATGGTGATCCCTTTTGTGCTCATGCTGTGGTCAGTCTGAATAAGTGCTACATTTACAAGGCCTGTCATCCAGCAAGAAACCAAACACCTAAGAAATAATGAAGGCAGTTCATCTGTAGTTCTCTTCTCTGAGGGACTGGTGGGAAGGGTGTGGTAATGGACAAAAATATGGGAATGGGCTCTGTGTGTCTGGGATGAGAATGGAGAAAGGAAAAAGGAACTGACTATGTTCTCAGAGACAGCTGTGGTCAGGAAAGGCTGGAACTGAGAGCTGAGCCTCATCTTCCTTTGAGAAGATGGCAGAGCCTCAGGCAGGAAGGGGAGTCTACAGGCTGCTGGCTCAGGACCCACTCTGCTCACTGTGGTAAGACAAAGGACCTGGCCTCCTCTACAGCTATTGAGTCTGTGAAATCTGTCACTACCAGTGTCTCAAGGGCATTGCCTTCCCTGAGCTATACCCAAAGATGGAGCTGCTGGAGCCCACAGACCCTCCCAAAACACTACCCAAAGGACACACATCACTTCAGCACCCTCACAGCCCACCGTGCCATTGTGTGGTATGCGGGGATGGGAGCAGAGAAATATCAAAATGTGTTGGGTCCCAAGACCATTGATTAGCCTCTAGTTTGCCAGCCTTAGGCCACCACTGGTTCATTATCCAAATAATGAATGGAGAGCTTCATTCCAGTGGCATCTGAAAATACAGAAATGACAGATGAGAGATGCTTAATGCTGGAACAGGTGGAATTAAGGCTGCTGTGGGCAGCTCTGTGTGTGAGTGTGGGCATATATCTTTATGTATAGACTGAGGGTTGTTAGGAAGAAGGAAAAGGAGGAACAGGGGGAATTGCGATGATGGTGCAAAAGCAGTTGTCTCACCCTAACCTCTGCAAGGAAAAAAAAGGCCTCAAGCCCTGAGAGAGGCAGAGCTCTCTTGTTAGCTGATTCTGAAAGCAGGACATAAATACCTGATTAATGATTTGGTAATAGTGGTTTACAGATACCTGCCTTTCTGTCATCAGAGCACACCCATATTCTACCAAGGTCTGGATACTGGCAGCAAAAGAATAGAAATTGCCTCCTCCTCTGGACACATCTCCTTAACAAAAGCTCTCGTGGATAGAGATGATTCTCATTTGTGTCTGTCTTCATTTCTTCATTCATTAATTCATTCCTCAACCTGACACACCCCTCCTCAGTACCAGAACCTCACTACACGGAGATGATGTGGGTAGGCCTTGCCTTCCAGAATCACAGTTCCTTTGGGTTGTTATAGCAGGATCCAGCCCTGAGAAGAGTCTGACAGGAATAAGGACTCATGTCCTGGCAAGGACTCACAGCCTATCATGGGGGAAATGAAGTTCTTGTCTCTTGGTGGTTGGGTTGGGATTAACCCAGAGCCAGGCAGCTGGGGAAGGGCAGCCTTAATACCAGTGCTGAGAACTCAGGCTTTAAGCTTCCTGCCCAGGGGATTAGAGACCCCTGAGAAAAGACCAGAGATTTCTAGATCTGTGGCTCAACCCCTCATGGGCAAGTGCTGAGTTGCTTGCTCTTGGCAGTGAGGTTAGTGTCCCCTGAGCCTGCTAAGGACACTGACATAACTTAGCATAGCTTTTGGCATGAAGTTTCCCTTGGTGACACTCAGACTGCCGTCAGGCCATGCACATACCCCAAAGCTGCTCTGGCACCCCAGGGAGAAGAGCCTGGCACAGTGAACTGGAACCTGGGACAGCCTGCTAGAAGGTCATGACATTGTGGAGTGCACTGTCAGCCAGCTCCTGTGTGGCACTTGCTCAGGGTGAGAAACAGAAATGGCTGGTCCAGGTCAATTGGAGATTGATTTACTTGACATATCCATGTTATATGTCTATTGGATTTCCACAGATGGCTGATCTTCAGTTGATATCACACTAGATGGAAGGAGAGTGATGGGATGAGCTGCCTGCTCAGATACTGGCTCTTGCTGCCCTCCCCTGTAGCTGGACTATTTAACCCTTGCATGCAGGCACAGCCCTGCCAGGTTCAGGGACCATGTCCAGCTCCAGGCAGGAGCTCTGTAAGGAGCTTGGGGCCTGTGACATGTTGGTTTGGGTTCCATCAGTCTCACTGTGGGTTCCATCTCAAGTGTTCTGAATTACAGAACCAAGGTGCTTACCCTTTTCTGGGATCAGCCCTCTGCCTTAATCTTCATTTGACCCTGTGGAAACTTGCTTCATTCACTTTGGTAAAACCTCATCTTTGGGTTCCAGCTCCTCCTGATCTGTGGCAGGGCCTGGTTGACCTCAAGCCTCCCAGATATTTGCCCTTCCCCTGAGTCTGTGTTGTGGTCCTGATACCTTTCAGATTTTGTCTTGTTCTCAGTCTTTGTCACCTCCTCCCTTCTGATCTCCACCTGCAGTTTCCATCCCATCCCTGGACCCAGCTACTGATGCCCTCTCAATGCTATGCACACCTGCCAGGGTCCTTTGCTGCTTCGGATTTGAATCCTGTGCCATAACCTCATAGTAAATGTCTTCCCAGACTATATCTTGGGATGTTGTAACCACTGGACATGGGCTTATCTTCCCTACCCTCATGCCCTAGGCTCCCAACTGCTAATGGGTGGGTTCAGTGCTACCTCTTTGCCTTTTCCTGTTGTCCTACCTGCCAGGAGAAATTGGCAAGATCTCCTCCTACCCACTGCTGCCTGCACTGACCCCATGATCTGCTGTGCTTGGACTGTGCCTTGCGTCTGTCTCCTCTGAAGTGTAAGGGTATCCCTCTGGACAGTCACCTGGATGCTGACTTTATGAAGGCCAGTTGGGTATAGGAGGCCACTTGCCTCTCTGGAGTTCTCATGAGGAACTCTGTTTTATGCCAAGAGACCTAAGCATGTACTCCAGGGTTGTAAAGGGTATTTTGATGATGTCCCCCAGAAGGGTACAGGGCAGCCAGTAAAAAGGGCTACAGAGATGAGCTCTAGAAAGCTGTTCCTATTTTGTAATTGGTTACCTCATGCCATTATCTAAGTCCATTTGCGTTGCTATAAAGGAATACTGTAGACTGGGTGATTTATAAAGAAAAGAGGTTTATTTGGCTTCCAGTTCTACAGGCTATATAAAAAGCATGGCACAAGCATCTGCTTCTGGTGAGGGCTTCAGGCTGCTTCTACTTATAATGGAAGGTAAAGTGGAGACAGTGTGTGCAGAGATCACATGATGAGAGAGGAAATGAGAGAGAGAGAGAGCGAGAGCATGAGCAGGGACGTGCCAGGCTCTTTTTTAACAACCGACTTTCATGAAAACAAATAAAGCAAAAACTCACTCATTTATCATTAGCCCGGCATCAAGCCAGTCATGAGGGACTCACCTTTATGATCCAAACACCTCCCATTAGCTCCACATGCAAAACTAGAGCTCAAATTTCAACATGAGATTTGGAGAGGACAAACAAAAGCAAACTATAGCAGCCATGTTACAAACATTTATGGGCAACCTACTCTATTAAAAACAAACAAGACAATCCTGATGGTATGAGGGGGTGTGGTGGTACCCTGAGTATCAAGTAAAGTCTTTTCCAGCCTTATGGCTTGGTTGTAGCCATAAGAGGTATGTTCAGGATTCTGTTTGGGCAGAATGCGAAAGAGAAAGTTTGACCACCGAGAGTAACCCAGAGGAGGTGGCAGTGGCTATTAATGAGATCCAAAGGGAAGCAGAACCTTGGCAGTGAGAATCTGAGCTGACTGGTTCTACTATTTCTCCCCACTTGGAAACCCACCCTCCTCAGTAGGTTGGTAGTGGTGGAGTAGTTACAAGCATAGGCTTTGGATGCAGACGGATCTAAGTTACAGAACTGTCTCCATCACTTACTAGGTTTATGACTTGGGTAAATTAGTTAAATATCTCTATTCCTTAGTTTTCTCACTGCAAAATAAAATCTGTAATACTTCTATCACAAGATTATTACAGCAACCTAATAATTGAGATAATATATGCAAAACAGAACAGTGCTTAGAACATAGTAAATTCTGAGTAAATGGTATCTATTAAATTTAACCTACTTCCAAACATGGGTGACTGGGCTTTGTTTTTATTCTGGAAGGAGACTATTCCCTCTTGCTACCCTGCTTGGTCAATCTTCAGTTGCCTAATGCTTGGACACGTACTTTTCCCTAGGGCCTTAGGACTGGTCAATCTTTGGATCCTGGCCAACCCACCAAATAGTGGATCAGTTAGGTTGCATAAGGCCTTCTCCCTCATCCACTGGTCCCCAGCTCTGAAAGATGCTGCAAACCAAGCCATTCACACAAAGCATGTAAAACCCCTCCTTTTATACTTTCTATCCCTTGAAGATGTCTTGATAATGCATTTAAACCTACCATAGCAGTCATGTGATCCAAAGGGCTTTGTAAACTTACTGTTAAGAAACAAATAATTTTAAGTGAGTGTTTTGTGTCAAGACGGAGTGGGGAGATATAATAAAATACAGTTTCAGTAAGACACTGGTAAGATCAAGCTGACACCTGTCTTCCTCCCCATTCTTAACAAAAAGTTCAACTTTACATCTCCAGCTTCATTTTCTCCATACTTCCAGTTTGGGTCTTATGTGATTTAATCCACTCAATGCTAATTATATGTGCATGTGAACTATTGTTTTTGCACTCTCTCTTCTTTTATCCAAATTAAGCATTTAATTGCCTAGTAAAAATGTTTGTAAGATAATCAAATGGAGAGAGATCAGTGTAAGGCCAGGGAGGGCAGAGGAGGGACTCAGAACCTAACAAGTGTGATGTACAGTAAGCTGTTGATGAGCCCCCCTCACCACCATCAGCGAACAGTGTGTCCACCAGCACAACTCAGGCTAAAGTTCCACCTGCCAGCATCAGTCACACTCAACACAAACTTAGCTCAGAATTCCTCCAGACTGAATAATTAGGTGTCAACTGGGGATCACTCCTTCCTTTTTTTCTTTTTTCTTCACATCTTCTTCCTGCCCCTTGTAGAAATAAACTGAAGAGAAGGTATTCATGTTATGTCCCATTGTTTTCTCATGCTTCACATTCATTCACCAGACAATTTTTGTCAGGTACATTCTCTGTTCCAAGATATTGGGTATGTCAAGGTGAGTAGCTTGGAGCTTAGGGTTACATAACTTTTGACCATGCTGGCATAGGGAAGAACAGTGATAATGTGCGCTCAAGAAATACCTTCAGTTGATTCATTTAATGTCCCTATTCTTTGACCTGGAGAGAAATGATAACCATTTCTCAGATGGTAATGAAAAAGGCAGTGCACCTGGTAAGCTGGTTTACTGTCTTGTGGGGTGGATCTTTATGATGTGCCAGAACTTGTGCTGGAGAGTTCCTTGCTGCTACTCTCCTATCTCCTTTCTGTCCTTTCTTGGACCTTTCCTCTCATCCAAAGACACAGTAATTCAGCATGTGTTTATCAAGAACCAGCTCTGTGTGGTACATGAAGGCTGGCACAGGGGATACAAGACAAATGGACAGTATCGACCCTTGGAGACTCATTGTCTGGTCAGGAGATGGACATGTGAGAAAGACCATCTGACCCCACCCCGGCCGAATGTTGGAGGTGCTTCCTGCCTTCTGGGTTTTCTCCATCCTTCACAGCAGTGTCTGTGAGCGACTAATAGTGTGGTCTTTCACTTTTCTAACGCTGTCTGTCTTATTATAGCACCTTAGATAACACAGAGAGGATGTTAGTCTTGAGTTTTAATTACTTTTTTTTTTTTTTTTTTGAGATGGAGTCTCACCCTGTCTGGAGTGCAGTGATGCGATCTTGGCTCATTGCAACCTCCACCTCCTGGGTTCAAGCGATTCTCCTGCCTCAGCCTCCTGAGTAGTTGGGATTATAGGTGCACACCACCACGCCTGGCTAATTTTTTGTATCTTTAGTAGAGATGAGGTTTCACCATATTGGCCAGGCTGGTCTCGAACTTCTGACCTTGTGATCAGCCTGCCTTGGCCTCCCAAAGTGCTGGGATTTCATGCATGAGCCACCATGTCTGGCCAAGTTTTAATTTTGCAAAGTATCTCACTAACCTATGTGATATAATACAAAACAAATATTTGATCTTTGTCTCCATTTCTTGGCACAAAGCTCCTAACCTTGGAATCTTTGGAGTGATCAGAGTGTCTTTCGTATGCTGATGAAATGGCTGCTGGCTGGGAGCCCCTAGATAGCTTTAGGCATAATAAGAGGATTGGAAGTTTCAGCCCCACCTCCCTGACCTCCAGGCAGGGAACAGGGGCTGGAGAATGAGTCAATTACTAATGGCCAATGATTTAATCAACCCTTAATGTAACCTCCATTCAAGCCATAGACAATGGGGTTTGAAGAGCCTCAGGGTTGGTGAACAACATATCAAGGTGCTGAGAGGGTGGTGTGCCTGGAGAGAGGGCATGAAAATGCTATGCCCCCTTCAATACCTTGCCCCATGCATCTCTTCCATTTGACTGTTTCTCTGAGTTGTAACCTTTATAATAAACCACAATAGTAAATAAAGTGCCTTCGGGAATTCTGTGAGCTATTTTAGAAAATTATCGAGTCTGCACATGGGGTTGTGGGATGCTCCTCCCCCATTTATAGCCAGAAGTACACATGGCAACCTAAGACTTAAGACTGACATCTGAAGTAGGGAAAGTCTTGTGGGACTGAGCCCTTACCTATGGGGTCAGTGTTAACTCTGAGTAGAGAGCGTCATAATTGAATTGAATTGTAGGACACTCAGTTGGTGTCCAGAGAGTTGGAGAATTGGTTGGTGTGATAACCCCACCCTTGACATGTAGTGTCAGAAGAGTTGTGAGAAAAAAACAGTTCAATCTTGTACCTAGTTTCTTTTGTAGCAGAAATGACTGACAGGAGAGGAAAAGGCTCTGCCTGGTAGGTTTTGTGCTGGGTTGAGAAGGAGGAAGATGGTTCTGGAATTGGGAGAGAGCTGTCACTCAGGACAAGAGTGGTCCTGCTGTAGGATATCACTGGTGAGAGGGTCTCTCCTGTGTCTCACTCATCGGCCCCCAGGCCATACTGTCTTGCTCTAGGATACCTCTTCCCCTGCTGGCTCCATGGGCACTGCTCCACTCAGAGCCTGGACTGTCCTTGAAGATATCCAACTCACTTCCTGAGTGATTCCCCTCTTTCCTTTGCCCTTCAGAAGTCACCTAAGGACCCTGGCAATACTCAGTTTCCAAGCAAAACTGGGATGGGAAATCTGGTGCTCTTCCTTTCCCACAGATCCACAGCTGTTCCTGCTCAGTGGGTGGAGAGCAAGCCAGGCTTTCCACTTAAGGAGAAGAGAGAATTTAGGTGCCATTGATTTCTGCTAGCAGGAGGACGGGATGTCTACAACCCATTGAAGGACATGCCCAGATCCTTCCTGGCCACGTGGTGAGCAAAAATCTGTCACTGAAGTCTGCTGCCTTGGCAATCTATAGACTGCAAGTTCATGGAGAAACCTAGAGCCAGGAAACTGGAGTTAGAAAGTAGTGTGACTGCAGGCAGACTTCAAGAGTCTGGCTCTGTGAAGAACTCAGAGGCAGAATGGTCCAGCAATGTGACAAAGTCTCAGTACATCCCCTCAGGGCAGAAGAGGACCCTGCAAGTCTCCACAGGGGCATGAAGAATATCATGGGAACTCCAGGGTTCCTCCTTGACAACATTCAGAAGGTCTTCCACTTGATGCACTTTCTTAGAAGAGTCCCTTCCCTGCAAGCTGCCACTGCATGTTGGGGACATTTGATTCCACATTGCCCTAGCTTTGCTGAAGGGTGTTAGCTTTGTCACTGTGGTAACTGGCCAAGCCAATGATGTTACTTCACAGACTCCTAAAGCTGTAGAGATAAACAGGACCTGTAACAAAGTTCTTTCTTATATTGACAGAAATTTTGCCTCCCTAGAACTTCTACCCATTAGTCTGTATTCTGAAGTTCCAGAGAATCAGGATTCTTTTTTATGTGACAGGCTTCCAAGTATTTGAAGGTATTCAAGAGACACAACATCTCATCGTAGCCAGGCAAATCACCCCTTGTTTCTCCAGTAACTGTTTCTAAGTCCCTCTTAATCCTCCTATTTTCATTAGATGTTTATAACTTGCTACTCAAAGTGTGGTCCACGGACCTACAGTTTTAGCATCACCTGGAAGCTTGCTAGAAATGCGGAATCTCAGGCTATGTCCTGGTTCTCCTGAATTAGAATCTGCATTTTAATAGGATCCATAGGTGATTTATACACACATTAAAGCTGGAGAAGTGTTGTTTTATAGCATCTTCATAGCAATTCACATACACACATGCACATATGTTTACATGTAACCTCTATGCCAAACAATAGAATGATTAATTAAATTATGACATATCCAGGCTATGAGATATTATGCATTATGCATAGAAAATATATAGAAATTACATAGACAGCTGGGGAACCACTCATAATAAACCAAATGTTAGTTAGCTGATAACTAGCATTTAAAGAGAGCACTGACTACACCCTGGGCTTTGTTCAAAGCATAATAGTGATTGCCTCCTTGAGTCATCACAATAACCCCACAAAGTAGATAGCAATGGTATTCTCATTTTAAAAGTGGTAAAAGAGGCCTGGACAGGGTGGGTAACTTGCTCACGATCACACAGCAAAAGCCCAGGCAGACTAATTCCAGAACTTATGTGCCTAAAGACTGCTACAGTCAAATGATAAAACCACAGTTACAGAATTGTGTATGTGCTATGACTGAAACTATGAGGATATATATTGAACAATCTCTTGTGCTGTCATATTATGTCATTGTAATAAAAATAATAAAAGCCAGCATGCCAAACTGAATAAGTTTATCCAGCCCCAACAGTATTTCTATCATCTCTGTTACATTTTCTTTCAATTTAAACAACGTTTACAATATAAAAATAATATACACTTACGGTAAAAAATTTCATATACATGAAAGGAAATAAAATGAAAAGTAAAGAACTCCCTCCCCAGTACTCCTCCTCCACTTTGAGATAACCATGTTAGTAGTTTCTTGTATATCTCTCAAAAAATGTGTTCTGCATTTCAAATAATGAACATGCACGCACACACACACACAGATACATACATAACATTATACACACACTTTCTACTCTTAGCTTGGATACATCTGTTAAAGCAGCTTTGTGATTGGTTCCTGTTTTATTTATGATAAATTGGAACACCCAGATCTTTCTCACATGAAGTGTTATTAAGTTTTCATCTCTCCATCTTGAACAGTTTTTTTTCTCATCTAAATGTAGTATATTTTATGTCTTCTTATTGAGTTTCATGTAGCTGGCTGTGTTCTAGTATTCCAGTGAATTAAATCTTTTTATTTTATTTTATTTTTTTACTTTGATTCTTAAGCATAGAAGCTCTTTCCTTCACAGTTCTAATAAGCATGCCCTGATTTTTCATGCCTAGAGGGAATAACTGCAGGGAGGGGAACAGAGTGGTTTATGAGGATCACTATAATAGTGAAGCAAAAGAAAAAAACATATTAGCAGTGGCTGTCTCCAGATGGTGGGACTTTTATTTTTACATTTTGCTTTTGACTATTTTCCAAATGGGTTAATTTCATCATTTGAAAAAGAAATGAAAGCTGGAGTTTTGGACAGTAGATATTGTTTCTGCCTGTTCACTACCTTCCTGGAAGATTTCATACCTCCATTCCCTTTGCTGCAAGACTGTAGCATCTCTCAGTGGAGTAGTCAGTGCATACACACCTAATCCACTGATGCTGGGTTTGGGCCAGGTGACTTGCTCTGGCCAATAGGATGTTAGCCAGGGTGATATGAACAGAGGTCTGAACTTGTTGGTGCAATTTGGCTTGGTGACTTATGCTTCTGCTGCACACCACCTACCTTGGGAAGAGTAAGCTCTGGGTAGCTAGTGGTCCTGGAATTGGGAGCCCTAGGAGAAGATTTGAAGTTGGCCCTTAGCCTGAGGAATAAAGCCCCATCTCCCCATCAACCCACAGAATGCTGAATGCAAAAAATCATGTAACTTGGGAAGTTTGATTTTGTTTTTGTACAGCATCATTAGAGTAATAGTTGACTAGAATGGGGAGTCAACTACCCCCAAGCCAACTGGTATGTCGTAAGTAGTTGCCACCTCTTGCAGGTGTTGCAGCTCCCCTCTTCTTGCTTTGAGCCCCCATCACCAGCCATGCCAGCTGTGCCTAATCATGCTGCCCTTAGGTCACCTACCTCCTACCATCACTTGCACAGTAGTTCATGAGGTGGAAGCCATTCTTCCTGGCTGGTCCTAATATTCTTTTCGCCAAAAGTTCCTGTACTGTGGAACAAGAAGAGCTCTAGGATTTACCTAATTAAGAAGTGCTATCGATTGAATCATGTGCCCTCCAAGATTCATTTGTTGATGTCCTAACCACCCCCACCTGTTTCTCAGACTGTGACCATATTTGGAAATAGAGGCATTGCAGATGTAATTAGTTAGGATGAGGTCTTAGTGGAGTAGGTGGGACCCTAATCCAATATGACTGGTATCATTCTATGAAAGTGGAAATTTGGATACAGGGACACACAAACTGGGAGAACACCATGTGAACGTGAAAGCAGAGATTAGGTGATGTTTCTACAAGCCAAGGAAAGCCAAAGATTGCCAGAAAGCCTCTAGAAGCTAGAGGAGAGACAGAATATATTCTTTCTTAGCCTCACAAAGAAGCAACCCTGCCAACACCTTGCCTTCAGACTTCCAGCCTTCAGAACTGGGAGACAATAAATTTCTGTTGTTTAAGCCACCTAGTTTTGGCACTTTGTTACAGCAGCCCCAGGAAACTAATGCGGGTGTCCACCAAACAGCACAGCTATCCTCTCTGTTCCTTTCAGTGCCCTTGGAAGAACAATTCTGTCACTACAACTCCCTCCCTCCAGAAGCTGGACCCACTTCTGTTGAGGTTGAGTGATCAAGTGACATATTCCTTTCTTCTCCTTCTCCTTCAGAATGAGTCCTTTCCTCACAGAGAATGTTGTATCCACCCCACCTTATGCCTGCCATCCAAGGAGCTCAAGCCTGGGGTCTGGGGTCTATTCCCACAAATCCCATCATTGTGCTTCTGGTGGCTGACTTTCTGCAGTAGGAATCCTAAGTACCTCTCTGCAGGTCCCATGTAGATATGTTGATGGCCCTGTCAACAAAGACTGAGCTACATACTACGCTGCCTTCCACATTGCCATAAGCCTATAACCCTACTCATTAGAAGTGACTGATCGCTCAGGAGCTGGTCTGCCCTCCAACCCGCATCATTGCATCTAACCACATGGGTAATCATAAAAAGACTAACCATGTGAAAACACCGTGATAGTGTGAAACACAGATATCTGTGGGGGTACACTTAATTTGCTGGGCTAGTAATTTTATCAAAATGTGAAGGAAAGTTCAAATTAGAATATTAGAAAGCTATAGCTGAGAATTTAGAGATTGTGAAGCTCATACCTCCATTTTACTGATAAGGAACCTGAGGCGCAAGGGAGGAAATGACTTGGCCAAAGTGAGTTCTTGGCAAAGCCAAGACCAGAATACAAGTGTTCCGCTCGGTTTTCATAAGATCACATTAACAAGGTCTTTTTTTGGAATTTATTATGGCTTTAATTAATCACTGCTTTATTTTCTAATTGTTCCCTGATCATTGGTTTAGTAATCTATTTCATTTTATTTTTTATTATATAAGCAAATATTTTTTGTTTTTTAATTATAGAAGCAAACATGCATATTATTATACAATTTTACAGTGTACAGTAGAGACCACTACGGAAAATGTTACCCTAGTTTTTCCACTTCAGCCCAAACACAGAAGTTCCTCTCCGCTGTAACCACTTATAACGCCTCTTGTCTTTGGCATTTCTGATGGGTACCATTAAATAATATGCTCATCTTCTTTTATGTTCAAGCTTCAGACAGCATTAATTCTAGTTTTCTAAATGATTATCTTTTTAAATAACATAATCAAACTTCTGTTTTTTAACATTTTAGACATTATCTACTCCCCACAATATATGGGGAGGAAATAAACATTTGTCTCTCCCTTGCACCTTTTATGTGGTCGAAGTTTGTAACATTTATTTTTATTCTGTAACTATAGTTTAGTTATTTTAGCCATAACCTACCCATAAGTTAATTCCAAAAAAATAGCATTGTAAATATTATGACTATGTAAATATTATTCATTGCAGGCTGGGTGCAGTGGCTCATGCCAGCATTTTGGGAGACCAAGGCAGGTGGATTGCATGAGCCCAGGAGTTTGAGACCAGCCTGAGAAACACGGAGAAATCTTGTCTCTACAAAAAATACAAAAAAATTAGCTGGGTTTGGTGGTGCTTGCCTGCAGTCCCAGCTACTCAGGAGGCTGAGATGAGAGTATTGCTTGAGCCTGGGAGGTCAAGTCTGCACTGAGCCGTGATGGCACCACTGCACTCCAGCCTGGGTGATAGAGTGAGACCCTGCCTCAAAACAAACAAACAAACAAAACTCATTGCACTTCCCAAGCCTCTGTTTTTTTTTCCTTCAAAAATACACATTCTCCTTTGTTACTAAGGAAGACTGCTTAGAAAGTAAAGCCAAATACTTTGCACTTTTCTCACACCCCTCTCAGCTCATTCCTTCCAGCTCATGGCCATGCCTCATTTTTAATTTGTTTTTAATGACAGGACCATGTTTCTTTTGGGCAGCTTTTCATTTTCCCTAAACATCCGGAGATTATTTTCACATTTGACTAATAGAAGACCTTTATGTGTTCTCTTTATACTATGGATTGAATGAAATCCTCTTATTTCTTCAAAAACGTTCTTTCTTTGTGGAAGTCCTCTATCCTCCTGTTTTTATGGGACTATGCCCTATAAATGTTGCACAGCAGTTACCTCATTGTGAAAGTCCATGTTTTCTTCTTTCTTTAATTTCCTTTTTGGCTATCTGGGAATATATCCTTGAGCATTTCTGTTTCAGAAAATGTACATCAATGGAATTTAACCTTTCTAAATTGTCATTTCACCCTCACGTTTGATTGATCATTTAGACTGGCATAGAATTCTTGGTTCAAATAATTTGTCCCTCAGAATTTGAAAGCATTCCACCTTTGTCTTCTAGAATTTGTTGTTGGACCTGAAAAGTCTGCATCCATTTGATTTTTCTTCTTTTAAGGTAACCTTGTTTTCTTCTCTCTAGGAAGTTGTAGGATCTTTTATTCTTTGGAGTTCAGAACTTTTGATATCACTCACATAAGGAAAAAGCCAAGTAGACAACACTGAGATATCGTTCTCACTGATCAGGTGAGTTGAGTCTGATAATATATTTTGTTGGACAGGGAGAAAGACACTGAATTCTCCTCACTCTTGGTGGGAATAAAAATTATACAAACTCAATGGATGCAGATTTAACAATACATATAAAAATGAGCAGTATGTATACACTTTAACCAGCACTTTTGACATTTAGGAATATATTATCTTGAAATACTAATCTATGTGTGCAAAGATATTTATACAAGGAGAATCATTGTAGTATTGTTTGTATAACATCAATTATTTTTTAAGCCAGATATTCATTATGAGTGGTCTTATTAAAACATTAAAAATCTATAATTTGTCAAAAGCTTTTATGCATTAATCTCTATTGGCATTTGGTGGGACCTTTCAGTCAAAAGAGTCTCTTTCTTTAGCTCCAGAGTGTTTTCTTCTAACATTTCCTTGAAAATTTGCCACTAACCATTTTCTTTTTTCAGTTTACTCCTTTTAAATCTCTTCTATGAGGGTGTTGAAGCTGCTGTATCTGTCTGACAGCTCCTTAACTTCCTTCTTTTTTTTTTTTTTTTTTTTTTGAGACGGAGTCTCGCTCTGCCGCCCAGGCTGGAGTGCAGTGGCACAATCTCGGCTCACTGCAAGCTCCGCCTCCCGGGTTCACGCCATTCTCCTGCCTCAGTCTCGCGAGTACCTTTCAATAATACTTTTAATTTTGCTCTATGTTTTGAGACACTATCATAACTTTATTTGCCAGGGAACCAACTTTGTTTTCAGCTGGGCTCTTATTATTCAAGATGCAATATTTTTTTTATTTTTGCAATCATATTTGATTACTAAAAACACATTTTGCTTTCTGATTGCAGTCTTTAAATTGTCCAGTTTTCTACGGATGCAATTTTCTTTTAAATTGCTGTTTTTGTATACTAATAAGAGTTAATTTTAGGTGCACAATATTCTGAACTTTGCTGTTTTTCTTCTCTCATTGTATCTTCGCAATTGTTACATGTCAGTACCCGTAGAGGAACTTCAATTCTTCTTAATAGCTACATTGTATTTCACTCTCTATTTTACATACGTGTAATTTTTTGACAAGTCCACTAATGATAGATTTCTGGCTTTTAAAAAGTAATTGATGTGGCCGGGCATGGTGGCTCACGCCTGTAATCCCAGCACTTTGGGAGGCTGAGGCGGGCGGATCACAAGGTCAACAGATTGAGACCATGTTGGCCATCGTGGTGAAACCCCATCTCTATGAAAAATAGAAAAAAAATTAACTGGCTGTGGTGGTGCGCGCCTGTAGTCCCAGCTACTCAGGAGGCTGAGGCAGGAGAATCACTTGAACCCAGGAGGCAGAGGTTGCAATGAGCCCAGATTGCGCCACTGCAACTCCAGCCTAGGGACAGAGCGAGACTAGGTCTCCAAAAAAAAAAAAAAAAAAAAAAGTAATTGATGTTATACAAACAATACTACAATGATTCTCCTTGTATAAATATCTTTGTACACATAGATTAGTATTTCAAGAGAATATATTCCTAGATGTCAAAAGAGCTAAAAGAGCTGGTCAAAGTGTGTATGTATTGCTCATTTTGATATGTATTGTCAAGTCCCCATCCATTGAGTTTGTACGTATTTATGTTCTTACAAAGAGTGAAGATCATTCTTTCTCCCTCCCAACAAAGTATATTATCAGACTTGACCCATCTGATCAGTGAAAATGGTATCTCAGTGTAGTCTACTTTGCATTTTTCTTATTATGAGTAATATTGATCAAATTTCTATATTCTGAAAAGTCTTTTGCAATTTCATTTTTGTTAACTATCTAGTTAAACCTGGACCACCTTTCTATTAAGTTATTGATATCTTGAAGGTTTTATAGGAATTCTTTATGTGTTAAAGAAATTAGTCTTTTGTTGTCATATGTGCTAAAAGCATTTCTTTTGACACAACTTATGAAATTTTATCATCCTAAATTTTCAATAAACTTGTGAAATTTAGAATAGTTTTAGTTTTAAAGAAAAATGGGAAGACAGTACAGAGTTCCCATATACCCCACCCCAGTTTCTCCTATTATCAACATTAGTATGGTTAAATTGCAACAGTCCATGAACCAATATTTGTGCATTATTATTAATTAAATCCATTCTTTATCCTGATTCCCTTAGTTTTTACCAAATGTCTTTTTCTTTTCTAGGATCTTGTCACATTGCATCTAGTCATCATGTTTCCTTAGACTCTGCTTGCCTATGACAGTTTCTCAGACTTTCCGTATTTTTGATGACTTTGACAATTTGAGCAATAATGATCAGGTATTTTGTAGAATGTCCTTTAGTTGGTGTGTGTCTGATGCTTTTCTCATGATTGGACTGGGAGGAAGATCAGAGGTAAAGTGCCATTTTCATCAAGTCATGTAAAGTAAACACATTATAACCATGACTTATCACTGTTGGTGTTAACCCTGATGACCTGGGTGAGGGAGTCAGGCCTCTCCACCATAAAGCTCCTCCCTTTTCCCCCCTTTCCATACTTGACTCTGAAAGGAAGTCAGTATGTGTGACCCACACCTAAGGAGTTGGGACTTACATTTCACTTCCTTTAAGCAGAGTATCTTCTTGAATTGCTGGGAATTTTGCATGGCTGATTTGTCTGTTCTCCTCTCCTCCTCCCCCATTTATGTACTGATGTATTTGCTTGTTTATTCAATGATTTATTTATGTCAGTGTGAGCTCCTGAATATTTATTTTGTACCTTGGCTTATAATCTAATACCACTTTATTTTGTTGCTCAAATTGTTCCAGCTTTGGCCACTGACAATTCTTTCAGTTGGCTCCTTTGTCCCTTTGTCATATCCTCATCATTATGCGTTTTTTGTTCTTTAAACATTTCTTTATGGCATTGAGTGATGCTCCAAGCTCATCTTGTATATTTCTTGCTCCAGCCCTAGAATCAGCTATTTCTCCAAACAAATAAAAATACAAATGAAATAAAATAAATAGCCCTGTTCTTTTTACTGGAGAATGGTATGAAAACCAAAGCTGGAGTTTTTGGTATGCTTGTTGCTATCGAAATGACATCACTTCTAGGCCTTCTCAACTGACAGAGCAGGGAATAGATATGTGTATGCTAACCAATGAATATATACATGTCTATAAATATTCCTGTATTTAACATTTGAATGTATATTAAGCTAGACATGAACTCATATTGACATTTTCAACTATAATTCAGTACCACATGAATTGTTTTATCCTCCTTCCATGCTCATCTGCAAAATCCTACACCAACAGTGAGAAATCTGTGTCCTACCATCTGCCATCCATTTACCTAATTGTTCAATTCCAGTATATATATATAGTGCTTTCAGAATTATTGACCTGTACCTTCATGGGAAGCAATTTTACCAACTACAGTACAGTGCTTAAGGTCAAGTCTTTTTGTTTTCAGTCTTATAGCTTCTATTCATTTCCAAAGGTTAGATCAGCACCTTTTGTCCTATCTCCTTCAGTGTGGTTGTTCCATGCATTTGTAATATAGTTTATTCTTTTGTCACATTCTAATTTCCACCCTGGGATCCTTAACCTCCTAAATGATCTTTTACAATTTGCATACATTAAGGTTTACTGTTTGTGATGTAAAGTTCTATGGGTTTTGACGAATTTATAGTGTCATGTATCCACTGTCACAGTATCATACAGAATAATGTCACCATTCTAAAAATCCCTGTTTCACCTGTTCAGCTCTCTCTTCCTGACCTAAACCCCTAGCAGTCACCGATCTATTTACCATTTCTATAATTTTGTTCTTTGCAAAATGTCATATAAATGGAATAATACAGTATTGTAGCCTTTTCAGACTGGCTTATTTTACTTAGCAATATACATTTAAAATTAATTCATGTTTTAGTGTAGCTTGATGGTTCATTCCTCTTTATTATTAAGTGGTATTCCATTATATGGATGTGCCACAGTTTGTTTATCCATTCACTTATCAAAGGACACCTTGGTTGCTTCTATTTTGGGGTAATTATGAATGAAATGGCTATAAATATTCACATGCAGGTTTTGTGCACATATTAATAAGTTTTCAAAACAGGTAGGTAAATACCTAGAAGTGTGATTGTTGGATCATTTAATACAAGTATGTTTGGCTTTGTAAGAAACTGCCAAACTGTTTTCCAAAGTGGTTGTACTATTTCACATTTCCACCAGCAATAAATGAGAGCTTCTGTTCCTCCACATCCTTATCAATATCCTCCGTGTAGCTATTTGAAACTATGTAATCTATTATTGTTAATTATAGTCATCCTATAGTGGTATAGAAGACTAAAACTTATTATTCTTATCTACCTGTAATTTTGTGTACTTTAACAAATTTCTCTAACGACAAATGATGATTACCATCTTCTCAATTGCTTATTTGCCATCTGTATATCTTTTGGGTAAAGTGTCTGTTCAGATCTTTGGCCCATTTTAAAATTAGGTTGAATTTTTTTATTGTTAAATTTTAAGAGTTCTTTGTATAACTTGGATACTTGCCTTATATCAGATATGTGTTTGCAAATATGCTCTCCCAGTCTGTAACTTGTCTCTTCATTCTCTTAACAGTGGTTTCAGCAGATCAGAATTTTTAATGTTAATGAAGTCCAATATATCAATTTTTTTATGGATCATGCTTTCGATGTTGTATTTAAAAATTCATCACGAAGTCCAAGGTCATGTAGATTTTATCATGTATTATCTTTTGTAAGTTTTATAGTTGCTGAATATTTTGATACATTTTACTGGAAGTTCCAGCCAGGGAAATAAGGTGAAAAAGAAAAAGGATGAAAGAAAGAGAAAAAAAGAGAGAGAGGAAGAATAAAAAGAAATCAACAAAAAGAGGAAAGGCGTCTAGATTGGAAAAGAAGGAATAAAACTGTCTTAATTTGCACATATATGAGTGTCTATGTAGAAATTTCAAAGGATGTATAAAATGGCTACTAGAATTTATAAGTAAATTTAGCAATGTCAATATAAAATAAATTATATTTCTGTATGTTAGAGATGAACACTTGAAAATACAAATTTAAAAATTCCACTTATGAAAGCATTATAAATACAAAGTACTAACAAAATATATTCTAATATTTGTAAGATGTAGTTATAAAACATTAATGAAGGGTAACAAATAAGCCCTAAATAAATGAAGTGATATATCTATAAATCTATAAATTCATTGCAACCCATTGAAAATACCAGCAGGCCTTTGTAGAAGTCAGAAAGCTGATTCTAAAATCTATATGGAAAGGTAAAGGACTTAGAACAGTTAAACATTTTTCTTTAAAGAAGATAATATTCCTTATGAAATGAGGAATATTTCTTCCTCATTTCAAGACTTACCATAAGGCAACAATAATTAAGACAGTATAATATGTGTAAAAGGTTAGATATACTAATAAATAGAACAGAATAGAGATAGCGAAGTAGATCCAAATATTTATTCAGTTGACTTTGTGAGAAGGTGCCAATGTAGTTCAATGGATAAAGAACAGTCTTTTCAGCAAATATTGATGGCACAGTTGGATACACAAACACACACACACACACACACACACACACACACACAAATAAACCTCAAACTATACCTTGTATCATATGTGAAAAAAATTCAAAATAGATTAAAAACCTAAATATAGGCCGGGCGTGGTGGCTCACGCCTGTAATCCCAGCACTTTGGGAGGCCGAGGCAGGTGGATCACGAGGTCAGGAGATCGAGACCATCCTGGCTAACACAGTGAAACCCTGTCTCTACTAAAAATACAAAAAATTAGCTGGGCGTGGTGGCGAGTGCCTGTAGTCCCAGCTATTTGGGAGGCTGAGGCAGGAGAATGGCGTGAACCTGGGAGGTGGAGCTTGCAGTGAGCTGAGATTGCGCCATTGCACTCCAGCCTGGGCGACACAGCGAGACTCCATCTCAAAAAAAAAAAAAAAAAAGAAATATAAAGCACAAAACTATAAAACTTATCAAAGAAAATAATAAAAGGAAATGCTTTCACCTTAAGTTAGGCAAAGATTTACTAGAACATGAAAGCACAAAGTATAAAATAAAAATTTTAAAAACTGAAATTGATTTAATCAAAATTTAAAATTTAGGCTCTTTGAATGTTAACAAAATAAAAAGAGAAGCTATAGACTGGAAGAAAATGTCTGCAAGAAAAAAAGTCTGATAAAATACATCTCTCCGGAATACACAAAGAACTCTGTTTTGCAGAAATTTTTAGTTTGGGCCCAGGATGGTGGCTCACACTTGTAATCCCAACACTTTGGGAGGCTAAAGTGGGAGGATTGTTTGAGGTCAGGAGTTTTAGAATGGCCTGGGCAAAATAGCAAGACCCCTTCTATACAAAAATTTTTTTAAAAAACAGCTGAGCATGGTGGCATGCACCTGTAGTCCTAGCTACTTAGGAGGCTGAGGCAGGAGGATTGCTTGAGCCCAGGAGTTCAAGGCTGCAGTGAGCTATGGTTGTACCACTGCACTTGAGTTTGGGCAACAGAGTAAGGCCCTGTCTCAAAAAAAAAAAAAAAAAAACCCAAAAAGCAAACAAACAAACAAACAAAAAAGAAAAGTTAAAAGTTAAAGAAACTTTTTAGGTTGATGTAGTCCCACTTGTTTATTTTTTGCTTTTGTTGCCTATGCTTTTGGTGAGCTATCCAAAAAAGTTCTTGCCAAAGCCAACATCAAATAGCTTTTTCCTCTGTTTTTTCCCTTTTTTGCCAGCAGTTTTATGGGTTCAGGTCTTAGGTTTAGGCGTTTACTCCATTTTCAGCTGACTTTCATGTATGATGTAAGATAAGGGTCCAGTGTTATTCTTTTGAATGTGGATATCCAGTTTTTACAACACTATTTATTAAGAGACTATCCTTTGCCCATTGTGTCTTTTTGGTGGCCTTGTTGAAAATTCATTGACTGTGCAGATGGTTCCTGACTTATAATGTTTCAACCTACAATTCTTTGACTTTATAATGGTACCCATCCAACCATTTTGTTTTTCACTTTCAGTACAGTATGCAAAACATTACACTGGATATTCAATACTTCATTACAAAAACAGGCTTTATGTTAGATGACTTTGCCCAACTGCAGGTTAATCTAAGTGTTCTGAGCATGCTTAAGATTGGTTAGGCTGAATTATGATGTTTGGTAGGTTAGGAGTATTAAATGCATTTTCGACTTACGATATTTTAAAACTTACAATGGGTTTATTGTTACACAACACCATTGTAAGTTGAGGAACATCTATATATGCTTGGGTTTACTTATGGGCTCTCTATTCTGTTCTATTGGTCTATATATGTCAGTATTATACTATTTTAATTACTATTATTTTATAATATAATTTGAAATTGGGAAGTGTGATGCCTCTGGCGTTGTTTTTCCTTCCCAAGATTATTTTGGCTCCTCAGGGTCTTTTGTGTTAATACAGAAAATTGTTTTTCTATTTCTGTGAAAAATTCCATTGGGGTTTTGATAGGGATTGTGTTGAATGTGTATACTGCTTTAGTTATTGTAAACATTTTAATAATATTTATTCTTCTAATCTGTGAACATGTGGTATCTTTCCATTTATTTGTATCTTCCTCAATTTCTTTCATCAACATTTTATAGTTTACAGTGTAGAGATCTTTCACTTCCTTGGCTAAACTGATTCGTATTTTATTATTTCTGATGCCATTGTAATGGGATTGTTTTCTTGATTTCTTTTCTAGATAGATCATTATTAGTGTACAGAAATGTAACTGATTATTATATGTTAATATTTTATCCTGCAACTCTACTGAGTTTATTAGTTCCAATAGTGTTTTAGTGGAATCTACATCTAGAGTTGTGTCATCTGCAAACAGGGATAATTTTACTTCTTCCTTTCTGATTTGAATGTCTTTTAATTTTTTTCTTGTCTGATTGCTCTTGCTAGTACTTCTAGTACTGTGTTAAATAGAAGTGGTAAGAGTAGGCACCCTTGTCTTATGTCAGATCTTACAGGAAAAGCTTTCAGTTTTTCCTACATAAGAAGTTAATATTGAAAATGTATTTAAAAACTCCCATAACCCAATAGGAAAAAGACAAGTAATCTGGTAAAAAAAAATGAGTAAAGGATTTGAATAGACATTTCTCCAGAGAAAAAAATAAAATATCCAAAATTTATGTGAAAAAAAGGTGCCCAATGTCACTAATCATCAGAGAAATGCAAACCAAATCCATAATGAGATATCACCTCAGACCTGTTAGAATGGCTATTTTTAAAAAGACAAGAGGAGAATGATTTGAGTAATAATAAAACTCTGCTCTCCTGCACAGCTGGCTCTGCATGAATTACTCTTTCTCTATTGCAATTCCCCTGTCTTGATGAATTGGCTCTGTCTAGGCAGTAGGCAAGGTGAACCTCTTGGGTGGGTACAAATTCGGGGCTTGTCCAGGATTGCCCTTGTGGCTACCTGGCTGTGCTTCAGTGACCCCCTCCAGTGATGGATCCAGAAGCCAGCCCAAGAGGTTGCCTAGTTCTCTTGGACTGGGGGCTGACTCTGGTACTCTCTCTACTGGTGGGGCACTGCCAGCCCAATGTGCTTAGATTAAATTGCAATAGAGAAATAGTCGTGGGGAGACATCCCTTAACTGTAGCCCTATCACAGGGTATCTGTCTGTAGCCCCATGGTTGGGTGTCTAGATTGGTGAGCATCCTAGGCTCTGCCAATGCATTCTTCCTTCTCCCTACTGGTTCTGTAGTCCTATGGTGGGGTGTCTGTAGCCCCGTTGTGGGGCATCTGTAGCTCCACCATGGGGTGTCTGTGTCTGTAGCCTCATTGTAGAGTGTTTGTTCAGCTCCTGGGTCTCATTTGGCTCCTTCTAACTAGTAGGAAGAGTCCTGGTTTAGGAGACTTCTTCTCAATCAGGAAGATTTTGAGGAGGTTTCTCAGATGGAGAATAGTCATCCAATTAAGAAACTGACAAATGAAAAACTTTACAAGTGCTGAATCTTCTGTCTGTCTCTGTGTATTTATGTGCTGTATGTTTATATATAAAAGAGCTCTGATTAGTTGGCTTAGAAAAATAAGCACTTAAATCAAATATTTTGTCAGAAAAATAGAAACTTTAATGCCTTTTTGTTTGTGTGACTTTAGTAATCTTTTGGAAATAAAGACAGTTTTAAAGATTATTGGTAAAATCAAACGCCTTGAAAACGTAGACATTTGGTCTAAATTAAGGTCAGATATCAGATTTGCGAAATGCTTTCAGGTCAAACTGTTTCTTTGACTTCTGAAAATTGTTTGATTTACCTACTTTGGAGCATTAGATTATAGGTAAGGGCTGGGGACATATGGAAAGCCATGCCCGCTAGCTATGCTAAAAGCAGTCAGACCTTATCTTAATTTCTGTCTGATGTCCTAGGCTCCACCCCTAGTACATAATTAAAATCTCTTTCTTATCAAATTTTTCACTAAAAATAAAAGTTGCTAAGAGTTAACATTGTTACATGTAGTTGAGACCACTGGAGAAACAGTTTTACATACAAGGTGTGTAGGGAGTGTGTTTTTGGTAAAAGATTATAAGAAGGCATGGGAATATGGCTTTTGTTAAAGGGAATGTAATTTTGTCTAGTTCAGAGGGTTTTAATGACTGTCTTAACCTAAAAGAGCAATGGAACAAAACTGAAGGTTTAAGCAAAGTGGAAAGGGTTTGTAAAGGGTTGATCTTGTAAAAATTCTGTGGGTGTAAGCAAGTTGGCTAAGATTTAAAAGAAATTATTTAGCTTTTTTCCTTAGGTTAAAACATTAAAGTCATAGCGATGTGAAGCCAGAATCTGGGCCCATGTGTCCAACTAACAGGGTTTTCTTAGAAAACTGATCTGCTGTTTGATGGAATATTGTAAAGGGTTCTGAAAAGTTGATGAAAATCTTACCTTATGGTCAAACTAATTAAAACTGGGTAGAGACATAAAATTTTATTTAAAAAACTAGCTTTAACATTAAAGATGCACTAATGCAAGCATAAAATTTATTTTTCCCTTTTGAAGATGATTTTTATGTAATGTTAAAAGATAATGAAAGGGTTTTGTTTTCTCCTTTGGGTAAATGGTAGAAAAAAGAAAGGAGGAGAGAGAGAAGAGACAGATTCAGTTGGCCTCATGCTATCTTCATTGGGTCTTGTTTGAAAGCTAAGTCTCCTCTATCAGAGTAAAGGATTTTCTTTTTTAAAATTTTTTTGGGAGTTATCATTTTGGCCAAATAAATGACTTGTGGTGACCCGGGATTCTATTTTGTGATATCCAGTGTTTTAAACCTTTGATATTTGACAAATTTTCCAAAATCAAATTATAAATTCTGTCTCTTTCTTACCTAATATTTTAGATATTAGGTCCTCTAAAGTTCAAAGATGACATTTGGCTTATTTGGTACAAAAATCATACAGGAAGCACTGTCAAATATGAAATGATGTCTGGCTTTCTTTGGTCTATATTTTATTTGGTCTATATTTCTTTGGTCTATATGTTATTGGTATATGTTGTATATGTATATATGTATATGTTCTGAAATTATGTAAAACTCCTATAATTCTAATATAATTTAGCATATATTCTCAGTGCCTTTTCTGCAATGTGACACTGACCATTTTCCTAGCAAGAGGTAGAGTATATTTCTGTACCTTTTGAAATGTTGACTGTTTTTTTTTTAATTTATTTTTTTTATTTTATTATTATACTTTAAGTTTTAGGGTACATGTGCACATTGTGCAGGTTAGTTACATATGTAAACATGTGCCACGCTGGTGCGCTGCACCCACTAACTCGTCATCTAGCATTACGTATATCTCCCAATGCCATCCCTCCCCCCTCCCCCCACCCCACCACAGTCCCCAGAGTGTGATGTTCCCCTTCCTGTGTCCATGTGATCTCATTGTTCAATTCCCACCTATGAGTGAGAATATGCGGTGTTTGGTTTTTTGTTCTCCCGATAGTTTACTGAGAATGATGATTTCCAATTTCATCCATGTCCCTACAAAGGACATGAACTCATCATTTTTTATGGCTGCATAGTATTCCATGGTGTATATGTGCCACATTTTCTTAACCCAGTCTATCATTGTTGGACATCTGTGTTGGTTCCAAGTCTTTGCTATTGTGAATAGTGCCGCAATAAACATACGTGTGCATGTGTCTTTATAGCAGCATGATTTATAGTCCTTTGGGTATATACCCAGTAATGGGATGGCTGGGTCAAATGGTATTTCTAGTTCTAGATCCCTGAGGAATCGCCACACTGACTTCCACAATGGTTGAACTAGTTTACAGTCCCACCAACAGTGTAAAAGTGTTCCTATTTCTCCACATCCTCTCCAGCACCTGTTGTTTCCTGACTTTTTAATGATTGCCATTCTAACTGGTGTGAGATGGTATGTCATTGTGGTTTTGATTTGCATTTCTCTGATGGCCAGTGATGATGAGCATTTTTTCATGTGTTTTTTGGCTGCATAAATGTCTTCTTCTGAGAAGTGTCTGTTCATGTCCTTCGCCCACTTTTTGATGGGGTTGTTTGTTTTTTTTCTTGTAAATTTGTTTGAGTTCATTGTAGATTCTGGATATTAGCCCTTTGTCAGATGAGTAGGTTGCAAAAATTTTCTCCCATTTTGTATGTTGCCTGTTCACTCTGATGGTAGTTTCTTTTGCTGTACAGAAGCTCTTTAGTTTAATTAGATTCCATTTGTCAATTTTGGCTTTTGTTGCCATTGCTTTTGGTGTTTTAGACATGAAGTCCTTGCCCATGCCTATGTCCTGAATGGTATTGCTTAGGTTTTCTTCTAGGGTTTTGATGGTTTTAGGTCTAACATGTAAGTCTTTAATCCATCTTGAATTAATTTTTGTATAAGGTGTAAGGAAGGGATCCAGTTTCAGCTTTCTACATATGGCTAGCCAGTTTTCCCAGCACCATTTATTAAATAAGGAATCCTTTCCCCATTTCTTGTTTTTGTCAGGTTTGTCAAAGATCAGTTGGTTGTAGATGTGTGGTATCATTTGTGAGGGCTCTGTTCTGTTCCATTGGTCTATATCTCTGTTTTGGTACCAGTACCATGCTGTTTTGGTTACTGTAGCCTTGTAGTATAGTTTGAAGTCAGGTAGTGTGATGCCTCCAGCTTTGTTCTTTTGGCTTAGGATTGACTTGGTGATGCGGGCTCTTTTTTGGTTCCATATGAACTTTAAAGTAGTTTTTTCCAATTCTGTGAAGAAAGGCATTGGTAGCTTGATGGGGATGGCATTGAATCTGTAAATTACCTGGGGCAGTATGGCCATTTTCACAATATTGATTCTTCCTACCCATGAGCAGGGAATGTTCTTCCATTTGTTTGTATCCTTTTTTATTTCCTTGAGCAGTGGTTTGTAGTTCTCCTTGAAGAGGTCCTTCACATCCCTTGTAAGTTGGATTCCTAGGTATTTTATTCTCTTTGAAGCAATTGTGAATGGGAGTTCACTCATGATTTGGCTCTCTGTTTGTCTGTTGTTGGTGTATAAGAATGCTTGTGATTTTTGTACATTGATTTTGTATCCTGAGAGTTTGCTGAAGTTGCTGAAAAACCCTTCAAAAAATTAATGAATCCAGGAGCTGGTTTTTTGAAAGGATCAACAAAATAGATAGACCACTAGCAAGACTAATAAAGAAAAAAAGAGAGGAGAATCAAATAGATGCAATAAAAAATGATAAAGGGGATATCACCACTGATCCCACAGAAATACAAACTACCATCAGAGAATACTACAAAGACCTCTACGCAAATAAACTAGAAAATCTAGAAGAAATGGATAAATTCCTCGACACATACACTCTCCCAAGACTAAACCAGGAAGAAGTTGAATCTCTGAGTAGACCAATAACAGGATCTGAAATTGTGGCAATAATCAATAGCTTACCAACCAAAAAGAGTCCAGGACCAGATGGATTCACAGCCGAATTCTACCAGACGTACAAGGAGGAACTGGTACCATTCCTTCTGAAACTATTCCAATCAATAGAAAAAGAGGGAATCCTCCCTAACTCATTTTATGAGGCCAGCATCATTCTGATACCAAAGCCTGGCAGAGACACAACCAAAAAAGAGAATTTTAGACCAATATCCTTGATGAACATTGATGCAAAAATCCTCAATAAAATACTGGCAAAACGAATCCAGCAGCACATCAAAAAGCTTATCCACCATAATCAAGTGGGCTTCATCCCTGGGATGCAAGGCTGGTTCAATATATGCAAATCAATAAATGTAATCCAGCATATAAACAGAGCCAAAGACAAAAACCACATGATTATCTCAATAGATGCAGAAAAGGCCTTTGACAAAATTCAACAACCCTTCATGCTAAAAACTCTCAATAAATTAGGTATTGATGGGACATATTTCAAAATAATAAGAGCTATCTATGACAAACCCACAGCCAATATCATACTGAATGGGCAAAAACTGGAAGCATTCCCTTTGAAAACTGGCACAAGACAGGGATGCCCTCTCTCACCACTCCTATTCAACATAGTGTTGGAAGTTGTGGCCAGGGCAATTAGGCAGGAGAAGGAAATAAAGGGTATTCAATTAGGAAAAGAGGAAGTCAAATTGTCCCTGTTTGCAGACAACATGATTGTATATCTAGAAAACCCCATTGTCTCAGCCTGAAATGTTGACTGTTAAATATGATCCAGCCTTGTGACCTACTTGGACCAATAGACTAGATGATTTGCAATTTCTAAAGATGCCCTCAAGAAAGCTTGCAGCTTCCATTCACAATCTCTTAAAACCCAACTGTCACGTGTGGAAGTCTGAGCTAACCATGTGGACAGGTTTCATGCAGAATCAAGGTGATATATCCAAATCCCTGCTCAAATCTCATGCTGAAATGTAATCCCCAGTGTTGGAGGTGGGGCCTGGTGGAAGGTGTTTGGGTCATGGGGGAGGATCCCTCATGTACTGGTGCTGTCCTCCAGACACTGAGTGAGTTCTTGCAACATCTGGTTGTTTAAGTGTGTAGCACCTGCCTCTGACCCCCACCCACTGTCTTTTGCTCCTTCTTCTACCCTATGATGTGTCTGTTCCCCTTCACCTTGTGCCATGATTGTAAGTTATGTGAGGCCTCACCAGAAGCAGATGCCAGTGCCATGCTTTCTCCACATCCTGCAAAACCATGCCAATTAATCCTTTTCTCTTTATACTATTTTTTTAAAAAAGACAAGAGATAACAAGTATTAGCAATGGTGTGGAGAAAAGGTAAACATGGTGTACTGCTAGTGGGAATGTAGAATGGTACAGCCAGTATGGAAAGCAATATGGAGGTTTCTGAAGAAATTAGAGAACAGAGTTACCATATGACCCAGCAACCTCTCATCTAAGTGTATATGCAAAGGAAATGAAATCACCGCCTTGTAAAGATAGTAAAGATATCTGTGCTCCATGGTTCTTATAGCATTGTTCACAATAGTCAAGATATGAAAACGCCCTAAATGTCCATCAGTTGATGAATGGATAAAGACATTGTAGTGTATATTTATGGATATTTTCTAACTTTAAAAAAGGAGATCCTGCCATTGCTGCAACAGCTTCGATGACCTAAAGGACATTATGGTAAGTGAAATAAGCCAGACACAAGAGGAAAAATACTGCATGATCTCACTTACATGTGGAAACTAACAAAACAAACAAACAAAACAAAAACAAAACTTGAATACATAGAAATAGAGGTAAAAAAGATGGTTACCAGAGGTCAGGGGGTGGGAAAATGGGGCAATGGAGGTCAAAGGGCACAAAGTTTCAGTTATGTAGTATAAATAACCCCAGTGATCTAAAGTATAGCCTGAGTACTGTAGTTAATAATATTGTATCCTGGAAATTTGATAAGAGAGTAGGTTTTAGATATTTTTACCTACCAAAAAGTGGAAGCTATGTGAGATGATAGATATGTCAATTTGCTTGACTGTCATAATCATTTCACTGTGTGTATGTATATCAAAACATCATGCTGTATACCTTAAATATATGCAACTTTTTAAAAAAAGTTCAGGAATTTCCAGGGTGCTATTGATCTACACTTGAGCTGTCTCCTTATGATAGCCACAAGGATATGTAATTTTGAAAACTGAAAAAAAAAAAGAACTCTCAAAACTCAATAATGAGAAGAAACACAGCCCAATTAAAAAATGGGAAAAAGAATTGAACAGTTGCTTCACCAAGAAGACACACAAAATGGTAAGTAAGCACATGAAAAGATGCTTGACATCATTAATCAATATGAAAATGCAAATTAAAACCACAATGGAATACCACTGCATACCTATTAGAATGACTGAAATTTTTAAAAACCGGAAAAACGAAAAATCCATATCAAGTACAAGAATGTGAAGTAACTGACAATGTTCATAGATTGCTACTAGGGAAGAAAAATGGTACCACCACTTAGGAAAGCAGTTTGTCCGCTTTTTTATAAAGTTAAACATGAACTTCTTACATTGCCCAAGAATTTACTCCAAACTAATTACTTAAAAGAAATGAAAACATATGTTCACACAAAGAACTGTACAGAGAAAACCTGAACAGAGATGTTTGTAGCATATTTATTCAAAATAGTAAAAAACTAGAAATAATCCAATCATGATCCAATCCAATCATGCCATCAACCAGTGAATGCATGATGAAGAAATTGTTTTATATGCATACAATAGAATGCTACTTAGGAATAAAAACCAAATAAACTAATGACACATACATTACATGGATTAATTTCAAAGACACTGTGCTAAGCACAAGAATCCAGACACACATGGCTGTGTTCTTTGTGAGTTCATTTATATGTCATTCTGGAAAAGGCAAAATTACAGAGACCAAAGTCTGATTATTGGTTTCCAGGAGCTGAGGATGGAGGAAATAATTTTTTGACAAAGGAGCACATAGAAACTTTGTGCAGTGATTAAAAAGTATTCTACATTGATTCTGGTAGTGGTCATATGACTTTAGTATTTGTATACCTTCACAGGAATGTATATCTCAAAACGGTGAACTTTACACAAATTTTATGTTAAGAGGTAATTCTCCACAGATTTTTCTGCGTGTCTTGTGGGCCACACAATGATTGCCCTTTGTTCTGGATGATTTTCTCAAGAATGTTTGCATTATGCCCTGGTGGACGGAGATAGTGTCACCCTCTGGAGCAAATTGCAGGCCTAATTATTAATACTATCCAGTATAATAAAGATAAAGTCTCTTTCTGGAGCAAAGGGAACACTAACTGTTGAGTAAGTTCAGGGGTCCTTTTCTGTAATGCAGCACACTGTGGCAGGTGTCATCTGGCTCTCATCATGTTACCCTATGGGAATTGAGGCTCAGGGAACTGGCCCCCAAATAATGACACTTTAGTTACTGCTATTGGTATGAGTAGTAAATTGTCCTTCATCTCTGACTAGGAGTCTTGTGTCTTCTACTGGCATTCGTGAAATGGTGGCAAGGTGACTGGTTAGCTTACATGTAGAGTAAAATCTCCGACTCTCCACAGTTTTGACACTTTTGGCAGTGAAGATGGATGCTGACAGAGGTGTGACTTTCTGGAAGAGGAAGGATGAGGACCTAGTGAACTGACTAATGGGATTTAGGGAAAGCAAACATATTGAACAAAGTGTATGTTCAACCAGGCATAAATTGTCCTCCATTTTGTTGTGGGTTAATGAGAAGGAATTGCGGATGTGGTTGCAGGTCAAGTACTGGGAAATAGATTCGAAGAAAACTGCCTAAAAAGGGACTTGGATGTTACAACTCTCCTCTCCTGTGGGTATTTCCTCACCACTCTGGTGGTCAGCTTCAAATTCACCACACTGTAATAAATAATATGAATATTATTCCTGGGAGCAGGGAGCCAGAAGATCTACCTCTATCAAATAATATTTGCAAAAACACACACCTATACTTAGCATGAAAAGAAAGAAAAATTGTGACCACTATGTGCAGAAACCAGGAAGACTGATAAACCGTTGGCTGATTGACCTGGGAGATGAAGGGGGCGTGGGATGCATAATGTTTGTTAAGGAAGAGTGGGAATAGCAGGTCATATTATGGTTCCACCCCTCATGCAGTCTGTCAGGCCCTCCATAGATTCATTTGTAGATGAATCTATAGTAACAGGGTCAGAGCTTTTTGCTATAGGTACTGGCTAAAATAAGGGAATTGTCCTCAAAACAAACTCCTTTGGGAAACCATAAATGATACATTGACTAGTATTCAGAGTCTTACTGCCCTGAATTGGGTTTACAATAATGATCAAAGTGATGCACTGCAGAATGAGAAACTGTCCTAAAGAAATTGTGATAAATGTTTGCTGTCAACCCTGCCACCTTGGAAAATTCCCCTATTCCTTATGTGGAAACTGAATGGGAATTTAGGAGGTGTTATCTTGGTAATGGGAAATGATGCTACAGATTAATGTGGGCTCCTCGAGGGTCACCACTGTGTAAGCTAAGTCCAAGCCAGCCATAGGGTGCAAACCCTGCTCTCCAAGCAAAGCTTCTTGGGACTATGTGGGTACATTCATGATACTCAAGTACACCACCCCCCCCCCCACCTTTTTTTTTTTTTCCATTTTTAAGTAGCCTAGGCTTTAATTTTAAAGGAGGTTGAATATGGCTTATTACTTGTCCCAGTTTCCTATTGTTACCATAACAAGCTGTCACAATTTAGTGACTTAAAACAACACAAATATATTCTCTTATGGTTCTGGAGGTCAGAAGTCTAAAGATATTTTCATTGGGCCATTGGAGTTGGTAGGGCTGTTTCCTTCTGAGGCTTTGCATGGAAAATCCATTTTCTTGCCTATTTCTAATAGTCACCTGTATCCTTTGGTTACTGACTCCTTCCTCCATCCTCAAATTGCATCATTCCAGTTATGGCCTCCATCATCACATTGACTTCCCCTCTGACTTCTCCTGCATTCTTCTAAGGTACACCCCTTTGGAAAAGCATCCATTAGCTTGCACTTGTCAAAAGTGAACACCTGATCCATGAGGTGCTTGTTACTCTCTGCACATTTTGTGGTGGGTCAGCTCAGACTCAGTGACTAACAAGTTGGAAAGTGTTCAACAAGTCTCACTTATCAAATGAAAATAGTATATTCAAGGACTCAGCCAAGTTGGCCCCAAGAGCTTCTTGGATTTAGATTAAAAAATTGGCAGCTGTCCCTTTGGGAGAAACTTTACATCTTATTTCACCACTTTGGAAAATATTTGAAAGTGCCTACTAAAGCAGCACATGTATATGTCCTATGATCCGGCAATATTACTTATAGGTATGTAGTAATAGAAGTGCATGCATGCATGTATCAAAAACATGTACACCAAAGAGCACATGTCAGAGTATTCATAGTACAGTTATTCATAATAATAGAAAACTGAAAACAGTCCAAATGTATAATAATGGAGTAAAGAAACAAATTATTATATGATCATACAAATAAATACTATACAGCTGTCAAAATGAATGAATTACTATTATAAAAACATGAATTTCACAAATATGATTTGAGCAGAACAAATCAAGCACAGAATAATATATACTATACTACTCCACTTGTATAAGGTTCAAAAGAATGCAAAACAGTTTGGGGGCATAGTTAGTGGGAGGATGCTTAATGCCAGTGAATTTATTTCCTGATTTGGGTGATAGTTACATGAGTGAATTTGCTTGAGTTTACCAAGATGTTGAATTTATCAAGCTGTTGACTCAAATTTTGACATTGTTTCCCTTATAGTTTAATTAAAATGACAATTAGGACCATTGATAGTAAAATGCTGAAAAGGCTAGCATGAATACACAAATAAGGAAACTATCCAGTAATCATAGTTATTAATACAGAAGCAAGAATTTTATGTAAAATTGTAATATATCAGACCCACTAGTAAATTAAAAACAAAATATGCCAAGATAAAGTAGAGTTTACTTTATGAATTCAATTCTGGTTTAATATATTATCTTCTTTCTAAATGCTAAAATGCATTTGAAAAAATACAATATCCATTCTAAATAAAAATTATTAGTAAAACAAAGATAGAAATGCCCTTATTTCAATATGTGTATAATAGCAGCAACCAAAATTATATCTCACTGTGAAACAATGAAGACATTTTCATTTAAGTAAGAAAAAAGATAACTATGTTTGCCAATACTATTACTGAATATTTTTGTACAAGTTCTAGACTATGTGATAAGGCAGGAAAATTAGATTTAAAAATTGATGACTTAGAATTAATACTCTCTTTTATTATAGACTGTACTATTATATGCCTAAATAAAAAAAGAACAAAAATAATAAAATCCCTTAAATAACTATTTAACAAAAATAATGCTCAATATGTTGGGCAGTTATTAAAATATATTTTAAAACAATTAGAAATTATAATAAAAAAGAATAGATCCCTGACTACAGCAAAATATAAACTATATAAAATTTTAGCAAGAAATATACAGCATATGTATGAAAAGTACAAAATTTTGCTGAGGACTATAAGAGACTACTTGAAGAAATGGACAGAAATGCCATATTTGTAAATAAGAAGATATATCTGGTAAATATGTCCATTCTCTTCATATCAATTTAATACTTAGAGCTGTATCAGTAAACATATTGATGTTTTGGAATTTTACGAAATTATCCCATGATTTACCTGGAAAATGTACAGACGAAAACAGCTATGAGAATTATAAAAAGTGGATAAAGATAGATGACTCACATTATACATTAAAATGTGCACTGAGGCTGTGTTAATTAAGATAGCGCTGCCTGGAATAAAAGTTGACAGACTAATGAAGCATTTCGGATATCCACAAACAGATATATACATATCTGTTTATATATGCATAACAGATATATATATATACGTATATATGTATATACGTATATATATATACGTATATATGTGTATATATACATATATGTATATATATGCAGCAAATGAAGTAATTGAGGAAGGGGTAGATTATCTTCATCCTTCCGAAGCATAAACAGTCATTATATTGTGTTCAGTACAGATATTTTGGTTGTGTTTATTCTTATAAAATGTGTATTGTCATATTATATACCCATCCTTCTCTTCTTTTGCCCATTCAAACCTATGATCTTTAAATAAGTGGTTCTCATAGAAGTAAAAGGTAGAACAGAGGATACTAGAGGCTGGGAAGGGTAGGGGGAAGGAAGGGAAGGGGAGAGATTTGTTAAAGGACACAAAATTACAGCTAGATAGGAAGAGTAAGTTCTAGTGTTCTATAGCACTGTAGGATGACTACAGTTAACAATAATGTATTATATAGTTTCAAATAGATAAAAGAAGGACATCCATGGTTCCCAATACAAATAAGTGATAAATGTTTGAGATGATATGGGAATTATCTTGATCTGATCATTGTATATTACATGCATCAAAACATCACTATATACATATTCATAATATGTACAATTATTGTCTATTATAAATTAAAATAAAATTTAAAAATCTATGCAGGTGGTTATGTGAAAGTCTAGTAGCCCATTTTCTGGAACACATAGGACTTCATGATGTTCATCCACCACATTTTGGCTATTGACTTTCCCAGCAATGTTCACCCAGATTGCCTCAATTCCTTCCCATCAGACAACTTCTGGCAGAGTCTTGTGACATCAGTCATTTGGGACAGGAGGTTTAAATACTCTTAGTATGGCAGCCTTCTCTTTAATTTTTTTGTTATGGCGTAGGACTTGTACCTTCTCTTGGGCATGAATTTCATGCTTTCCAGTGTGAGACCATTGTTCTTGGCGGAGATGTCTCCTTCACTGTCTGATGGTCAAACCATATATGGTCGGAACTCCCTTGCCGTGTGCCGGTGCCTACTGACTGTGGCATCTCTCTTGTCTCTGTGGCTGGCCTCTGTGTCTTATTTTTTGTCAGCATCCCCACACCCATCTTCACACACTGGGAAGCAAGGTGTATTTTAAAAAATAATATGTGTTTTAGGATCGGTTCAGTCAGGATTGGAATAACAGCTCTGCCACACACTATTGGGACAGCCTTTGCCAATCCATGCAGCCTTCCTAAGCCTCAGTTTTTACATTTGTGAAATGCTAGTAATAATACCTAGTACATTAGGGCATGATGAGGCTTAAATTATATAGCAATTGGAAAGTCAACTTGCTATTCTTTGAATACACCAGGTGATAGCTCCAGCAGCTTCTGCCTGAAAGACTCTTCCATCATGGCTCACTCCCTTTACTTCAAATATTTGCTCAAATCCCACGTTTTCAGTGAGTTCTGCCCTGATCACCTTAATTTAATTCAAAACAACTCTTTCCCCACTCTCCAACTTTTCTTCTTTCTGTGTACTTTTCATCTTCAAAGGTACTAGATAATTTATGAATTACGTTTAGTGTTAGTTATTGGTGCTTCTTGCTAAATCCTATGGTGGACCTAGATCTGTGTTTTGTTTAGTGACGAATCCCAAATACCTGAAAATAGTGCCTGTTTCCAGGTGGCTTAGAGTCTCTAATAAGTAAATATTGTCAAATGAATGGTTTTACTTAGCTGTGCCAAGATCAGAATAGTCCCAGGAACCTCCTTAAGATGTTTTCACATTTCCAGAGTGGCTGTGGACAAACAGGCCAGTGGACAAACAGCAAGAATATTTCCTATTTGGTCATGGGGCCTGAGAAGATCACAGTCTTTGGAGAAAGTGAGTACCAGTCTGAGGTCTGGGTGACGTCGGGGCCTCTTGGCAAGGGTTCTTACCCCCGGTTTTACCAAGGAGGCAGCAGTCAGGCCAGAGTTACCTCTGCACAAACTAGAAACTTAATAAAGGTCTATTGGCTAGATTTATAGAAAGCATACGTTTGTTAACTTTGAACAATCATTGTTAACTTAGGGCCAATCATGCTTTAAGTGCTAGGTGCTCCAAGAACAAATAGGCAATATTTTTTCTGTTTGTCCACTGGCCTCACAGCTTGGAAAAGAGCTCAACTTTTATCTAAAATTTAACCTGGTAGCTGATCTTTCTGGTAGCTGAAAATAAAAGTGAAGTGCACAGTGAAAAAGGCTGCTCAGGAGTCCACGTGAGCAAAAGAGGAGCAGAAACCCCATTTTTTCAGACCAGTGAAATGATGTTGCACCCTCTCCCTGTGTTGGAAGAAGCCTGGTATAGCTGGGGGTCACTGGCGACTTAGAGGTCAGCTCTGCTAGGAACCCCACTGGTAAAGAGAGGCTCCACGTGGTGAGACTGGGTGGCAGTGTCAGTGGAACAGTCCCCTGAGGGCTGATGGTTCCAAAACAATGTGGAGTGTATTTGTGGAAGGCCAGAGGTCTGGAGCCCCACTGACTCATCCCCACATTTTTCTTCTCTCTTGTTTTCCTCCTTCTCCATTGCCATTGACTCCTCTCTTCCTCTCTCTGCCATGATTCCTCTGCTCTAGGTCAGTGGTCATCATACTTTTGTGAGCATAAGAACCACCTGAAAGGCTTATAAAAACACAGATCGTGGGTCCTCTCCCTGAGTTCCTGATCCAGTGCATCTGGGCTGGGGCATGGGAAGTTGCATTTCTAAGCTCTCAGGTGAAGCTGCTGCTGCTGTGGCTGGCCAGAGACCCACACATTGCGAAGCGCTGACCTATTGCTTGCTCATCCTCCCTATCCCTCAACCTCTCATGGCATTTCTCTATCTGTCTCCTTCTCTCCCTCATTGTCTTTGTCATTGTCCTCTCCATTCCTCCTTCAGATGCTCTCAGGTCACTGATCTCTTTTTCTAACATGAAATCAGAAGAAGGCTAGAGAAAGAAACCCTGAGTCCCTGTATCCCAGGCTGAAATTCTTTTCTCTCCCATGCTCTTTGGAAACACTTTGTGCTAAGTCTCCCTGCCAGTTACTGTCATGCCCTTATAGACAAGGTGGGAACTAAAGCCCAGGTCCTTCCACATGACAAGGCTGTGCCTCTCTTCCTCTATCCCACAGAGAATGCCTGGGAATCTTCAAAGACCATAGCAGGGTCGGGGGAGATGACAGAAAGTGAATCCATTAAGAGGCGTAAAAGCTGACAGTTTCAAAAATAATGATCTCGGTTCCCTCTTATTTAAAACTATCCAGCTGCCCTGCTGCTTTCATTGCTGCTGCAACTGACACTCAGCTATGTTTGGAATTAAAAATACATAAGTGTTTTCTGAAAAAGCTGCTAATTTGAAGGTCATTAGCAGCCAAAAACATATTTCTTTCATTTATAAAAAGTCACGTAATAATATTTACCCTCTTCTCTGAGCTCCTACGTGCTTACTCCCTCCAGCTAAGTGGCCTGCCTCCTTGGCCCCCAGCCATGTGCCCTCCTGTTGGCCATCGCTTTCCTGCACCTGCCCTCTCCCTGACACCTGCTTGGCGGCCTGCAGTACCCAGAGGAGCCTGGGACTCTCAGTGGACTAGGATGGATGTAAATGGCCATTAGAGTTGGTAAAATGGCCCTGTCTTCCAAGGAGAGGGCACTTCCGGCAGTTAAGCACTGATGGGTTCAGAGGCACTTGCCTTTGTAATGAGGATATTTGGGATAATTTCCCCTGCGGGCTGCAGCTTATGTCCTCGCTCCCTTTGGTCTGTGTCAGAGCAGCCTGGCAGGCATGTCTCCTCTGGGTCCTGACCCGCCTTGCCCCTTCCTGGCTGTGCAGCTGTGATGGCAACCAGTCAGTGCTAACACTTGGCACTCTGTCCCTGCATGCCTCGGGGGAGGCTGCCACACCTCGCTCAGTACTGTGGGCCCAGGTGGATTTGAGGCTGTCAACTGCTGCACCCAGGACTCTTCCTTCATATGTGCACTGCACTGTACTGCTTGCTTTCTCGACTCTCTGTTTCCCAGTGGCCCCCTCAGCTGGTCCTTCTGCCCCCAACTCCCTCTGCTCAACTGTTTATTTTATGAAGAAAATTACTGGAACCCCAGTCTATCAGCAGCTTTCCTAGAAAATCCTACTTGCAAAAGGAAGAGGGGGGGTGGGGATAAATGCAAGGTGGGGAAAGGCAATGAGGCTGGGGGTTGTGGTTGCCATAGAAATGTAGAAGTGGGACTGACAGCTGAAAAGAATTTCCCAGAGCAAAGGAGGAGGGAGTGAGAGGGGAGTGAGGGGCGGTGAGCATGCATGAGGGGCAGCTGCCCAATGGGAAGTTACATCAAATACATTTAGAGGAAGGGGTATGAGGAGACAGGGCCCAGCCCAGGGATGCAGATTCTGCCACAGGGAACACGACTGAGATAAAAATGCAATCGGGAGTCCTGGGATCAGAGAAGCAGCTGCCTGGGTCTACAGAAGTGCACCAGTGCACATGGGATTCACCCAAAACCCCCTCCACCTGCGCACCAGAAGCAGAATCACCAACCCCATGGTCTGAATGAGGTGGAACCCTGCTTTGTAAGGTGATCTTGGCTTCTCTTCTGAAAATAGGTTGTGCGACAAAAGGAAAGATAGTGTGTGCTCTGGCTTCAGTTAGCTTCTTTTATCTGAGATTTATTTCTTCATTATAAAAAAGTCATTTTGGGCTTACTTAACCAATTTCCTCTTACTGGTCTTATTTCTTCTAATTACATGTGTGCGGCAGCTGATTATGCTTGCTTCGCATCATGGGCTGGAAAAGGGATGACTTCCCCATCGTGTATGGAGTGCGGTAAATCTCTCCCCAGTGCTCAGGGAAACTCTGGGGGCTCAGAGCGTAGAGGTGGGCCGGTAGCCTGGGGGCCAGAGTGGGGACCAGGCAGGGTCTGGTCATCAAGGCACTTCCTTCAAAGCCAGCAACATGGGCCCTGGTGTGGGGGAGAAGGGGGTGATGGCAGCTTGGGGCCAAGCTTCTCAAGCCAGCCTCTCCTAGGGGCAAACCTGGTGCTGCCTGCATGTGGTGAACAGCTAGGTGTTGTCTGGAAACGGCCTCCTTGCCTCCTTTCAGATCCCTAATCCAGAAGGCCCAAACCCTCACAAACCAGCTCCACAGCCCTCCCTCGGGATTCCTGCCGCTATTGCGGCACTTCTCATGTTGTTTTTAATTTCCCCGTTAACTCCCCTTTTAGACTGTGAGCTCCCTTAGAGTAAAGGTGTGCCTGGCATTTATAGGGATCTAGTAAAGACTTATGAATGAATGGATGAACAAATATACAAATAAATAATTTACAAATACACAAATACGTAATGTTTCCTCTTGGAGACTCTCCTCCAGCCTTTCACTACGGCCGCCCTCTCCTGAGTCACCTGCTTATATGTTTCTACTTTTCCCATTGACTCTCCAGAGAAGGTCTCACCATTTGCCAAGAAATCAGAGTCCACAGTTACTGACGGTTCCTTTTCCTGGTGCTTTAGTCCAGGAACACTGGCTTTTTAACACTGATCATGAACCATCTGCTTTTCACCACTCATGTTATATTCTGGGAGGCTTGCTTTGTTTATACCTTTCTGTGGTGGTTAGCCATGTTACAGTATACTAAGATTCTCCTGAAACCAGCTTTCAAGAATGACTGCAAGACCCATTGGTAGGGACTGCCTAATGAGGCTGACTAGATAGTCCCTGGGATCAGGATTTAGTTGGTGAGGCTTTTACAAATATTTTAGGTTCCTGAAGTCTGCCCCAAGCTCTCTGACTCTAGCCACCACCCCTCCAGTCCACCTTAGGCAGGTCATGTCCAGGTTGGCCCAATTACAGAGCAGAAGGTCTTAATCATTAAGTTACACAAGGATTCAGTAAACTATGGTACATATACCACCGCAACCCTCCACCTGTTTTTATCAATAAAGCTTTATGGGAGCACAGCCACACCCATCAATTTAAATATTGTCAATGACGGCTTTCACCGGACAATAGCAGAGACGAATAGTGGCAAAAGAGACCATATGGTCCACAAAGCCTAATATAATAACTATCTCACCTTCAGTGGAAACATTTTGCCATCTCCTAATAGGTTAGATCTATTGCACAGGAGTCTGGAAGAGATGCTCAGTTTTCTTGCACTCTGGCTAGCCATGAGTTTCAGAACCATAAACAGTTAACTAAATCTCAGCAGCATATGACAGTTTGCAAATAAGACCAAAGGAATGATGTTCACTCAAATGAAATCAGCTGTACAGTAATGCCCCCTGGGCCAGACAAGTTAATGCTTGGCAAACTGCCCTCTCTGTGAAACAGCTCAGCAGGAGCTGAGCCCCATGGTGGGAAAAAAACAATAAAAAAATTGTTAATTGTTAAATTGGATGTCAGAATATCTTTCAAAATTGCAGTAGGCACTTTGTGTTTGGAAAATACCGGACTGTGAGTAAGGCTAGAGGTCACCAATAGGCAGAGGAGCTCTCCCCTTCCTGGGCAAAATAGATGAAAGGCTTGGTGCCATCTGCTCTATTCTACAGGGAGACCCACCACCAGGTGCCCTGCCCAGCTGCTGTATTTTCATTTAGAGAGAGCACAAATGAAATCATGTGAGCAGGGTTATGTCCACGGAGTCCTAGAGAGTTGTAATATACATGGCCCAACCTTGAGCCTGAGGTGAAGTAACTTCAAGAAGAATCAATGTAATCAATGAGCATGCTTGGTCTTTTGTCTTCCTCAGTTGGAAGTGACTGATGGCAAAGGTGCCTGGATTCAATTATTAGTTCATTTATTCTGCAGATTTACTGCAGAAGACAGTGCCCCAGGCCTGCAGATTCAGCCACGAATAAGACACACTCCTTTGCTTGACGGAGCTCCCAGGGATAAAGATGCATGAACAGACCGTGATAGTACAGAGGGCTGAACGCTGTGATGGTGAGGAGCACAGAGAATGGAGTGGGCAAAGAGAAGAAGCAGCTAACCCAAGTGGGAGGAATCTGGGATCCTTCAAGTAGAGCTGAGGCTTGAAGCAGAGCCAGGAAGCAGCCAGGTGAGAGGAGGTGGGACAGGGCAGGGGTTGAGCAGTGGCCACCAGGGACCATGACAGACTTGATGGGTGCAAGAGGGATGGTGTTGGGAAATGGGGACAGAGGTCATAAGGATTCATAGGTTTCCACATTTGAATTTTTCAGTTCCCTCCACAATGTTTTACCATATCCACACATTAATTGTATTATCTTTTAGTTACCATTATTTCCCTAAAACCAAGAACCAGTTTTACTTTCATAAACTTATTTTTAAAGGAACATTATAATTAGTGTGAAATAATGTATATGTTTTTGTGCTACCTATATTTTTCTGTAGTGTACATTAACATAAATGTGTAAAGGATGTGGGTACATGTGTCCTGAAACCCTCTCACCCCCTGATGGTGCACTCACCACACTTTTGGAAACCCAATAGATTGACCCCGAGGATGACATTTCAGTCACAAGAAAATCTCTGAACAGTTACTTAACTGAAGAAATCTCTTCATATGGACTAATAGGCCCAGAAATTGGGCTTTAATCGGAAGAGGATATTTGACTTAATAGCAGGGATGAAAAGCCATAGGCCTGTGTGAATGAGCAAGCAATGTGCCTATACAACATATTGAAGTTCCAGAATCTAGCCAGTGGTCCAATATGGCAAGCAGCCTGGGAATCCACCCAGGAGCAAGGCAAAGCTCAGCTCCAATCTCTGCAAACATGCAAGGCGAAGGGGAGAAATGATTACGATGACAGTTACACGTAACCATGAAGTTCACAAAACCCCCACATCCATGGAGGTTAAGGATTGACCTTTATCAGAAGGCAAGACGACTTTTTACAACAAACCTCAGGGACCCATTCATTTTCTATTTTTATATCATGTTTCCAAATCGCTAGAAGGAAAGTAAACTGATACTAGCCACCATTTACTGAGTACTCCCAACAACCAGGACCTAAACTATGTGATTTATGTGTGGCCCCTCATTTCACCCTTGCAAAACGCTGTGGGTTGAATATTACTCCCATTTTATAGACACAAAGCCTCAGAGTGTACATATGTTGCCTGCACTGTGTGGCAGGACTCAGGTGGCCAGTAGGAATTTCCAGAAGGCATCTAGCTCAGGTGGGGATATGGCTTGGTAACTCAGAGAACACACTTCAGGCAAATAGGCTCAGTTCCAATCCTTGCTTTTCAGTGTGATCTAGAACAAGCTGCTTGAACTTCTCTGAACCTTATTAGTTAATTCACTTTCAAAATGGGTATAATAGTTGTATAAGTAATTAGTTTGCCTGGCTCGTAGTAAGCACTCAAAAAAATGGCAATTGCTATTACCATTTATATTATTTAATTTATGATTATTATTTTTGAGAACTTCTCAAGTGGCCCTAATTTCAGCCCCCAACACAGGAGCACCTCCTCTAATTAGCTGGTAGAAAGATTCCCTTCACATTCTAAGAAGAATGTAAGATCCACTAAGAAGAGAAGACTCCCTTTACTTTCAGGGAAGAAAATGCTGATTAGGGCTCTTGTACTAAGTTCAGGTATAAGGGTGACAGCTGGAAATGTCTACATTTATAAATGTAAGGTATAAGTGTCACCTTATACCCAAACTTGGTACAGGAGCCCTAATCAGCATTTTCTTCTCTGAAAACATCTTGGCTCTGGTCAGAGATCCCTGAGGTGTCTATGATCACACAGAAGTCCAGTTGGCATGCCATACTCCACTGGCATTTGGGGTTAGGTGCTTGTGTGCTCAGCCTCCTGGGTCCAGACCTTTCCTAGTGTATGCTGGAGGAGGAAGGCAATTGCTTCAGGGTGGGGGTGAGGGAGATCTCCAAGAGTCAACACAGAGCCACAACAATCTAGCAAAAGGAGGACAAGCTGCTCAGAACTGGAAGCAGTTCATTTTAGCCATACGGTTTAGACACGGGACACTTTCTGCAGCCTTCATTTCCTGGAGAGGTGGGCATGACCAGAAACTGGTATTGGGTAGCCACTGAGGGCTTCTGAGCAGGAGAAGAGCCTGTGATGTTTTCATCTTCCTTTCTCACTAGATCCTCTCATTGCCCACTCTCCCATTTCATTAGAAATGGGTGTGCTTGCCTGATTACTCTCACATTGCCATGGCAAGGTCTGTGAGTTCAATCACGGCTCTTCATCACAAGAGGTTGTGGGAACTAAGTGATTAGACTGTGAGGAAATTGGAAGTTGAGGTTGAACTCTGCCAGGAACTCATGCCATGCTTCCTTTATTCATCCTCCAAACCAAATTGGAATTGCTTCACTTTAAGCCATACCATCCCTCCACCTGAACTCCCTACCTTCTTGGGGTCTGACCCTCTCAATTATCCTCTTTCTCTTTTTCTCTCTCTGTGGAATCTTTTTCATTAGCTTTTAAACATGTTCAAGTCTTTCCCACTAAAAAATAACAAAATAACAACCACCGAAAAGAGCCTCCAGCTACATCCTTACTTTTCTTCTCCTCTTCAAAGTCACTCTTTTTGAAAGACTGTGATGTTCTCTCTTTCCTCGACTCAGCCAGCATCTTCTACCAACACCTCTCTGCTGAAACTGCTCTTACTATGGTCACCCAGGCCTTCCTGTGGCTAAACACATGGGCAGTTTTTAATCCTTACCTAATACTAACCCTTTTTGGCAACACTGGGAATCGGGACCACCATTCCCTCCCTGAGATTTTTCCCATTGGCTCCATGGACACTGCACATTCCTGATTTTTCTCTCTCTCTGTAGTGACTCTGTCCAGACTCCTCTGTGAGCCTTCCTTTGCCTGGACATTTGTTAAATATAGTTGTTTCTCAGGGTCCCATGTGGGCTCACTTCTCTCTCCACTCACATTCTCATGCAGTAAACTCCTCTACTCCTGTGGCTTTAATTACCATCTAGACAAAGGATGGCTCCCAAATCTATTTCATCAGCCCAAATCTCTTTGCTGAATTATGCAGCCCTATATCCAATGGCTCATAGGCAACTCGAATTCGTATTGTCCCCCTCTCCCACAATTTCTTCCTCCTTTTGTATTCTCTATGTCAGTGAATGGTATCAACATCCACCCATTTTCCCAAATCAGAAATTTGGAGTGTCATCCTCAACTCTTCCTTCCCTCACCCCTGAAAGCCAATCCCCCTTTCCCTTCTGCTGCTCTTGCCTCCTTCTTATTTCTTGAATCAATCCACTTTTCTCCATCCCCACTGCTACTTCTACGCCTTCACCCCGGCTGCCATCATCTGCTGAGATTATTACACCAGGCTTTCAACTAGTCTCCCTGAATCAACTTTTGCCATTCGGTTTTCTATTTTGTGGCCAGAATGATTTGTATAAAATATAACTCCCTTGCTTCAACCTACTTTCCACAGCTTACACTCAGAGTAATACCTGGATTCCTTATCATGCTCTAGCCCCTGCTACCCCTCCAGCTGCTCAGAGGGAGCACTGTATACTCCAGCCTCTCCAGCAGTGTGTGAGCCCACAAACACGTCATGTACTCTCTGGCTTCTGAACCTTGGCCCTTGCTGTTCCTTCTACCTACAATTTGAGTTCCACCACTGACATCACCCCCTCAACTTGATAACTCCTTGCATTCCTCAGGTTCCAGTTTAGCAGACCACCCTGGGGTTGCCTTCTTTAACTGCCTGGGACAATGGTAGTGCCGCCTCTATGCTCCCATAGCCCTCTTCATTTTCCCATTGGAGTTATTTACAACATTGAGTTCTGCCATAAAAATTGTAGTTGAAATTTACTTGTCATTGTATTCTGTCAGAAAGCCATTTTCAGAATATAGCAGTTGCTCATGTACATGCAAATATGAATTTAAATAAGACCAGAAGAGAAAACCAAAGTTTTCTTGGGGTAAAGAGAACTTCTCTCATTTAACAGTATTTCTCAGCTGCTTAGAAGTAGCTCATTTGCCCATAATTTTGTTTTGTTTTCTTATTTCAACATTTTTTTTTCTTCTGGTGAAAGGGAGGCCACAAGAATTCTTAGAGTAATAGTGGCTTTAGAAAGGACAAACAACTCTTGGAAGAAAGCCTTAGAGTAGAGGTAGTTGTACAAAACACCAATGAAGTTTCACTGGCCAGAGAAGTGCTGCCCATCCTCTCCGCTCAGCCAGACATCTTCCAGCAGGACACAGCCCTGGTTCTGCTCTCAGAGGGTTGGGCCATCCTTCACCTCTGCTCTTCAATGTCCGTCGAATTTGCTGCCATTGTACCAGGGACAACATCAAATTCATTCCTACATCTCAAGGCCTTTGCACGATGACTGACACTCAGTGGGAGGCTGCCTCACCCCAGGCTTGGGCTCTGGGGAAAACTGTGACATTATTTTAAAGATTCAAACAGGGTTTAAAAGGAGCATTTTAAACTTCACAAAACTAAAATTAGAATAGGCTACGATTGATAGCAGTTAGAGTAATTGAGAAAGATTCCAACTAAATACCCAGGGATTAAATTATTTTAAAGCATGCTCTTTAAGGTCATGGACTTTTGTAGGTGAAATAATGACATGTTAAACTTTCTCAATTCAAACTTATTTTAGTCACCACACATTTATTGAGCATCTTCCGTGTGTCAGACAGTGTGCTGAGTGCTGAGTACATAGGTGAGTAGGATGTGCCCTGTGGCCACTTTCATTTGGAGAATTACCACAAGCTTCTGTTAGGATACTATGTGCTAAGTCATGACTCACAGCGGCATGAGAACCCCTCAAGGACCAGTGATAACAAGGCCAGCCCAGGAGGGATGCAGGAGGGAGAGCTCTCCTTTTTCCCCGGTGAGTGATGGAGGTCTATCCATCCCATCCACTCTTAATCAGGTCTGCAGAACACATCCTTCCACCCCCTACCAGGGCTTGCACTCTCTGAGAGGGACTGATAATTTGTTCTCAGACCTCTGTATAACTGTTCTTATTTGGAAATGGCTGGTCTCAAGAGACTCCCTAGTGGTGAACATAGTTGCCATTGGACCTCAGTCAACTCGAGTGACCTTCCAGTGTGATCCAGACACACCCTTCCTCTTTTGGCCACCTTTCTGTGACCTCAGGGATTCCCTTCTACTATGCTCCTGCCTGCTGTCCCAATGATATCTTGAACAATACAAAACCTCTCACTACTTTCAGAAATGGCTCTATGACTTCTACACGGACTGCAAGTCTCAGCCAATGCAGAACTCGGGCTGATAGGAATCTTAAGACCTCTTTTAGCACTGAGTGTCCTTGGAGTGCTCTGGATGGTGCCTGTTTGTGGCTGATCCCTGTCATGGCTGTGCCTTCCCCCTTGCTTCACTGACAGTGACCTCACCATGCCCCCAGCCAGTTGGTGCCAGAGCCACTAATATTTCTGAAAAGATGATGAAATTCCCAGGCTCCCCGAAAAGGCCTTCTTAGAACGCGAGGGAACTGTTAGAACCTTTCATTTTAACTGATACTTTGTAGATTCTCTTCTTCCTGCTCTATGTCTCAGTCTTCCTGCCCTCCGATATTCCTAAAGTCCTATTCCTCAACCCTCACTAATTTCTCTGCTCTCTTCTTAAGTGCATGGTCAAGGAAAACTTTACGTTCTCATTTAATTTCAATTATCCCAGGTGGCCTCGGCAAGAATCCAGTGACCTGGCTCCACATGTAACGTGGTGGGAAGGAGACATATGGAGAGGTGGAAGGCAGGAAGAAGCACATAATTTCAGTAGTGTGTGAATGTATTTGGACACCCAGGTGATACAATAAACATACAGTCTGTAGATTTATCTACCTCTCTACCAGTCATTCATGTCTTTGAGTGCTGGAAGGGGCAGGGAGAGGGTGTGGAAAGGTGGGGCATAATCTCCAAGGATTCTCCACAAATCACCTCCTTTCCCATTACCCTTGACCCGGGAACATTAATTAAACATCTCCCACTTGCCCCCGTGTGACTTCCGCCCACCGGACTCCCAGTGGCTGCAGGTGTGCTGGCTGAGCAGTCCCCTTTCTGTGAGCCACACCCTGGGCTGCACAGCATGGCTGCAGGTTCCATCTCTTTAGCCTGGTTCTCAGGGCTATGGGCCACTGACCCTTGTGCAAAGTGTGTTTTTAACTAAGGGTCCAAATTGGATTTAGTCTTCTGTGAGATGATGAGGCAGCATATGTAGCTGAAATTTAGAGCATTGGGGTCTCACTGACATAATTCTCCCCACAGAGCTTCTTTGAAGGTGTTAGGAAAGCCCCCCCTGGAGCTAAATGTGCCAGTGGAAGAGACACAAGATGCGAACCAGCCTTTCCCATCAATCACTTCATGCCAAAAGTGTGAGGGTTTGTTCCCTTCTTTCTGGGTATCTCAAGAACCTCGATCACTATTATTTCCTGAAGCAGGAGCTTTATGTCTATTATCACTAATTCTCAGGAAGGTAGGCTGGGGTAATACAGTGGTTCTCAAAGCATGGTCCCTGGACCAGCAGCATCAGCAGCACCTGGAAACTTGTGAGAAGTGCATGTTCTCCAGTTCCACTCTAGACCTGCTGAATCAGGAGCCCAAAGGTGGGGCCTGTGATCTTTGTTTTAACAATACCTCTAGGTGATACCAATGCACACTCAAGTGTGAGACCCACTGGGGTAAGTGGTTAAAAGCAAGGAGTCAGATTGCCTGAATCAAAATCCTGACTCCACCATTGTGTTTTCTGGGAAGGTCCTTTGTCTCTCAGTTTCCTCATCCAAAATTGGGAACAATAAATTACCTGCTACTATTTCACAAGGTTATGGTGAGGAAGAGATTTCATGCATGTAAGGCAGTTAGATAAGTGCCTGGCATAGAGAACCTACTCAGGAATGTTAGGTACTCTTCATTGAAGGTAGGTATTATTTTCCTATTACACAGATGAGGAAACTGAGGCTCAGAGAGGTTCATGACTGGCCCAGTGCTGCAGAGGTAATGTGTGAGGTCTCACTCACTAGTGACACATCTCCTTCCCTTCATGCTTCATGTGTTCCTGTAGTTCATCCCGGGTGTAGGGGTGGGGCCTTGTGCAGGGCATCTGTGGGGGTTGGGGGTGTCCAGATCTTGGTCGTGCCCACCTCACTGAAAACTGTGCCTCGAGGCACCCTGGCCTTGGCTCTGCTGACCCCTCATGCTTTCCTCTTGTGCACTTTGGATTCTTGCTGTCTCCATTCTGGGATCTATGGTGAAACCAAGCCAAAGGGTTTAACAGGACTTTCACCTTGACCCTGCTTTGTCCACAACCAGAAGATGAGTTGGCATTGGTGGAGGCGGTAGTGAGAATTCGGGGTTAAAGATTCTGCCAGAGGACTTTAGTGACAGATTAAAATTCATTCCTGTGGAAAATTGAGAATAGATTAGCCAAATTGCCTAGACTTGTATGATACTCATGGATCGGGGTCTTTGGGGTAATTAGTAAATTGTGCATGGAATTGGTAAGCAATTAATAAAGGGAAATTTTCTCTTCTACCTGCATGGTTGGATTGGGGTCCTTTGCAGCCTCAGGCAAACTTGCTGAGAGGAGTTCTGTCCATCCACTTCCATTCTCCAGGGGTTCAGCCATGGATGGTGATTTAAGATGAGCTCCACTGAATTAATGCTGTACCCCCAGGCTTGTGGACCACTTTGAAGGGGTTAATTGTTCGGGGAATCTTGGCCGGTGATTTTAGAAGGTAAGAACCACCCCATATCAAAGTTAACAATGACTAGGGGAAAAGGCTATTATCAGTGTAAGCATGTATTAAATGAGCTACTTGGCAACCATAACACCTTTCACTGCCTCATATCTCTTCACTCCCAACTGCATGTTCATAGATAAACCACAGCAAGCAGTCTACATTTACAAAATTGGCCTGGATGTGGACTTCTCAAATGCAGTGCGTAAACTAAAATCAGGGTTGATAGTGTATTCATGGTGATTGTTTATGTTTATTTGCCAGCGACTTCTTAAGCCTTATTTATTCAGTTTTTCCTTTGGATCACGTCAGTGCCAGAGAGTTTACTACATTCTGCTTCTTGGCATTCATGGGGTCAAGGATGTGTTCCCTCCCTCCCACATTAGAAAGAAGAAGGACAGTTGTTAAGGATTCTCCTGAAATTTGGGGACAACCCTCTGGGATCCAGGGATACACACTCTGACACCATTTTACGTAAACCCAGACATGCTTCTGCTCTTTTTAATTAGACAGATAAAATTAGCAAGGAGATTAAGGTAAAAGGAGAAATTTAAAATAATTAAATGTTAGGTGGAATTTACAAAAGTGAATTGAACAATGAGGTACAACAAGGAATGTAAAGAGAAACACAGACACATTTGAAACATTCCTCGGATGCCACACGGCTTAAGCCAGTCCATAGGTAAAGCAAGAATTCTCCCTTGTCACTTCTTGAATTGCAGATTCCAGTGATGTGAAAGAACATTCTCCAGAAACACTTTCCTTCTCCTTTTCTTGAGATGTTATCAGGAATAATTAATCAGTCAGTATCATTCCAGGATGGCCCACACTGCATCCAATTCAAACCACTCACCTGTTTCCTGTCTGAATTTGCAAACTTTTTTTTTTCCTTTCATTTTATTTTTCTCCCTCTCCTCTCTTCCCATTGAGCCAATAGGCCGATTGGGCCAACCAGAAAGCCAAACCAACACCATATTCCAGCCCCTTTGGATTTCCTAGGGACAAAGACTTCCCAGTTCTTCTTTCTTGTTTGCATCTGTTACGAACAAGCACAGTCATTTTATAACACAGACATACATATGTGTGCTTTTGCACACGGAAACAGGTTTTTCTTCTTTTTTTTTCCCCAATTTGTGGTTTCTTTTTCCTTTTTGCAGAAAATGCAAACAAAAGAAAAACGAGGTTTTCAATTGAAGGTACATCTCTTCTTCAATATGAAGACATTAATTGAATTGGTTGGATCCCCATGCAGTGGTCAGCAAAGTCCTTTGGCAACTGACAGAACAACATCTGGAGACTCAGGAGCTGGGTTTTGTTTGAAGAAACTTCCCTACAGGAGTCATGAGCAAAGGGAAACGAGTGTGGGAGAAGGGAGGGGACTCTCAGGGAGGAGTACGAAAGGAGAAAAGAAAAGAATGTCATTGGTGAGGAAGAAAATGGAACACTGCTTCTGTTTCTTCCCTCTACCTCCTTCCCTTTCTTCCTGTGGTTGGGCAACTGCAGCCCACTGAGAATGGGAGCTGGGTTTACTCTTGTTCTCCTGATGCATATTGTTTTGTCTTCACTTCTGTTGAACATCACCTTTTTATATTTTTATTATTATATATTTGGTTTCCCACGGCATCTCAAACATGCTTCTGTCACTGAGAAATGGAGATTGCCTGCTAGCAACAGGTCCGGTTGATTCTTCACTGATGGAAATGCATTCCTCAGCTGAGAAGCCAGTCTCTCCAGTACATTCCACAGTGGTCAACCTCTGGTCCCCCTTGACCCTGGTCCTTTTCCCTCCTCTCCTTCCCCAAGAAACAAGAGTTCTCATGCCATTGCCGTTGGTGACTGACTTATCTGGACCCTCATAGAATGAATGCTGTTCAGGATCTTCTTCTGATGGCCTGCCAAGGTGATGCCTATTCTCAGGAGGTCTCTAGGAGGAAAGAGCCAGAAAAGAAGTCACTTTAGTGTTAGGTTAGCTTTTCGCAGATCAAAACTCATCACTAAAGCCATGTTCTTGGGAAGTAGCCATGCTACAAAAATCCAACTAGCTTAAGTTTACCCAAATTTTTGGCAAACTTCCAATTAGAGATTTTCCTGCTCACTTTCTCCTTCTTCTCTAATGCTTCCTCCAGCTTAGGCAATCCTGGGAGTGCTGTGCCTTGTTCCAGGGGTGTGTTCCTTATGTACGGGCTCTAAGGCAGCCCCTTCATTGTCTCCTGACCCTCAGATGGACTGGAATTTTCCTCTGCTATTTTTTAACACTCCAAGTGCACACTATACGGGGCTTCAGTTATTCTGTGGAGTTTTCTGCCTAAATTAGTGATCACCCACTGAGACTGAAAAGATGTGGGGCTCACCTGGTCTTCTGATGTTTTCCCCTGAGTTTCCATTTGCTGCCTCCATGTGAATTTTAATGTATGCATTTTTAAGAAGAGTGGGCTCAAAATAACTAAAATATCTGCCCAATCAGGAACCCAAGGAATATGTCCAGGATAGAGCACTGAATTGGATTAATAAGAACAAGTTCATGGCTTATAGTTGACCTGTGCTAGACCCATGCATTCTTCCTAGGTTAATAATAATACATAACACTGCTTGAATGCATCCCACGTGCCATACACTATCTCATTTAAACCTATGTGAAAGCATTTCATAAAAATAGAGAAACCACTGCAAACACAATGATGATAAAAATTTAATTAACAGTGATTGGAGGAGCCAAGATGGCCGAATAGGAACAGCTCCAGTCTACAGCTCCCAGCGTGAGCGACGCAGAAGACGGGTGATTTCTGCATTTCCATCTGAGGTACCGGGTTCATCTCACTAGGGAGTGCCAGACAGTGGGTGCAGGTCAGTGGGTGCGTGCACGAGCCGAAGCAGGGTGAGGCATTGCCTCACTTGGGAAGCGCAAGGGGTCAGGGAGTTCCCTTTCCTAGTCAAAGAAAAGGGTGATGGACGGCACCTGGAAAATCGGGTCACTCCCACCCGAATACTGCACTTTTCCGACAGGCTTAAAACACGGCGCACCACGAGATTATATCCCACACCTGGCTCGGAGGGTCCTATGCCCACGGAGTCTCCCTGATTGCTAGCACAGCAGTCTGAGATCAAACTGCAAGGCAGCAGCCAGGCTGGGGGAGGGGCGCCCACCATTGCCCAGGCTTGCTTAGGTAAACAAAGCAGCCGGGAAGCTCGAACTGGGTGGAGCCCAGCTCAAGGAGGCCTGCCTGCCTCTGTAGGCTCCACCTCTGGGGGCAGGGCACAGACAAACAAAAAGACAGCAGTAACCTCTGCAGACTTAAATGTCCCTGTCTGACAGCTTTGAAGAGAGCAGTGGTTCTCCCAGCACGCAGCTGGAGATCTGAGAACGGGCAGACTGCCTCCTCAGGTGGGTCCCTGACCCCTGACCCCCCCAGCAACCTAACTGGGAGGCACCCCCCAGCAGGGGCACACTGACACCTCACATGGCAGGGTACTCCAACAGACCTGCAGCTGAGGGTCCTGTCTGTTAGAAGGAAAACTAACAAACAGAAAGGACATCCACACCAAAAACCCATCTGTACATCACCATCATCAAAGACCAAAAGTAGATAAAACCACAAAGATGGGGAAAAAACAGAACAGAAAAGGTGGAAACTTTAAAAAGCAGAGCGCCTCTCCTCCTCCAAAGGAACGCAGTTCCTCACCAGCAACGGAACAAAGCTGGATGGAGAATGACTTTGACGAGTTGAGAGAAGAAGGCTTCAGACGATCAAATTACTCTGAGCTACGGGAGGACATTCAAACCAAAGGCAAAGAAGTTGAAACCTTTGAAAAAAATTTAGAAGAATGTATAACTAGAATAACCAATACAGAGAAGTGCTTAAAGGAGCTGATGGAGCTGAAAACCAAGGCTCGAGAACTACGTGAAGAATGCAGAAGCCTCAGGAGCCAATGCAATCAACTGGAAGAAAGGGTATCAGCAATGGAAGATGAAATGAATGAAATGAAGCGAGAAGGGAAGTTTAGAGAAAAAAGAATAAAAAGAAATGAGCAAAGCCTCCAAGAAATATGGGACTATGTGAAAAGACCAAATCTACGTCTGATTGGTGTACCTGAAAGTGATGGGGAGAATGGAACCAAGTTGGAAAACACGCTGCAGGATATTATCCAGGAGAACTTCCCCAATCTGGCAAGGCAGGCCAACGTTCAGATTCAGGAAATACAGAGAACGCCACAAAGATACTCCTCGAGAAGAGCAACTCCAAGACATAATTGTCAGATTCACCAAAGTTGAAATGCAGGAAAAAATGTTAAGGGCAGCCAGAGAGAAAGGTCGGGTTACCCTCAAAGGGAAGCCCATCAGACTAACAGCAGATCTCTCGGCAGAAACCCTACAAGTCAGAAGAGAGTGGGGGCCAATATTCAACATTCTTAAAGAAAAGAATTTTCAACCCAGAATTTCATATCCAGCCAAACTAAGCTTCATAAGGGAAGGAGAAATAAAATACTTTACAGACAAGCAAATGCTGAGAGATTTTGTCACCACCAGACCTGCCCTACAAGAGCTCCTGAAGGAAGCGCTAAATATGGAAAGGAACAACCAGTACCAGCTGCTGCAAAATCATGCCAAAATGTAAAGACCATTGAGACTAGGAAGAAACTGCATCAACTAACAAGCAAAATAACCAGCTAACATCATAATGACAGAATCAAATTCACACATAACAATATTAACTTTAAACGTAAATGGACTAAATGCTCCAATTAAAAGACACAGACTGGCAAATTGGATAAAGAGTCAAGACCCATCAGTGTGCTGTATTCAGGAAACCCATCTCATGTGCAAAGACACACATAGGCTCAAAATAAAAGGATGGAGGAAGATCTACCAAGCAAATGGAAAACAAAAGAAGGCAGGGGTTGCAATCCTAGTCTCTGATAAAACAGACTTTAAACCAACAAAGATCAAAAGAGACAAAGAAGGCCATTACATAATGGTAAAGGGATCAATTCAACAAGAAGAGCTAACTATCCTAAATATATATGCACCCAATACAGGAGCACCCAGATTCATAAAGCAAGTCCTGAGTGACCTACAAAGAGACTTAGACTCCCACACATTAATAATGGGAGACTTTAACACCCCACTGTCAACATTAGACAGATCAATGAGACAGAAAGTCAACAAGGATACCCAGGAATTGAACTCAGCTCTGCACCAAGCAGACCTAATAGACATCTACAGAACTCTCCACCCCAAGTCAACAGAATAAACACTTTTTTTCAGCACCACACCACACCTATTCCAAAATTGACCACATACTTGGAAGTAAAGCTCTCCTCAGCAAATGTAAAAGAACAGAAATTATAACAAACTATCTCTCAGACCACAGTGCAATCAAACTAGAACTCAGGATTAAGAATCTCACTCAAAACCGCTCAACTACATGGAAACTGAACAACCTGCTCCTGAATGACTACTGGGTACATAACGAAATGTAGGCAGAAATAAAGATGTTCTTTGAAACCAACGGAAACAAAGACACAACATACCAGAATCTCTGGGATGCATTCAAAGCAGTGTGTAGAGGGAAATTTATAGCACTAAATGCCCACAAGAGAAAGCAGGAAAGATCCAAAATTGACACCCTAACAAACATCACAATTAAAAGAACTAGAAAAGCAAGAGCAAACACATTCAAAAGCTAGCAGAAGGCAAGAAATAACTAAAATCAGAGCAGAACTGAAGGAAATAGAGACATAAAAAACCCTTCAAAAAATTAATGAATCCAGGAGCTGGTTTTTTGAAAGGATCAACAAAATTGATAGACCGCTAGCAAGACTAATAAAAAAAGAGAGAGGAATCAAATAGACACAATAAAAAATGATAAAGGGGATATCACCACCGATCCCACAGAAATACAAACTACCATCAGAGAATACTACAAACACCTCTACGCAAATAAACTAGAAAATCAAGAAGAAATGGATAAATTCCTTGACACATGCACTCTCCCAAGACTAAACCAGGAAGAAGTTGAATCTCTGAATAGACCAATAACAGGATCTGAAATTGTGGCAATAATCAATAGCTTACCAACCAAAAAGAGTCCAGGACCAGATGGATTCACAGCCGAATTCTATCAGAGGTACAAGGAGGAATTGGTACCATTCCTTCTGAAACTATTCCAATCAATAGAAAAAGAGGGAATCCTCCCTAACTCATTTTATGAGGCCAGCATCATTCTGATACCAAAGCCAGGCAGAGACACACACAAAAAAAAGAGAATTTTAGACCAATATCCCTGATGAACATTGATGCTAAAATCTTCAATAAAATACTGGCAAACCGAATCCAGCAGCACATCAAAAAGCTTATTCACCATGATCAAGTGGGCTTCATCCTTGGGATGCAAGGCTGGTTCAATATACGCAAATCAATAAATGTAATCCAGCATATAAACAGAGCCAAAGACAAAAACCACATGATTATCTCAATAGATGCAGAAAAGGCCTTTGACAAAATTCAACAACCCTTCATGCTAAAAACGCTCAATAAATTAGGTATTGATGGGACGTATTTCAAAATAATAAGAGCTATCTATGACAAACCCACAGCCAATATCATACTGAATGGGCAAAAACTGGAAGCATTCCCTTTGAAAACTGGCACAAGACAGGGATGCCCTCTCTCACCACTCCTATTCAACATAGTGTTGGAAGTTGTGGCCAGGGCAATTAGGCAGGAGAAGGAAATAAAGGGTATTCAATTAGGAAAAGAGGAAGTCAAATTGTCCCTGTTTGCAGATGACATGATTGTATATCTAGAAAACCCCATTGTCTCAGCCCAAAATCTCCTTAAGCTGATAAGCAACTTCAGCAAAGTCTCAGGATACAAAATCAATGTACAAAAATCACAAGCATTCTTATACACCAACAACAGACAAACAGAGAGCCAAATCATGAGTGAACTCCCATTCACAATTGCTTCAAAGAGAATAAAATACCTAGGAATCCAACTTACAAGGGATGTGAAGGACCTCTTCAAGGAGAACTACACACCACTGCTCAAGGAAATAAAAAAGGATACAAACAAATGGAAGACCATTCCATGCTCATGGGTAGGAAGAATCAATATTGTGAAAATGGCCATACTGCCCCAGGTAATTTACAGATTCAATGCCATCCCCATCAAGCTACCAATGCCTTTCTTCACAGAATTGGAAAAAACTACTTTAAAGTTCATATGGAACCAAAAAAGAGCCCGCATCGCCAAGTCAATCCTAAGCCAAAAGAACAAAGCTGGAGGCATCACACTACCTGACTTCAAACTATACTACAAGGCTACAGTAACCAAAACAGCATGGTACTGGTACCAAAACAGAGATATAGATCAATGGAACAGAACAGAGCCCTCAGAAATAATGCCGCATATCTACGACTATCTGATCTTTCACAAACCTGAGAAAAACAAGCAATGGGGAAAGGATTCCCTATTTAATAAATGGTGCTGGGAAAACTGGCTAGCCATATGTAGAAAGCTGAAACTGGATCCCTTCCTTACACCTTATACAAAAATTAATTCAAGATGGATTAAAGACTTAAATGTTAGACCTAAAACCATAAAAACCCTAGAAGAAAACCTAGGCATTACCATTGAGGACATAGGCATGGGCAAGGACTTCATGTCTAAAACACCAAAAGCAATGGCAACAAAAGCCAAAATTGACAAATGGGATCTAATTAAACTCAAGAGCTTCTGCACAGCAAAAGAAACTACCATCAGAGTGAACAGGCAACCTACAAAATGGGAGAAAATTTTCACAACCTACTCATCTGACAAAGGGCTAATATCCAGAATCTACAATGAACTCAAACAAATTTACAAGAAAAAAACAACCCCATCAAAAAGTGGGCAAAGGACATGAACAGACACTTCTCAAAAGAAGACATTTATGCAGCCAAAAAACACATGAAAAAATGCTCACCATCACTGGCCATCAGAGAAATGCAAATCAAAACCACAATGACATACCATCTCACACCAGTTAGAATGGCAATCATTAAAAAGTCAGGAAACAACAGGTGCTGGAGAGGATGTGGAGAAATAGGAACACTTTTACACTGTTGGTGGGACTGTAAACTAGTTCAACCATTGTGGAAGTCAGTGTGGCGATTCCTCAGGGATCTAGAACTGGAAATACCATTTGACCCAGCCATCCCATTACTGGGTATATACCCAAAGGACTATAAATCATGCTGCTATAAAGACACGTGCAAACGTATGTTTATTGTGGCATTATTCACAATAGCAAAGACTTGGAACCAACCCACATGTCCAACAATGATAGACTGGATTAAGAAAATGTGGCACACATACACCGTGGAATACTATGCAGCCATAAAAAATGATGAGTTCATGTCCTTTGTAGGGACATGGATGAAATTGGAAATCATCATTCTCAGTAAACTATCGGGAGAACAAAAAACCAAACACCGCATATTCTCACTCATAGGTGGGAATTGAACAATGAGATCACATGGACACAGGAAGGGGAACATCACACTCTGGGGACTGTGGTGGGGTGGGGGGAGGGGGGAGGGATAGCATTGGGAGATATACCTTATGCTAGATGACGAGTTAGTGGGTGCAGCGCACCAGCATGGCACATGTATACATATGTAACTAACCTGCACAATGTGCACATGTACCGTAAAACTTAAAGTATAATAATAAAAAATAAATAAAAAATATTAAAAAATAAAAATAAAATAAAATTAAGCTATGGACAGAAAAAAAAATTTAACAGTAACAATTTTTTTGTGTGCATGCTATGGGTAGATAATGGATCAAGTACTTTGCATGTGCCATTCCATTAACCTCCCATCACAAACACTAATGAGATGGGCATTATTATTTATAATAATTTATAAATTATTTATAAACAAGGCAAGTAGGGCTCAGAGAAATTAAGTAATGTGCTCAAGGTCACACAGTAGGTAAGCAGTGGTGGAGCTAGTGTTCAAATACAAGAGAAGTTGGTTCTCAGCACCCATGCAGGGATGCTGGCAGAACTCTTCCAAGGTCCTGACTGTATTTCCTCTAAAGCCCCCTGAACCCAGCACAGCTGATTGCTTTGTACACTGCACATCACACCCTGGTGAACGCTTGGCTGGATCTCTGTCCACAATGCCTTGGCTCTCCCACACCATGCCCTTTTCAGCTGGTAGTCAGTCTCCCAAGGGATGCTGCTGGTTGAGATGCTCAAAGTGTTCATGTCTTTTTGGCAAATACTTTAGGGAAGCATGCTTGAATTTTGAATTCACAGATTGTCCCACAATCTATTTTATTAAGTTGCTCAGTTTCTTTTTCCATCTTTTACCTCTCAAGAAACAAATCAAATTGCTCTAATAGTGTGTGGACATGTTTTACTTTGAATGAAATCCCTTAATTTATAGTTTCACTTTCCTTTTGGTCTTCCCCTTATCTTTGTCATTGATTATTCTCAGACTAAGAGAATTCTTTTAGATCCTGGGGGATTACGTGACAATGGCCCCCATACGCAGTCAAATCACAGTGGGAAAATGGGAGTAGCCAGTCTTCATAAACACCCATTTCTATCCCTGAACTCAGTCCCTCTGATTATCTAGGGGCATCAATTTTTCACTCTAAAAGATGAGGAAGCTGGTTTCCCACTGGTAAGTGCTTCTTTTCTATTTATTTATTTTTGCTGTCTATTTGACAGTCATTCTTAATGGAAGGAACCATCTTTTTTTGGCATCACCAGGAAATTAATCTAGTTTTTAAGAAATGTATTCTGATGTTCAGTGGATCGAAAGCTAGACACACATTCAAACCATCTCCCTGGAGAAAGTGGTGGCTCCATCATTTCTGAAAAAAAAAAAATAGACCTCAGAGAGGTAGAGCTGGACTCCAGGAATATTGGCAGGAAAACTGTTGGAATGTCAGGAAGCTGTCCCTGGGGGCTCAGCTATAGGGGTGGATCACTACTGCTCTTTCCTGGGACTCAGCAACCGGTTTGTCCCAGCTGCAAGGAGGGAATCCCAGCACCTTGCACTGTGCCCATTGTATAACAGGTGATCAATACGTGTTCGCAGACTGATGGATGAATGAATCTTCTACCATAAGAAATGTGTACTACAGGCTGCCAGATCCCACAATATGTGCTATCGGTACATGTTGTAGCCCACGGAGCCCATGAAGTCCCCCCGGTGTGTGTGTATGTGTGTGTGTTTGAAGGGTAGAGTTAATTTCCAAGGTAGGATTATCTGAGCTTCTGTGAGTGTAGAAGGTGAAATTTTACCCTTACCAACCTTAATCCAGTGGTTCCCAAACTTTGCTGCACATTAGAATCACCTGAGGAGCTTTAAAAAACCCTTATGCTCAGATCTTACCACAACTAATCAGAAGGTATGGGAGTGAGAACCAGGCATCAATATTTTTTAAAGGCCCTCAGGTGATTCCAGTGTGCAGCAAAGCCTGGGAACCACTGAGGCCCTGGGGTGGACAGGTAGCAGAATATTGAACTGGCAGCCAGAAAAGCAGGCTTGTGTCCCAGCTTTGCCACCTGTGAGGACCAATGTCATGTAATTTCAGAATCTGCTGAATGGAAGGGGTGGAACCAGATAAATATTTCCCAGACTACAGTTCTATAAAACCCTGCCCCTCAAAAATATGGTTCTATGGTATTTAATAATTTTAAATGGGTTCCTTTATTTCAGGATTTCTCATGGCCTTTATAATGCTAATATGAGCAGTGAATCTCCAAGAGGGTGATAAAGTACACAATATTTCCCAAATTTATTTGACAGTGGGACCTTTTTTCCAAGGAGAACCTATTAACATTTCCCACAACTGGTGCTTCTCAGAACATTCTTGGGGGAAATGCTGGACCACATGGATCTTTAAAACTCTTTCTGGCTCTCGTCTTATTTGAATAATTTTATTTTGTGTATTCCTCCAAACTCCTGAGGGAGCCACAGACTGGTAAATAATTGTGGGGGATGGAAATGCATGCTTGTTGACAACTGCTATCTAAGTATAAGGACAAGCTCCCCACATATCTCAGACTGTTGCTGAATCAGTGCAATGCTTTTCCTGCTGTTATTTAAAGTACTAGATGGCTGTGTTCTTTCCATCTGGATGCTCTCTTTGATGAGTTGAGTTTAAAAACTTAAATGGGGAAGAGACTCTGGGTGATTAGGCAAATGACATATGGCTATAACTTTGAAGAACTCTCATTTGGGTCCCAGAGTGGATCTCCACCTCCCCATCCCACCCTCACATCCCCCTTCATCTTTCCAAGGTGCTCCCCATCCAGGCCTGGTCTATACAGAGACGGAGCTCCAGGGATGAGGCCAGAAATAGGACTCACACCATCTGCAATAGCAGGGAAGGAGCACTGACCCCTAGGTGTGGTCTGGACAGAGAGATTCTCATCACTTACTCTGATGTCATCTGGGTGACCAGCTGGAGGGAGGTGAAGCCAGCAGTGAGGAAGCTGTCCCTGTACTGGACCATTTTGATGGCGCTGAGCCAGTCATCCACGGTGGTAAAGGCCGTGAAGTCTGGGATGGAGCGGTCGAGCAGGGGCTGGGAAGGCCTGGTGAGACAGAGATGGGCAGGTGACCACACATTGCAGAGATGCATGGACAGTGCCCCAGTCTGGCCTGACAGCTGACTTCATGGAAGGCAGCATCCCTGATGGAATGAGGATTATAGTGGAGCCCTGGGCTGAACCTTTCTTCTTCATGGAATCCTAAATCAGCATGACTTCTACATCCAGGTGGCCAGTGTCTCTGCCTCTGGGCACTGTCACAGTTCAGTTAACCCAGACAGACAGGTTGACATAGCGTTCAGTCTGAAGGGAACGGAAGGCTCCCAACTCCTTTGTAAACCAAAATTTAGGAGCCTCACCATTCAAAGACGTAGTCCTTTTAAAAATATGCATATTTTATCACAACCTCCCCAGATATATTGGTAACATTGTTTTTCCTAGTTTCATCCTTAGCTATTTGAAAAAAAAAATGGAGCAGTGAGACCCATTGCCGACCTTCTCTGGCACATTTTCAAAGCAGACACCCAGGTATCCAAACCAGAAATCCGGGTGCTATCTTGACATCTCCCTCACCCTCAATATCCATGTCCAATCCTTCACCAAGTCATAAAGATTTTGTCTCTCAAATCCCCAAAACTCGTTTACTTTTTTCCACAACCATTATCCTGATTTAAGACACTATTTTCTCTATCATGATCATTGCAATGTTCTCCTGTCTTTCTTCATGCATGTTGCTCTCCTCAACATAAGGCCCACACTGCAACTAGATACTCTTTAAAAAATTCGAACATGATCATGGTCAGAGGCTGCTGGCTATGCCCCTGACCATGAAACCAGCCATATTTAGGGATCACCGTTTCACTAGACTCACACGGCGGTGATGGTTGCCACAGTCTTGAGACTTGCCGGGTTCCGGATCATCTTATCTAGGGTGTTGACAATCTCCGCAAACCGGGGCCGGCTGTTCCGGTCCTTCTGCCAACAGTCCAGCATGAGCTGGTGTAGAGCAGCTGGACAGTCCATGGGTGGGGGCAGCCGGTAGTCCTGCTCGATGGCATTGATGACCTGCAGTGACATACAGGGAACAGGTGTGATTGAGTGACTGCCACCAGCCAGTCACTCACAAATTATCCCCTTTATATGGAGCCTCCCTGATCCAGGCTGTCTCAGATGCCCTTGCTCTGTGCTTGCACACCTTCCGCTGTAATGGATTTTCTGTGCACTTGGTTTATCCCCCTAGACATTGGGCTCCTAGAAAGCAGGGGCCACATTGTAGTACTTCTTTATGTCCCCAGCTCCTGGTGCAGGGCCTGACACACATGGACCTCTGTAAATGTTTGTTGAAGAATGAGCCAGTGAACAGCTTGAGCATCTCCGCTCTTTAAGAAGACATAGGGCCCAATTCTGCCTTACTGGAAGCTGGTGGCACTAGGAGTGATGAAACAATGACACATGGGAAACCCAGTGAACCCACTATTTATAAAGGATGTCCTCAAAACTTGTGGTGGACTCATTCTTTCATTTGGAAGAGAAGAGAAAGGGAGGAAAGGGATTAGCATTGATGGAGCACTTACTCCATGCTAGAGACCCTCTAGATGCCTCCTCTGCATTATTTGCCATATTCCTCATGAGGCAGCAACATGAATGGGCTTGGTTAAACAAATAATTGGTTCAAATCAATGACAACAGTCAAAATAACAAGGTGGTCCAAAATGAATACCGTCAATCAGATTTTGGTAATTTTCACAAACGCCAGAGAGTAATTTTGTAAAGATTTTAGGAACGTTAAGTACATTGTCTGTTTTTCAGATCTTTGTGTTTTTTCATCCAGTACATCTTAACTAACTTCAAATGCATTTAAATCAATTATGCCTACACTGTGCTTTTTACATTAAAAAAATAATTGTAAGTGACGCAAGTGCTAAACATATGAATTTATTATGGTACACCCATAATGCAACAGAAGGCCTAAAATACAATGTAGGCCTTAAAGTAATACTACAAAAATCCATCTATTGAGATGGAAATATGCTCATACTGTAACAGGTAAAAGAGCTGGCTGCATAACTTCAGAAATAGTATAATCTTGCTTTGTAAAAAACAAAAACCAACTATTATAGACATGCATAGAAAAGACCTTGGAAGGATATACAGCATGGTGTTAATAGCAGTTGCCTCTGGATAGGCAGAAACCTGAATATTTTTCATGTGTTTCTCTTTGCTTGTTTGAATTTTTTATTTTCTATAATAATCCTGCATTAATTTTATATTAAAATAAACAGTTAAAGCATTTTAAACAACAAAGGAAATAATTTGGAGTTCAGGGTGTTTTTGGTGTTTTTGCCTCTACTTAAAAAATAATGAGATTCATTTCAACTGATTATTCTTTCTTTTTTATATACTTTATAAATTGGTCAAAAAGTGAGTATTTTCAGTTAGTTTAGTTTTTACAGTTTCTATGCATAGTATGTAGGACATGAGATAGGACATGAGATAAAATGATAACCAAGTCATTGGAGATAATCAAAGTGTATTAGTTCTTTCATTCAATAGGGTGAAAATCAAGCATACAAACCACATCAATTTTATCGCTATATTTAAAAATCCAGTGACTGGGAGTACTCACTTTTGAACACTGTGTTGCACTGACAATCTTTTTTCTCCTCCTCCTCTAAACTGTTGTCAATCAAATTCCCCTGCTATCCTCTGAGGACAACCATTTTAACCCCATTTCCCCATGAGAAAATGGAGGCATGAGCAGTGAAATAATTTGCCCAGGGGCACACATCTAGCAAAAGATAGGGCTGGGAATAAATCACAGCGGTGCTTGATTTTAAGTTTTGAATACTTCAAAAGCCGTATTTCCTAGGCCTCTGTTGAGCTGCCATAGTAATCTCAGCCTGGAGAACAGCCCCTGGAGGTGTCGGCTGTCTTCTTGGCATGCAACAAGGGCATGGGGCTAAACTAAGTAATCTATGAGAATGAGCAGCTGTGCATCATTCCCATCAGCCTGGCTCACAAACCCCGCACCCTTTTCCAGTTCCTTCCAAGTAACTAGATTGAGGGTCCCAGTCACAGAATCTCCAAGTGGGATTACCCATTGAATGGCCCCTAGAGCTCCTTCTGGGTTGCATAAGGGCAGGTTAGGTAGGGCCAGCAGGAGGAGCTAGAGTCCAAACTCAACCTCTCATGATGCCAGGGGTCCCCAAAGTCTTCCAGTGCAGGGCAGTTAATGTTCCTGGTGGTCCCCTAAACTAATGGCATCTCTGCTCAGATCATTAGATGCTAGAGCCCCAGATACTAATTTTCCTCACTGACAAGACAGCTTTACCACCTGTCCTGGAACAAGAAGGAGCACTGGAGTCAGGGCCTTTCTGAGAGAGCGCAGCTCCATGATGTGACCAGCTGACCCAACCTCTTTTGGCAAGGGATCAAGAGAATGGGGACCCATGCACATGCTGAGTCTTCTGCCTGTGAGCTCTAGACCGAATGTAACTCAATTCTGTTTCCCTTATTGTCTCCACTGCATGGCATCATGGCATCTCATTGGCTTTTTTTTTTTTTTTTTTTTTTTTGAGATGGTGTCTCGCTCTCTTGCTCATGCTGGAGTGCAGTGGCACAATCTCAGATCACTGCAACCTCCACCTCCTGGGTTCAAGCAATTCTCCTGCCTCAGCCTCCCGAGTAGCTGGGACTACAGGCATGCACCATTATGCCCTGCAAACTTTTGTATTTTTAGTAGAGACAGGGTTTCAGCACGTTGGCCAGGATGGTCTCAATCTCTTGACCCCGTGATCCTCCCGCCTCGGCCTCCCAAAGTGCTGGGATTACAGGCACGGGCCGATTTTTTTTTTTTTTTTTTTTTTTGAAGACTGTTCTGGTATTTGTTTTTGTATTTGCTCTTTGTTTGGTGTGTTTACTTTCTTTTTAAGAGGACATCAAACAGCCACTGATTCCTCCTTTCTGGGCAGGTCAGCTAGGAACACAGGTCCATTTGGCTGTGTTGGTGATAGTACTACATAGTGCATAGACCTTGGAAGGCTGGTTTCAAATCCAAGTTCCATTTCTTATTACCTATAGAACCTTGGGAGAGTCACCTGACTTCCTGAAACTTCACAGATGAGATTGTTACAAAGATTAAATGACACCGAAGTGATGCGTGTTGAGCACAGCGCAGATGAGTAGTAGGATGAATCCTCATCACACAGAAGGTGTCATTACGGCTGTGTCTATTTTAGTAGATGTCTTCCCAGCAAAGAAGGGAGTTACTACTGCTCATTTTGGAGGTCCAGGAAGATAGTATTTGAAAAGCACCAAGGACTTTTCTCACTTTTCAGGGTAGAGCATAGCCATGGGAACCCACTACCATGTTTGTGTTTAGAAAATGGGACTTTACTCCATTTGTTACTTCTTGTAAATAATTTTGTTGTTATTACTTGAGCTGATAATCTGGGAGCATTAATGCTTCTTGCACATAGGGAAAAAAGTGTCCTTTACCCTTCAGCCCAAAGAAAAAAATACTGAGATCAATCATTGGTATATGAGTAGCATTTATCCACTCAAGTCTTTGAAGTACAATGCCTTTGGAGATTTTTATTCTCTTCTTTAGGATATGCGTGTTTTCTAAATTTCTGAGCAATAAAATTTAGTCAAATTACAATATCATTATATCAAAAAATAGCTTTGGTCTTCTAATGGGACTTTGAAATCATTCTCTGTCACACTTGCCTCACTAGCAGGTATGGGGAACAGGAAGGAGGAGTGGAAAAGCACCTTCATTCTGGCCATGTGATGATGGCTGTAAATGACAATGACCAGGTTTGAATTGTATGGAAAGATATGGCCTAAGGTTGGAGGCATAGGGTGTCCTACTGAGCAGAGTTGAAAACAGAAGTGAATTCTGGGCTCCTTTCATTGGTCCACAAGAGGATGAGATAAGTGGCTATTGAGAAGATTGAAGATTAGAATGAAATCAGATGGCATTTCCAGAGAGAAGTAAAAGTAAAGCTCTGGGGGCAAGGAGACCAGTCTAGGCAACTGTTACCCAGAGCTCTCTGCTGTCTCATTTTGAAAGTTCAGCAACAACTCTTTTGGCCATTGCAAAGGCCAGTGTAAGCAAACGTCCTGGGATCTAATTAAAGAGGCAGGGAGGAGGTGTGGTGAGGGGTTGCCTTTATTCACCTGTACTGAGAAATGGTAGGTACACAGGTTCTGTAGGGATCAGGTGCAGGTAGTCTGACCCCAGGTGCTCTCTGGGACTGGGTGGAGTGACTAGAACGCCTCTGGGAAGTGGGCAGAGCCCCTCCTGTTGCCCTTGTATTTTCAGGGCCTGCTCCCGGCTGCCCCCAGACATGTATTTCCCATTAGTGAGTCAGGCTGTGGGTAGTGCCTAGTCGACCTTGCACTGGGGAGAGGGAAGTGGAGGAACTCAGAGCAGTGGAGAAACCAGGGCAGAGTGGGTTAAGTCAAGCTCTGATGTTTCAATAAGACTGCAGCTCCTCTCCACAGACACTGCCACTCTCATTATCTCTGTCAATCAGATCCAAGCAGCAGAACTTCCAAGTTGCTCTCTCTGGCTGACAAACTCTCTGTACATGTTCAAAGACCTTCCTGTGCTCTGGAAGCCTAATTACCGGCACTCCAACTTGCCTCTGCAATTCTCTTCCTTAAAACCTTTCAATTGTCATCTGTAAAATCCTTTACCACCACCAACTTGGTGGTTTCTGATGAGTGAGGCTTCAGCCCGGCAGCTGGGAGCCCCTCCTGGCTCTCTCCCAGGCCAGGTTGTAAGAAGCTTTCTGAATGGGCATGAAGTCACCTCTTGCCTCCCACGAGGAGCAAAACTGCACTTGAGACAATGCTTAGGGGCTTTATTTTGAAGGAGCACGCAAAATTAGAATAAACTGCTACTCTACAGATGTTCTTATTCCCTCTGAGACCCATCTCAAACGTCAAATATCCAGGAAGTCTTCCCTTACCTCCTCCACTCAAATGTTCTCAAAGCCCCATGTTTATGCCACCGGACTGTAAAACCTTCTAGAATCAGCAAGCACAGTGTTTAGTCACAACTAGCATACACTGATTGTGTGTTAAATGAATAACTTGGGAATTCTGGAAGTCTAATATCAGAAATTTTGTTTTCAGCATTGACAGAAAATATCTTGAATGTGAAATCTTGCTTGTCAGACAGTTTTGTAATTCATTCTGTAAGTGCTGAATTGTTCTTAGTCAGATTAAGGTCTTGGGCAGGATAAGATGGGTCTGATTTTTCTTTTCTTTTCTTTTCTTTTTTTTTTTTTTTTTTTTGAGACAGGGTCCCGCTCTGTCACCCAGGCTGGAATGCAGTGGCGCGATCTTGGCTCACTGCAACCTCTGCCTCCAAGCTCAAGCAATTTTCGTGCCTCAGTCTCCCGAGTAGCTGAGATTACAGGCATGTGCCACCATACCTGGCTAATTTGTATTTTTAGCAGAGACAAAGTTGTACCACATTGACCATGCTGGTCTCAAAGTCCTGGTCTCAAGCAATCCACCTGCCTCCACCTTCCAAGGTGCTGGGACTACAAGCATGAGCCACTGCGCCCTGCTGGGTCTGCTTTTTCTACTAACATGTTATACTTATTTAGCAGCTGGTATAGACAGAACCAGGGTGCAGCTGATTTCATAAAAGCAGGCTTTGCACTAACTCCACCGCTTACTGATTTGATGTGCTTCAGGAGCAGAGGCAAGGTGTTGCTAATCCCAGATAATAGAGGACCTAGACACCAGCCATAGTTGACTTCAGGACCCGGTTAATGGTGCAGCCATTTCACCCACTCCAGGCTGGAGCCACTCTGCCCATAGCAACAGGGAGTACTGTCATAGAAGTACCCCAGCTCCTCTTTCCACAGTCTCTCTGGGAAGTTGCCACCTTTCTCAATCTTCCGAGCAGCTGCCATGGCACTAAACCTTTCACAGGATAGAAGGCTTGCTGACTCCATAGCTGACAAGTTCCTCAGTGTCCACCCTAGCACAGAGGGGGTTACAGTGTGGCTGGCTGCCAGTGGACTCAGATCTGAACTGGGGACCATTCTTTCTCTTTTAGCTGTCAGTTGGGAAGGATAAAAACTGCCCCCTCCCAAAGTGATGGGAAGGGCAAGCAGAGAACATAGGTATGCAGCTTTGCAAATTGTAATCCTCTCAGCTCCAACGGGAGGGTATGTATGCAAAACACAAAAGAGGCCTGGTCCCTGGAGAGGGTGAGAGGCAGTGTTGAAATTCAGGCAGGACTTTTCATTGGAGACTTATCAAAGCAAATCATCCGAAAAAGGCTTCCTCACCTTTTAGTAAGTATGGAGCAAAGGTTCTCATGTGGAACATTCCAAAAAGCCTCTATTTAAAGCATGTTAGATGACCCATCTCTTCCTTTCTCACCCTTTTCCCTTGAGGGCATCCTGGGGGAGTGTTGACCTCCCCACAGACAGGGACCCTCTCCTGTGGCCCATCTGAAGCTGCCCAGCTTTGGAAAGCTTTCCACCTCTTCCTTCACTGATAGGTGATATGGGATCATAGAAGAGTGAATTCTCAAGGAAGAAGGGCCCTTTCCAATTACTCTCTTTAAAGCTAAGAGGTACAAGTCCCACACAGAAACTGCGACTGGCTCAATGGAGCATAGCCGTCAGAGGCAGAGCAGGATGGGAACCCAGGCCCTGGCCCCCAGTCCAGTGCCTCCTTCCCCTCTGTCGTTCACAGGGAAGGAAAACACAGAACCTGAACACTTAGAAGCAGGGTAGACTTTACTGCTTAATTTGGGGCTGATCTATTCATGGTCCTCAGCCATTTGGAAACAGCCCATTGTCTCTTGGGTTGGAGACTGTGGCCTTGGCACCTCTACAGGCTTTGTGGTTATAGGGCCTTTCACACCTCCATGCTGGGCTCTTTGATTAGTTCCAACATCCATGCTAAGGGTGTCCCTGTATCCCCTACCCTGAACACTGCAGGTTCAGATTATGAGGCCGTGAGCTGAAAACAGGAGGAATTGGTATGCTACTGCCTTTGGGATCCCTTCAATGGGGGTTTGTGGTGACCAAGTGCTGCTGACACTCACATCTTGGTTGGACATATCCCAATAGGGTCTCTCTCCAAATGACATGACTTCCCACATGACGATCCCATAGCTCCAAACGTCGCTGGCTGAAGTGAACTTGCGGTAGGCGATGGCCTCTGGAGCTGTCCATCTCACAGGGATCTTCCCTCCCTGAAAGAAGGAGAAACCGTGGTCAGCCCAACAATCAGGTTTCTGATTGAAGGCAGGCAATAAAAAACTTGGCATGCACATTCTTCCAAACTCTCACTCCCATATCTTGTGAATTATGACAGACAGGCTATTCTTGCTTCGTGCACAAGCTATGTTGCTGTGCCTAGTTAGAGAAGCTCAAGGTGACCAGCATGCCTGTGCTGGCTTCTAGCCTCATGTGGATATGCCACATGTGCCCTGGTTCCCTCTATGTGGGTTCCAATGTTGCTGCAGGGGAGGTGGGTGGGAGGAGAGAGTGTAACTGTCATAAAACTCACTGGAACTACCTGAGATTGGCTACATGAGAAACAAGTTATGGTTTTCTTTGCTCCCTGGCAATGTAAAAGCTAACACATTTGGGTCAGAAGGAATTGCAATGGTACAAAAGGAAAGAAGAGTGATGAAGCATGCCTCCTGGAGAGCCCTGCCACTACAAGGTCATGCTATGCTGCCCTCTGCCCCATTTTTGTTGCATTCCACCTCTGGGGGGCAGGTTTCCCTAACTCTGTAGCATGCAGATAGCCCTGAGCTTCATGAGGGTTGAATGGTCCCAGTGCTGTGGTCTTTCTACATGCTGGCTGTCCTGCCAGCCCTTCAGTGGAGGTCAAGATTCCAGAGTCTAGAGATGCTCTTTTCTACAGGGCCACTCTTAGGCTTGTTTCTCCTTCTTGCCTCCAATCCCACACTGGAAGTTTCTAAATTGGCTCTCTGCTTGGCCCTCAGCTTGTCTGCCAGACCTTAGCCAGTTTTGTTTACCTAAGGGATTCACATCTATCCACTCATTCATCCATCCCATCAACAAATAGGCAATAAGCACCACTTTGTGCCAGGTCCTGCTGAGAAGCTGATGTCCCAGAAATAAGCCAGTGTCCCTGCCCTCAAGCTGAACAGGACAGTGGGGAGACAGACAAGAAAACAAAAACTTAAAATATATTGTTAAAAACATTGAAAAGTGAGGGAAGGTGAAGATGAGAGTGGGTACAAGGTGTTCTGAAAACCAGAGGAGACTCCCCAACACAGGGAAGGGTCAGGGAAGGCAGGCAGGAGCTGTTAGAGAAGCAGTTTCTGGTGGTGGTTAAGAACTCCTGGAGCCTTTGTCTGGGTTTGGATACCAGTACTGCCTCTTTCTACCTGTGCGGCGGGGGCAAGTAACCTACCTCTCTGTGCCTCAGTTTCTCATCAGCACCTACACAGCCCAGTGTTAACTATTATTTTCACTATGCTCAGCCCTAGAGAACAAGTAGAAGTTAACCAGGCAAAGTGACTGGAGGAGGGAAGTCCAGGCAGAGAGCAGCTTTCTCAACGGCCAGGGATAAGAGAGAGGCTGGGACATACAAGCAATCCACAATGGCTGAAGCAGGGAGTTCCTGAAGGAGAAGTAATGGGAGGTGAGCATAGAGCAGACAGCTGGCATGGCCTGTGCTGTCCAGCATCAGTGCCAATTACAGCTGTTAAACAGGGTTCTTGCCAAGGCTGTCCTCAAAAGCTCATCACTCCCTATAGCAAATATGACCCCCCTTTTCAGTTTTTCATGCCAAATGCCAGGATTTCACCCTTTCATGCTTTTTTCCATGCTTAGGCTCTGTCTCTCTCCATACTACGTGGAACATGAAGCCACTGGCTGCAGCAGTAACAGCACAGAGCAGGGACGGCAGCTCCCTCACTCCCCTCCTCATTTACTTCATGCCTCCACTGAAAGAGGATATTTTTATACTGCCCATTCTTACAATCTGCTCAAGTCACCAAAGATACATGGTTGACGTTAGCAAAAATACTGTAAAAATGTAAAAATGGTTAACCCGAGCTAGGCAGAAAAAAAAAAGGAGCAAACAGCAAAGTGTATTTTTATCTGGTTTCCTATCTGGAGCCTGGGAGGAATAAAGGCAACCAGGCTGGACCTCCCCAGGCACACATCCCACTTTCTGCAAAGAAGACAGTCCTAATTTCCCCTGAGGATGGTGGCAGGCTTTTGTGGTGGGGGAGATGTCCTCAGCTCAAATGCCAGCTACACGACAAATGCCTGGAGGGCATGCTTAGGCTGTGGCTGCAGCCAGACTCTCTGTTCTCATCATCCCCCAGAACATGAATGAATTTACTGGTTTTATCAACATGTTCCCCACGGCTGGGAAGAGAGGTGAAGAATTCATCCAGTGAAGCAGCAGCTACCAAACACCTGGAGGTCAATGTCTGATAGTGCAGAGACCCCAAGTTGTGTGTTGCCATTAGGGAAGGTGCTGTTGTCACACCTCGAGATGGCCTGGGCTCCCCCAGAAAAGAGGGGCTTTGGTTTTCTCAAAATACCTGGGTTAAGTGAGGTAGGAGAGAATTGGAGTTTAATTAGTATACTGTGTGTGTGTGTGAGAGAGAGAGAGAGACAGAGACAGAGAACCAGATTGTGTGTGAGAATGTATCAATCTGTGTGTGAGAGTGGGAGACAGAGAAAACTTGGCAGTGTAGGTCTCTGAGTAAAAGAGAGTTAGGGCTTGCTTATCTTTTGTGTGTGTTTGTGTCAGAGAGAGGAGGGGAGATGACAGTGTGGCTCTTCTGAATTTCAAAGAGGTGATTTGGGAGTCTGAGAGTGTCCTCCTCTGCCAAGTCTGGAGCAAACCCCAGGGGCTGTCAGTGACAGCTGTGGAGCCGCTCCCTCCTGCCTGGAAAGTGGCAGTGCCTGGCCCACGGCAAGGAGCCTACAGCCCTCCTGCCACCTTGCACTGTTGGGCCTCACTGAACACTGAGCTTGGGCTGTCACCGCCGCCCCCCTCCATCCCAGCAGGTGGCTGAGCCTTTGAGAAGAGCCCCTGGACAGGCAGGTGACAGCTTGTCATGGCAGGCTCTCCTGCTCAGCTGAAGAGAAGGGGGACACTGACTTGGGAGGCAGAACAAAAGGAAATGCAAAGTCAGGGGAGCACAAGAGTGGGCACTTTGTTTCCTAGGAATTTTAAACCTTCCTTCCATCTTTTCAAACATCATTGTCAATGTTGCCTTCTGGTGCTCAGAGGTAATCATGGTGATGATTATTGATATAATCAATATCAATATCAATTATTGACATAATTAATATCATCAAGTGATGATTATAACTTGTCTTCAATTATGTGAAAGGAAATCTATTAATTTAGAGGATGGTGACCAGCCCTGTGGAGGGAAGCAGAAGAAAAGGAAGTGGAACCCTGCTGCAGCAGGCAGGGTTCTGCCAGCCAGGCGGTCCTGCTGCTGCTGCATGAGGAGCTTGGACCAGACACCAGGGCCAACACAGCCATGTGACTTTAAAGTGCCCTAAGAGCCCCCAGCTCCCCAGTGCAGGTATGAGGAAGGGGCATAGAGGAGTGCTTGCTCCATTGGGTGGTGAGGAATATCAGGGAAAAATTCTCAGGGCAGTGAAGAATGCATGGGGCTCACTGGAAAGGAATCTGCATTCATACGGACACAGAAGTGCTGACACTGGGCTTGGGGAGAGCACTGTCCCTGGCAGGGGTTTCTACAAGGTACCAGATGACTTGCTTCCCTGGGGGATGCTAAGGGTATGGGTCTGCTTTCTGCAGGGACTGGGTTTCCCTAGAGCTGCCGCAGGGGTCACTGTTGGAGCATGGGGGAGGGAGAAGAGAAGAAGAGGAAGAGGCAGCTCACTGTCATTAGGGGTCTGAGTTCCCTTCAAGACTTCATACACACCTTCCACACAGAGCTTTGCATTGAATAGTTGTGTTGCCAAGAATTCTTCAAATGTTTGAAAACCACTGCTTCAGAAAAATTATGTCTTAACTCAGATATACGATAAATTTAAGATTTTGTGTCTGTCTGTGTGTGTGTGTGTGTGTGTGTGTGTGTGTGTGTAGAATTTGGTGAACTACGAGAAGATATCTGGCAGCGAATTAATCCTAACCCTGTCATCCTCAAGGTCATCTGCTGACCCACATCCACACCTGCCAGCAGGTGTGATGCCAACAGGTAGAAGCTCTTGGTGTAGAGGCACTTTAGTCCCTCAGCTTCAGACAGTCTGCAGCAAGCATCTATGCAGCACCCATTCTGTCCTCAGTACCCTGCTGGGGACATGGTAATGATGAGCCTCAGCCCTACTCTCAATGGGCAATGGATGTCCCTAACACCATCCAGCCAGCACACTGTCTTGCCACGGTGAGGTTACAGAAGTACAACACATAGCTTTGGTTCTAGAGCCCACCCAAGTATGAAGTTTTCCAGGCCAAAGTCCAGGCATATGACTGATTCCTTTTGCTAATTGCTTATTGTTGAGAAGCCCAGAGGGTAGCACTTCTATGTGTCTGGGCATTGCTACAGCACTTTTCTCCACCATCTTGTGTGAGACAAAATCTCAATGGGATTATGGCAGAAATCCAGCCACTCATGAATACTGAGTATTGTGTTCATGGACTTGTTCACCAAATATTTCTGTTGTGCAGCATGAGAGGATCCCCTTGAAGTTTGGAAGTGATAGGTTCATGGCCGAGTGTATCATGAAATGGCTCTGAATTTCGTAATGCCTGCTATTCCAAAAGGTTTATAATACATAAAGTATATTGAGGTTGTTGTGAAAGTCCAACACGATAGAAATTTAAACCACACAATATATTCTTATTATCATTAAACAATAAATTATTGAATGTTGTGTATTGAGTTATATCCCCACAAAAGACATGTTGAAGTCCTAACTGTGAGACCTGTGAATGTGATCTTCTTTGGAAACAGGGCCTTTGCAAATATAATCAAGTTAAAATGACATCATACTGGATTAGGATGAGCCCTACATTTCATGCTGGCATCCTTATAAGAAGGCCGAATGAAAATACAGCAACACACCAGGGAGAATACCATGTGAAGATGGAGGCAGAGATTGGGGTGATGCATCTACAAACCAAGTTATATCAAGAATTGATGGCAACTAGGAGAGAGGCATAGGATAGATCCTCCCTAGAGCCTTCAAAGGGAGAACGACCCTGCCAACACCTTGATCTCAGACTTTCAGCCTCCAGAACTGTGATAGAATAAATTTCTGTTTAAAGCTGTTTAGTTTGTGATACTTTGTTATAGAAGCCATGAGAAACTAATACATTGAGTATATACAATTTTATCAGATACTAGTTTAACAATACCACTGTTAAGTTCCTAGGTGGCAGAACCATCACGGGCTACTATTAGGGGGCAAGAGGACTTGGGAGTGAGGGATAGCTCCAACACTTTATATCAAAGCCCCTCGATTAACCACAGGGCCCCTCTAACATTTCATCACTGCTGTTGATCAGACCTCGGCCACAGTTCATACCTTGAAGCACTGCCCTTTGTCATCCTGCCTGAGGGAGAATTCTATCCTCACTCTACCATCAGTGTCCCCAGACTCAGATGGCCACTCCAGGCCTAGGTAAATGCACAACAACACCGGCTGAAAGCTAGGCCAATACACATTTTCTTTGATTACTCAGAAGGCCTAGCCCAGTGGTTCCCAAGCTTGGTTACCTACTGGAATCACCTGGGGAAAGTTTATTTGTTTGCTTGTTTTTAAAGCCATGAATATTTTAATTTATTCGAATTTCTCGGAGTGGTGCCCAAGCATTGGTAGGTTTTTGGTGATGCTTCAGGTGATTTGAATGTCAGGCCATTAGTCACAGCTACTGGCTGGAGAAGTGGTTCTCAAATTTGAATGTGTATCAGAACCTACTGGAGGGCTCATAAAACTGGTTCTAACCCAGACTTTAAAATTTACTAGTTCTGGGGTAGGGCCTGAGAATTTGCATTCCTAACAAATTCCCAGTGTGGTTCTCCCACTTTGAGAACTGCTGGCATAGATCAATCCGACATAAGTCATGGATTGCTTTAGGAATTGTCTTAAATACAAACTCTGATAATTGTTAGTGCCTGGTTTAAGAAGGATTCTGAGGCTTCATGACTGGGCTCAACAAGAGGTTTTGACTAATGACTACATGTAAGAATCACCTGAAGCACATTCAAATCATCAATGCTCGGGCACCACTCCCAGAGATTCTAAATTAGAATACTCAAGGCACTAACAAAAAATAAAACTTTCCCCAGGTGACTCCAATGAGCAACCAAGCCTGAGAACCACTGGGCTAGACCTTCCAGGTATGGAGAGAAGAGGGGTATTTGTGTTGATGAGCAATGTCTTCCTTGGGTGAGGAAGTAGGCAGCTGTTTGCATGGCAAGTGATATGGTTTGGCTGTGTTACTACCCAAATCTCATCTTGAATTGTAGTTCCCCTAATCCCCACTTATTGTATGAAGGACCCAGTGGGAGGTAATTTAATCATGAGGGTGATTACTCTCATGCTGTTCTCATGATAGTGAGTGAGTTCTCACAAGATCTGATGGTTCTATAAGGGGCTTTTTCCCCTTTTGCTCAGCACTTCTCCTTCCTGCCACCACGTGAAGAAGGACAAGTTTGCTTCCCCTTCCACCATGATTGTAAGTTTCCTGAGGTCTCCTCAGCCATGCTGAACTGTGAGTCAATTAAACCTCTTTCCTTTATAAATTACCCTGTCTTGGGTATGTCTTTATTAGCAGTGTGAGAACAGACTAATACAGTAAATTGGTACCAGTAGAATGAGGTGCTGCTATAAGGATACCTGAAAATGTGGTAGTGACTTTGGAACTGAGTAACAGGCAGAGGTTGGAACAGTTTAGAGGACTCAGGAGAAGATACAAAAATGTGGGCAAGTTTGGAACTTCCTAGAGACTTGTTGAATGGCTTTGACCAAAATGCTGATAGGAATATGGACAGCGAAGTCCAGGCTAAGGTGGTCTCAGATGGAGAAGAAGAACTTGTTGGGAACTAGAGCAAAGGTGACTTTTGCTGTGCTTTAGCAAGGAGACTGGCAGCTTTTTGCCCCTGCCCTAGAGGTCTGTGGAAATTTGAACTTGAGAGAGATTATTTGGGGAATCTGGCAGAAGAAATTTCTAAGCGGCAAAGTATTCAAGAGGAAGAGAACATAAAAGTTTGGAAAATTTGCAGCCTGACAATGAGATAGGAAAGAAAAACCCATCTTCTGGGGAGAAATTTAAGCGGCTGTAGAAATTTTCATAACTAATAAGGAGCTGAGTCTCCAGGGCATGTCAGAGACCTTCACCACAGTCCCTCCCATCACAGACCTGGAGGCCTAGGAGGGAAAAATGGTTTCCTGGGCCAGGTCCAGGTTCCCCCTACTGTGTGGAGCCTTGGAACTGCAGAACTGTATCTCAGCTGCTCCAGCTATGGCCAAAAGGGGTCAAGGTACAGCTCAGGCCATTGCTTCAGAGGGTGCAAGTCCCAAGCCTTGGCAGCTTCCACATGATGTTGGTCCTGTGAGTGTGCGGAAGACAAGAATTGAGGTTTGGGGATCTCTGCCTAGATTTCAGAGGATGTATGGAAATGCCTGCATGTCCAGGCAGAAGTTTGCTGCAGGGGTAGAGCCCTCATGAAGAACCTCTGCTAGGGCAGTGTGGAAGGGAAACGTTAGGTTGGAAGCCCCACACAGAGTCCCCATTGGGGCATTGCCTGGTGGAGCTGTGAGAAGAGGGCCATCATCCTCCAGACCCTAGAATGGTAGATCCGCCAACAGCTTGCACTGTACACCTGGAAGAGCTGCAGACACTCAAGGCCAGCCTGTGGAAGTAGCCAGGAGGGGAGCTGTACCCTGCAAAGCTTCAGAGGCAGACTTGCCCAAGGCTGTGGGAGCCCACCTCTTGTATCAGCATGACCTGGATGTGAGACATGGAATCAAAGGATATCATTTTGGAACTTTAAGGTTTAATAACTGCCCATTGGATTTTGGACTTGCATGGGGCCTGTAGCCCCTTTGTTTGGCCCATTTCTTCCCTTTGGAATGGGTGTATTTACCCAATGCCTGTACCCCCATTGTAACTAGGAAGTAACTAATTTGCTTTTGATTTTACAGGCTCATAGGTGGAAGAGACCTGCCTTGTCACAGATGAGACTTTGGACTTGGATTTTTGGGTTAATGCTGGAACGAGTTAAGATTTTGGGGGACTGCCGGAATGGCATGACTATGTTTTGAAATGTGAGGACATGAGATTTGGGAGGAGTCAGAAGTGGAATGGTATGATTTGGCTATCTCCCCACCCGAATCTCACCTTGAATTGTAGTTCCCATGATCCCTGTGTGTTGTAATAGAGACCCAGTGGGAGGTAATTTAATCATGGAGGCAGTTACCCTTCTGTTCTACTGTACTAGTGAGTGAGTTCTCATAAGATCTGATTGTTTTATAAGGAGTTTTCCCCCCTTTTGCTTGGCACTTCTTGCTGCCGCCATGTGAAGAAAGACATGTTTGCTTCCCCTTCCACCATGATTGTAAGTTTCCTGAAGCCTCCCCAGCCATGCTGAACTGTGAGTCAATTAAACCTCTTTCTTTATAAATTACCCAGCCTTGAGTATGTCTTCATTAGCAGCATGAGAACAGACTAATACAGCAAATATTTTTCAACATTGTACTAAGCCTCAAAAGATCTTAAAATGATGAAAAAGGAAAAAAAGCAGCAAATTGGCCTCATTAATGTTTCTGTCAAGTATATCTGTGGCCCAAAGGAAATGGAGGGCAAATTGAGATAAAGTTTACATTGTATGTCAAGAGTCACCCTGGAGTTGGCAGGTTGGACACTCTGCCTTCGAGCAGTGACCCTCCTGACTGTGTGGTTGACCAGCCTGGGTATAGCACCTGCTTGCGAGTGAGGGTCTGTGCAATCCATTGTAGACAAGTTCACACACAGATGGGCCTGCCCTCAGGGGGCATCCATGTGGCACACCCCTGCTCCTGTTCCACAGTCACTGTCTACTGCACTGCTCTAAAGTGAGCTGCAAGTGTTTCTGTGTCAAATTAGAAAGGTATTTTAGAATAAATGTCTCAACTTAAAAGCTCTCTGAAAGTACACTGACCCATTTTCCTCAATCTAATGAGTAAAGTGATATTTTTCCAGACAAGACTCATAACAACTAAGAAGGAAAAGAAGTTTTTGCCTAAAAGGTTATCTTGCTCTGAGTGTCACCAGCTTCTAACAGCTAGTGGAAATGGCTTCTGGCTGCTGAATTGCAACTGAGTCTATATAATAAAGAGGCTGTTCCCAGTTCCCCAGGATGCCAGGAATTTGCATGAAAACAGTCTCTCATCTTCTGAAAGAGTTCATCTGGCCCTGCTGCTTATTTCTTTCCAGAAGCCACAATCTTGATGGTGACACTGTAATTTATTACCGTGCTAAGGATTATGATGCAACATACAGAGAATGAAAACTTGAGGTGGGAAGCAGGCTGCAGGAACAGGTGAGCTTTTGGAGAGGATGGTCTCGTTTGTCATGCAAATGGCACACATAACAGAGAAGAGAGCTGGGAGAAAAGACAACCCAAAAAGACACATAGCATTAGCTGCTGACAAAATTGTTTCTAAATAGAATGTTTTTCAAAGCTTTTCTTGAAGCATTAGCTGCTCCTCCAAAATGAATGGCAGAATGTATTTCGTACTAGTAATAAAATATGTGATTTGAATAACTACAAATGGAAAGATTTACAATCGGGTGGGGTCCTTGCTGCCTCTCCCCTGAGCTTTGTGAGCGCTGAAACCCTTCTGTGCAATGCTGCGAAAGGTAATTGCAGCCCAAATATAATTTTCCAGCAGCTACAAAAAGGCTTATTTGGACATAAATTAACTAAAAATATGTGGATGATAGTGTGTATTTCATGTGTGAAGAACAGAAAGGCCACTTGGTGACATTTCCCAACTGGAAAAAAAATCTTCAACCAAACAGACGTCATTTTTCTGTACTATACTGACTGGGCAAACAGCTCTCTTTTACTATCCACACCCAAAACAGCCTCTGATGGCCAGGATACAGGCATTATTATTTCTTTTTATTATCCAGTGCTTCTTGAGTTTACAATTAAAAAGAAAGGATGGAGAGACAAGGGCTAAATAATTAACTAGCTGCCTTCATTCATTTGACAAGCAGGCCCCTCTCTGAGCCAGGCCAGGGACAATAAAGGGCAAAGAAACAGCATCCCTTCTGCCCTGAGGAGGACACTGTCCAGGGAATCCCGCAGGGGTAGTCAGGTCTTTAGTGGTGCAGATCCTATGTTCATCGCCTCGCTATTCATGACAGCAAAGACATGGAATCAACATTAGGTGCTCATCAATGGTGGGTCGAATAAAGAAAATGTGGTACATGTACACCATGGAATACTATGCAGCCATAGAAAAGAAAGAAATGATGTCCTTTGTGGTAACATGAATGGAGCTGGAGGCCAGAATCCTAAATGAATTAGTGCAGGAGCAGAAAACCAAATATCACACATTCTCACTTATAAATGGGAGCTAAACATGGAGCACACATAGACATAAATATGGGAACAACAGACACCGCAGACTACTAGAGGTGAGAGGGAGGGAGGGAGGCATGGGTTGAAAAACTACTTATTGGGTTCTATGCTCACTACTTGGGTCCAATACACCCATGTAACAATCCTACACATGTACCTCGTGTATCTAAAGTAAAAGCCAAAATTATTTTAAAAATTTAAATTAAATTACCCTAATTTAGATCTTGCTAATAAAAATAAAAAATAATGGTGCAGGTGTGTTCTCTCCTTGTTTAGTCCCTGAAGCCTGGGTCCTGCTATCAGTGTTCCTGAAGTGAGTGCTCTGGAGAAAGAGCAACTGGACTCACCCCAAAGGGCTTTAGCTTCTCTAGACACTTTGCTCTCCTAGATGGTGGGGTACTGATAATGAACAGAGAGAGCCAGCATCCCATCAGGAATGTAGTAAGCAGGGCTGGACTTGCCCTGCTGCTGAAACAAAAATGCCCTCCTCCAAGGCAGGTGGGGAGGGGACAATGAGCCTCTAGGCCCTCTGGGTGACAGGCTGGCATGGAGGACCATGGAACAGGGGGCAAGAAGGGTTCAGGAGGAGGCTCAGAGGCCACCCCACTATCTCCCCTTCTGTTTCCAGGCCACGTCCAGTGTTTCATCCATTGCTTCTCTGACAATGGCAGGAACTGTACTTTTTCCCAGAGCCTCTCTGCACCCATGCCTCACTGCTGCCCACCCTCAGCCCCAGGCTCATCCTAAGAGACCACAGCTTCCTCTCTGTCAGCCAGTCTGTTTGCCACACCAGTGACCCCTGGGCCTTTCCCCATGTCTCCAGGGTTTCCATCCATCAGTAGGCCATGATGCCATTCCACCTTTCGCATGTGTCTCCCCAACAACCCTTGGTCACCCAGACTCTTCTCCCATTCTGTCCCTGCCCTGTGCATGGAGGCTACATGGGCTTCCTGCTGCTCTGAGGTGAAGCTGCACTTGCTACGGCAGGCAATACAGCTGGCAAGTCCTTCTGACATCGAGTGGCTACTGGTGGGGCTGCTGATTCCAGTGGATGCTCTGTCTCTGGAGAAGGTTGGGGCTCTCAGATGGAGACTGGCCCCTGCTTAGCCAACTTGGAGACCTCTGTACAACTCTGTGGGAAGGCTGTGGGGTGTTTTCTATTGTCCTTATCATGGCCTTCAATTATTTTTTCTCCTCTTCATGTGGGGTAAGCAGCTGACAGACTGTCTATGGCAACCCGTTTTAAGAGACACACTAGGTATATTCCTTCTTTTCATTGCAATGTTTGAATGCCTTACCAGTGTCCACTGGCCATGCTTCTAGTCTCTCTTCCTGCCCCCGCCCTCCAACAGCTATTTAAAAATAATCAGTCACATTAAATAGCTTAAGCAATTCTGGCCTCCTGAACTGCACTTCCTTCTTGGCATGGTTTCTCCCGCAAACAATCCCAGCAGTTACAACTAAGTCACTTAAACACTCTGTCTTACCGTCTCCACCTGCCAATAGGGATAATAATACTTAATTATCTCAGAGGGGCGTATGAGGAGCTGTTAGCTAATGCTGGCAGAGTGTGCCAGTGCTGACGGAGCTGCTCCACCTGCCTCCCTGCATGAGCCCTGCTCTCTGGGCTGTCTGCCCTCCTCTGGTGGTGGTGAGGGATGGCCAAGGAGGGGCAGAGTCTGCTTCAAAGGCTGTATTGGGAGGGCAGCTCCTTCCTGTGTATCTTCTATACTGGGGATGAAACCAAGTATTCTGAGTCTCTTTTAACAGGCACTGGGAACTGGACAGGAGAGGAGGGTGACCAGGGGTCCACACCTGGTAAAAAGTGGGGGGGTGCTCTTGAAACCTCCCATTCCAGATCCCATGCTGCCTTTTCCTCATATTGGATGACAGGAAAGAAGGAAAGAAGATACATGGAGAAGTGTGTCCTTGCATATGGAGGGCAGATAAAAATCTCCCAAAGGAAAAACAAAAGGATTGGCTTGTGTTTTACTTTCCCAGAGCATGGAGTCCCTGTCAGCCAAGGGTCCCACCCCACCCACGCTGTCACCCCTCAGACTGCCCGACTCTCAGTGAGCTCTGGGATATAAAAGAGCATGTCAGTTTACTACATCTTTGATGGTTGAGAAACGTTGGTTGAGAGATAAGAATATTAAGAATATTAAAGTGCCTCAGAGTAAAATGGGAAAAAACATTGATGCTTTGTTTTTTAAATAAAGCATGAATAAGCACATTTACACTGGGACTAAGACTGATGACTCTCTGTGTGAGGAAGAGGATGTGAAAATGGGCAAATCTCGTAAGCTATGCAAGAATATAAATTGGCAAAAGGCTTTGGGGGAATAAACAGCTACCAAAATTTAAAATATACAAGTTAACATCACACAAAGGACAGGCAAACATCACGTGCCTCCAGAAGCAATACCCTAAGAAGGGCACACTGTCACTTAGGCAACACATAAATAACCCGAATCTAAGCATGAAGGGACATCAGACAAACTCAAAATGAGGAAGAGTCTATTACACAATATTTGAAAGGTATCCTTTAAAAATTTAAAAAGTATTGTGAAAATTTTCCTGATTAAAAGATATTAAATGAACATGATAACTAAATGCAGTCTCAGAAGCTAGACTGGATCCTGTACTAGAGCGAAAAAAAGGCTAAAAAAGATACTTTTTGGGTCAATTGACAAAATTAGAATATAGATAGTAGACTAGTTAAAAGTATTTTATCCATGTTAAATTACTAAAGTTGATAACTGTACTATAGTTATGTAAGAGAATATCCCTCCCTATTCTTAGGAAATACGGAAATACACACGAAGAGTCTAAGAATAAAGAGCGATGATGTATGTAACGTATCTTCCAAGAGTTCAGAAAAAATATTTTACAGAGAGAGAAAGAGAGAAAGGAAGAGAGCAAATAATAAAGAAATGGGGTCAAATGATAACAGTAGGTAAAGAATCCGGGCAAATGTTATATGAGTGTTGTCTGTATTATTCTTATTCTGGGAACTTTCTTTAAGTTTGACATTATTTTTTTAAAATTAATGTGCAAATTCTTTGATCTAGAAATTTATCTTCTTGAAATTTATTTTATAGAAATATACATACGAGTGCACAGACATGTCTATATAAGAATTTTCACTGAAATGTTGTTTGAAATAACATAGCATCAGAAGCCACCTAGATGACCATTTAAAAAGAGCTTGTCTCCAAAGGCATGAAGTGAGGCGCTGAAGGGGAAAGGTAATATTCAGGATAAGTCATTAAGTAACAAAGCAAGCAGCCTATGAGTAGATCATTATGTATGGTATGAGACCATTTTTTTGAGAGTAAAATGTATACACAAAAAATACACATATGCATACACACACACACAGTAAAGAGGAGAAGAAAGCACACCAAACTATGAATGATAGTAATTTCTGGGAATTTGGAAGGGGGAGTCAGTTTCACTTTTTACTTTGAACACATTTTTATTTTTTAATGTTATGAAGCATTTTGTTTATTTTTAAATTGCAGATTTTATTTTAGATGGTTTCATTTTAGGGGTACATGTGTAAGACTCACTTTTTACTTTAAACATATTTTTATTTTTTGATGTTTTGAAGCACTTCATTTGTTTTTAAATTTCAGATTTTATTTTAGATGATTTTATTTTAGGTGTACATGTGTAAGATTATTACATGGGTATATTGGACCCAAATAGTGAGCATGGTACTGAATAGTGGATTTTTCAATCCATGTCTCCCTGGTCCCCCACCCTTCAGTAGTCTGCAGTGTCTATTATTCTCATCTTTGTGTTCATGTGTGCTCAATGTTTTGCTCCCACTTAGAAGTGAGAACAGGTGGTATTTGGTTTTCCTTTCCTGCATTAATTCACTTAGGACTATATCATCCAGCTCCGTCTATGTTGCTGCAAAGGACATGATTTCTTTTTTTTTTTCCTTAATGACTGTGTTAAGAAAATGATGGATCGGTTTTTAAATAAAGCCATAATAACATTTAAAAAATATGGCATTCTAGAGATTTCTTTCTTCAGATAGGCCAACAACCTTCCAAGTTGGACCAATAAGCCCCTTCTCCTGCATGTTCTGGGATTATTCCTCCCCCAGGTGTAGGGGAAGAAAGTAGAAGGTTTTGAAGGCCAAAAGTAGGTGAATGGGGCTGGTTATCACAGCCGTGCAGAGCCACAGGGAAAGAGTCGAATTCAGGGTTGGAAGAGCAGAAACTGAAAGGTCTCTTCCTACTGTGAAGAACCCAGCTGCCTGGGGGCAGCCATACTGCTCCCTGAGTACTCGGGCTCCTGCCCCATTCTACACTGACCATTCTCCTTGATATCTCAGATCTCCAGGGGCATGTCTGTCACTCGTTCGTGAATTTCTTAATTCATTCCACAAACTGTTACTGAGCAGCACATGAAAGCTCAGAGGTACTGTGATAAAAGAGGAAGCCAGGCCAGCTGCTGGGACAGAAGAGTGCCGCGGTAGGGCAGGGACATAAGGAGTGTGGCAAAGGCTTTGAAGAGCTACTGAGCAGGATGTGGGAGGAAACTGCCATGAGACAGGGCACAGGTTGCAAGAGCAGCATGCAAGCCGTAGTGTAGGCTGGACCATGGGCCAAGCTGCCCACAGCTGTCCCCAATCCTCATTCTTGAGGCCACTGATGCCGTTGGCCTGCCTAGGCCTGCACTACAGAAACCCCACTTGGGGGTAAGCTGGGGTTCCCCAGCTAGATTTAGGCTTTAGCAAATGCTGCTTGCATCTTACCTGTTCTTTCCCCACTGACTAATCTCTTTATTGTTTGATCTACTTTAAGATTTACTTTCCATTTTCCCATTCCTTAGAAAACCAGCCCTTGGAGTTGCTCCCACATTCCCAGACCTAACTTTCACCCAGCCTGGTGGGTCTAGAACCCTGGTCTTTGCTTCCCTGCCTGTCCTGCTTGGGCCTACGGTTTACAGTATGGCTGTCCCAAGGGCAGCTGGGCTTGTCAGAGTGGGAGGCAGAGTCACCTCAGTTTCCCCTCCTCCAACCTGGGACTGGACCCTTTCCCTGTGGCTCTTGGTGGCCACTATCATCATCCCCACTCACCTGAGGTGTGGCCTTCCTAAACTTGCCACAGTCTGAAAGCTCTGCCAAGAACTGTGGGGCTTCAGTTCCAGAGTTTTATGGAATCTTGAGAGTCATAGCAGTACCTTCAGCTGAAGCCCCCAAACTCCTCTTTTCAGAGGGTTCCAAATTCATTTTATATGAGGCTAATGAACTGCGAGCCTCGCAAACAATTTCCATTTTCTCTAATGCCATGGTCTCCCAAGGTTAGAGAACTTACTCATTTTGATGGCATCACAGGAACTCAGATGGCTCAGAAGAGAATCCTTAACCACAAGTCAGGAGAAGCCCAGGGAAGGGCCTAAGCTCTGTGACATCTGTCAGTGGCAAGCAAAAGCCTTCCCATCGGGCCTTGTTGACCCTGGAGGTTCTGCATCCTACAGGAATATTTTAGTATCTCCCAAGGATTGGGAGATACATCTTTTGGATTACGCCTTGCATCTTTCTGGGCCCTTCAGGGCTGTATTTTACTGCCTGTGGCAAAGGGTGGGTGAAACGAGGACAGGTGGAGGTGGGGGCAGGGCATCCTAGCTCTGCAGCAGAGTAGGTGTGAAGACAGAAACAGAAATTAAACAGCCAGCAAATCAGTGGAGCAGAGAGGAGCTTGTCTGCTTCCCCCCTCAACGTGCTCTCCCCTCCCCTCAAGTAAATCCCAGACAGATATAAATCAAAGGTGCAGGCAGAGCAGAGAGTGATGGAATAAGCTAGGTCTGAAAGGCCTTAGACTAGAACAGGGAGCAGCGGCCTGGAAACACATGAGAATCTTAATGTTCTTGGCCAAAGGTCATTCCAAAGCTTCTCAGGTAAAAATCAAAGAGAATGTAATGTTCAAAATGTCATTAGGTTGGGTTTCTAAGCAGAACAAAGGAACATTTGACTGGATTATGGAACTACCATCCAAAATATCTTCTTTTCAATGACAAGTGCTCACTGGTATATGGTGGCTGGAGCTGAAAAACATTATTTTCCCGTTGTGATAATAAAGACTAGTTCAGATAAGACTCATCAATGGATGCTGAAATTGGGGGGCAGTGAGGTGAATTTTTATGAGGAGCAGGATATTTGCATGGCCTAACATTATTTTCCTGTAGATTGCTAATTAGTCACAAGAGAAAAATATGTAATATATACTGTACATAACTATACATTGGAGAAATTGGACAAAACCTTGACCAGGTGATCAAAAGTAATAATACCAATAAGGAACAGATGGACATCAGGTGTTTCAAAATATAATAGCCTAGGAAGGACACAACATTTATGTAGGATTATAGCCAAGAATGTAGAATCTGAATCTAATTATGAGAAATATCAGAAAATATGCCAAATGAGGAATGTCTTATTAATGAAAAAAGGTGACTTGTATTCTTAAACAAGTCAATGTCATAAAAGGCAAAGAAAATCAGTGGAAATCCAGTCATGCATTGCTTAACAATGGAGACACATTCTGAGAAACATGTTGTTAGATGATTTCGTTGTTGTGCAAATATCTTAGAGTGTATGTGCTCTAACCTAAATGGGATAGCTCACTACACACCTAGGCTACAAACCTGTATAGCATGGTACTATGAAGAATACTGTTGGCAATTGTAACACAATAATATTTGTGTATCTGAACATATCTAAACACAGAAAAGGTATAGTAAAAATACAGTAATATAATATGGGAGCAGCATTGTATATGTGATTTGTCGCTGACCAAAACATCATTATATGGCACATAACTATATTTTAGATTAAAGGAGATTAAAGAGACATGACAACTAAATGCAATACTTGATCCTAGACTGAAGGTTCCAGAGGGCATTTATTTCAGTAGGGATTGGTTTTAACAATGTTAATATTTTGATCCATGGTGTAGACTTATTCATCAAACAATTTTTTGAAATTTTATTCAAATAAAGTTTTTAAAAATCCTCTTGTTAATTGATCAGGTATCTAAAAGAGTTATCTGACCAAACAATGACATTTCTTTTTGAAGTTGTTTTTATAGAGAAGCCAATGAGGAGTGCGCCAAGACATCTCTATCATGGCTTCAAATACGGATAATAAATAAAATGCAATATGGACAATCTCCTAGCTTTGGAACTTCTAAAATACAATAAAGTGTCTCTCACTCTTCTTTAAAAGCCAGTATTGGACATGGTTTGTAAACTCTCTTCTAAGCTTAGAAAAAGTATGATTGGGGACAGGAATGTTGACCACATTAAACAACCCATTATCATCAGGTTTGATGGCCTATACTTTTCAAATACTGAACTCATGTTGGCAAAACTTGTTTGAAAGGAAACCTTGGTAAAAGCATAATATCTAAAATAGGTAAGAGAGGAGCTGCTGTGGTTGAAGCAAGGTGGTGGTCTGGAGCCCTGCAAGGTTTCCCCAGTACCCAGCAGTGCCCTGGCCCATTCCTATAAAACTCTAGGATGTGGAGAGAAGAGGACTGGCCACATCTCCCATGTGGACAGACTCATATATAATGGGTGAGCCTACATTTTTCCTTTCCTTTGATTCAAGTATATGTTCTAATGTGTCTTAATTTTGATGTCAAATGGTCTCATATGATTAGGCTTACTGATGTTTCAACTATTTCTTATGCCTAAGTGTAGTACATGATTTCTGAATGTGATTGACTGGACTGTAATTTCCTAATACAGGCATTTCTGCTATAATTTCATATACATATTTTAGTAAAACCTCATACTCTGCGAAATTGCACAATAAAATAACAGAGCCTATGGGGAGAAAATGCATTTGGAGGAGACCATTCAACATCTAACAAAAAACACAGCAATCTTCATAAAAATAGCAGCACAGGTAAATTATAATTTGCATTTGTACCCAGTGTATTGGTTCACTGATCCTTTGCAAGCTTAAACTCTGGATTTTTGTGCTTCCTCTTGGAGACATAGGTCCAGGAGGGCATTCACATCTCACAGAGATCAGTTTCATCCAAATTAAAAATCCAATCCAATGTGTAGACTGTTTTGTCATAAAATTAAAATTTAACACAAAGGAAAATGTGTTCCATTTCCTCATGTTTACTCCCTGTTTTATCAGAAAACAGAGTGAAAAACACAGTGGCTCTGGAAACCACGAAGCCGGCCACTATTTGCATGAAAGAAAGGCCCTCTTCAGTGTTCAACTTGTTTCTTATGGTCTTCTCATTGTGCTAAGGCTTTCTCTTTAATTGGAAGAAAGCGTGCCCCTATTTGCTTCAAAATATAAATATCCTAGAAAAGATCATATGAGAACCGCGGGACTTCCACACAATACTGGCATCACTCCCCCATTTACCAATCACATATTGCGTTTGCATTGGAGAAACAGGCATGGAACAGAACACGCTGGATCCCCATTCCCATTTTATGAGGCATCTCAGAGAAGATGAGAGCAAATGGACATTTTTTCAAGCATCCACTAGGCATCAACTGTTCTGCTGGGCACTGTACATATTTATTATGATCCAATCTTCATACTTCTACTAAAATGTAAGTTCTTATCCCCATATTAGAGAACTGAGGCTCATGAAGTAAATACCTCACTTAGGTTACTACAATAATATGTTAGGAGCAGAGCCAGGGTTTAAATTTTGATCTTAAATTTTTGGCTATCCAAGCTTGTGCTCTTTGCATCACATTGGTGAAATTTTATATTAGGATCCCACCACTTGCATTATTAGCTGAAAAGAAATAGTTCTGCTTATTGCTATTAATAATTATATTTAGAATGTCATGTATTCTTGAAATAATTTCCCCCCTAAATCAAGTAAAAGTATTTTACTAAGATCTAGAACCATTTACTAGTGATTCTAATTCATCAGCTTTTGTAATATTTTTTATTTTGTTACATTTTTAGGACATTAGGGGTTTACTTAAAGAATTTCAAAACAATATGTCTCCTTCCATCGTTACAGTAGTCATGTGATGTACATGAGGCGTAATATAGTATCCCCTTTGACAGATAATGGAATGAAGCCTCAGAGAGGTATAGTAACTGACTCCAAGTTAACAACTGGTAGAACCAGAACTAAAATCATGTTTTCTGGATCAAAATTCAGCCTCAACTGCTGAGGGGGCCACCATTCAGAATTATCTCCTGTTAAGTCCTGTGCGTTAGATTGTCTGTCATTAGAGCTCCTGGGACTTATTATGCTAAATGATTGGAAATGTGATAAAAACATTGAAAAATAGAACAAGGAAAGAATGAGTTCACTGTGTTTATTATTGAAGATAATGATTACTAGTACGGTAATGGATACCAAAAGTCAAAACAAATAAACAACAACAAAAATGAATAATGAGGTTTAAGTGATGGTGCCTAATTTGCTTACTAAAATAATTTTCTAGTACAGAGAACTAGTATAGAATAGTAAGGTAAATAATCATTATTTTTGGATAATAGAACCATAGCCTATGCAATGGGAAGAAAATTGGGAAGAACACATGCTATCTTAAAGTGATATTAAAATATTTTCCACCCACTCCCCATCCCCTTCTTGGCCAAACTTTTGCCCTTCTAATTTCTCAGGGTAGAATATCCAGCTACAAAGCCATTTCATATCATTTTATTGGGGATGTCAATTTAGAAGCACATAAACTTAATTGCTTAGCTCTTTGGTTTTCTGTTGTCTTCAATAGTCCCTGGAACGGGCCAAATTCCTTTCCAAAGGAAAAGGTTTTCAAAATGACAGGGCTAAAGTGAGAGACCCATGACCACTCCTGACTAAGTCATGGGCCAGAAAGCCCTGGATTTTGTGCCCAAAACATGCACCTCTAAGAGACAGTATGAAAATCTATGAAGACAAGGCAGGTATTCTTGTCCTCTCTGGCTTGGAGTAGCAAGTTGTGAGTATGCTGGGGTCAGCCTCAGGCACAAGTGGGCTGTGAATTCGCATTTTATAGATAACACTCAGACAATTAATGAATAAAATACCAGCCTTGCCCTTGT